>NC_000005.10:151555880-151856198 GCF_000001405.40 Homo sapiens
AACCAAAGCCTTTCATTGAAACAGGCACCAGGAATGCCTATGTGATTTTAGAGGCATCCTAGAAAGAGCACAGATCTAGAAGACAAAGGTCTGGTTTTCATCCTGGCTCTGCTACTGACCTAGTGTTTGACCGAGAATGATTCTGTCTGCCTGAGCCAGGAGGGATGGACTGGACTCGGTAAGTACATAGCACACATGTACTGCTCCCCTCTCCTTCACTCCCTGCAGGCATCACTAATCAATCAATGGTGCCTACCCAGCCTGGGCACAGTTTCAGACTCCTTCCCTTCTCAGTGCTGAGGAGCTAGCAAAGATCCAAGGATCATCCAGCAAGGTTCAGCTCACGTATATCTTCCTCCCTGAACCCAGACCCTCCTCAGCCACAGTGCTAGACATGCACGTGGCTCCAAGGCCTAACATGGCTCCACAAATCACCACAAATGGATTCACCACCATTACTTACCTCCAGGATGTGTTCATCCTTGTTCTCTCTGTCCAGCTGCTGGGCTGTAGATAGGAGACCTGAGAGAGAGATGATAAGGGAGAGACATGAGCAGAAGACTTTCAGGGCCACTTTACTGAGGCAACTTCAAGAATTACATTCAAATCTCAGATAAGAATTCTTCTGATCTTTGAAGAACATGTAAAGACCATCCCTGACTTAGGATAGTTCAACTTAAATTTCCTACTTTATCATGGTGTGGAAGTGATACACATTCAGTACAAACCATACTTCAAGTACCCATACATTCTGTTTTTTACTTTCACTTCAGTATTCAAATACTGAAGTATTGAGTACAAATACTGAAGTGTTGAAATATTCAATACTTTATTTTAAAATAGGCTTTATGTGAGATGATTTTGCCCCCTGTAGGCTAATGCAAGTGTTCTGAGCGCATACGAGGTAGGCAAGGCTAAGGTATCATGTTCTGTAGGTTCGGTGTTTAAACACAGTTTAGACTTACAGCATTTTCAACTTATGATGGATCTATTGGAATATGACCTCACTGTAGGCTGAGGAGCATCAGAACACTAAGGGGAAATGAAACTCGGGGGAAAGCAAGGGGGAAGTGAGGAGCTGGGAGAGAACAGCAGAGATAATGTGTCAGGTGAAGTTCCCAGCTACTTCCTGCTTTCTCTATTAGGCAGGGGTGATACATCAAAACTTCAGCAATCGGCCCACCACGAGCAGCCTCCCGTCAGGATGGTTGCCAGCTGGAAGCAACCAGTAGGGTTACTGGTGCACAAGGGTCAATGTCAGCACTGCTGTGATGCAGTTTTGGTTCCTCGTCACTAAAATCTATGGAACATGTTTGCATCTGGATGTCTTCTGCTCATCATTCATTCCCTCTTCTTTCAATAAACAAACCCCAGTTCTCCTGAGGGGAAACCAGGAGAATTAGGTTCTAATTAGGAATTAGAACCATTCCTAGCTTTAGTCCTTCATTATCTGGGGTGAGGCTGACCCGCCTGGGGAGAAGTTTATAGCCCAAGGATAGCCAGTCAGCACAGACTATCCCCCTGGCCCTTGCAACTGGCTCTGCAATAGACAAGGGACCCGTCTGTCTGATGAGAATCCATTCTGGGACTTTTGCAAGAGCTCTAGAAAGAGACTTTTTTCTGCTGCTGTGCTGAGAGAACAGAAGGAAGCCTGACAGCAACAAGAAGAGGGACTCCTGAGGCTAGACCCACTCAGAGAAAATGAGGCCAAGAGATAAGCAGAGGCAGCGCCTTCATTACATTATTCCAACACTGGCTACAGCTGTGCCTGCAGCCATACTATGTTTGGAATTTTCTGTAAAGTAAGAAAACAAATGTCTTTTATTGCCTCAGCCAACCTGCATTGGGTTTCTATCTTTACATCTGAAAAAGTCCTGACAACCAATTCAATTCTGAGAATTCATATGTTGGGATAGGAATGGGTTAGGGGTCATGGTGAGGCTGGGAAAGCATTCAGGGTCTTTGGGATTGGGAGGCCTCCAGGAAGGACGCTACCTCCTGCCTCAGCCTCTCCCTTCCCCTCCTATGGCCCTGCCAACCCCCAGCTCCAGCCTCAGGTTCCTTACAGGGGACCCACTAATCCCCTCTGTGCCTCGCCTTGACTCCAGGAAGCTCCTGCTTATTTCTCCCAACCTTATTTCAACCCCAGCCTCCTCTGCAAAAGGAGTTGAATTCGGTGACCTTTAACATCTTTCTGGCTTAAGTTCTGAACTTCTCATGCCACTTTAAGGAATGTATTCTAAGGAAATCAGTGCATACATCTGGGAAGATGAGTTCACACGGTGTTCACCTGAGTCACGTTTTAAAAAGCCAATAATTGGACACAATCCATATAAGGGAAGAGTTGTATACATTTTACATAAAAAGGAATCTTAAGCAACTATTCAAAATACATTCTGTAGATGGGGAAATGCTGCACACAATATATTGTTGAGTAAAAAAGGCAGCTTGTCGCCTGGGCACGGTGGCTCACACCTGTAATGCCAGCACTTTGGGAGGCCGAAGCGGGCGGATCACCTGAGGTAAGGAGTTCGAGACCAGCCTGACCAATATGGTGAAACTTCATCTCTACTAAAAATACAAAAAAAATTAGCTGGATGTTGTGGCGTGTGCCTGTAGTCCCAGCTACTAGGAGACAGGAGAATTGCTTGAACCCAGGAGGCAGAGGTTGCAGTGAGCCAAGATCTCACCACTGCACTCCAGCCTGGGCAACAGAGCGAGACTCCTTTAAAAAAAAAAAAGCAGCTTGTCAGGAGCTACAGCAGAAATAACAACTATTGCCTTCCGTTTCAGAGAAACCATGAAGTGACAGCATTTTCCCCATTTATTATTATTATTATTCACTAGGGTCCTAGTACTGGCTCTTCCCATGACAGGCTGGTGCAGATAAATAGAGAGGGGGCTCCTCTGGGCTCCTCTCAGTTCATCCGTAATTGAAGAAGTTGGGTAGAGAAGGCGCTAGCTCTCTGCAAGATTCAGGGAAGTTGAGGTGGAGGTTTTCAGGGGCCCAGAAGGTCATCCAAAGCCATGGCCTAAGAGGCCGTGGCTGGTGTGGACGGTCTCTTGTAAATGAAAGCAGAGCTACTGGTCGAGGTTAATGGAACATCTGAACACTTTCACTTTCTTGATCTTGTTTAGGTGATGAAGTGATTGAGATAATGGAATTAAGTGTAGAAAAAGAAGCTCAGTGAAGAGCCCAGAGTTTCCCTGGGGGGCTCAGTGACAGAGCTGGGAGCTCAGCGAGGGGAACAGGGATTCAGTTCTGGGCCAGAGCCTCCAGTCATGGCAATGGGAGTGTGGTGTGAGGATGTGGGCTCTGTCGGGGGCGTGTTCTCGCCTTGTGCAGTTGAACGCAAGTCATTCCGGCTTTTTCTTCCCTAACTGAAGTTTGGCGTGCAAGGGATTGGAGAAGGCTCCTGAGAAGCTCCACACTCAGGCGCCCTTCCAGTCAAAGAAGGAGGACAAGTGGAAGGAAAGACACACTCCTGTAGGACAGGAGGGTCTGGATACTGTCCCAGCTTGGCCCCAAGCTGAGGGGCCTCATGGGGAAGGGCCTAGGGCCTGGGGTCCCCCAGGAAGAGCACAAGGACTAGGGGGTCTTGGCAGGTAAGCCTTCTATCTGGCTCCATCCCTTCCTTTCCTCCCTGCCCTTCTCTCCTCTCCCTTTGCTCTCTTTTCTGTGTTTCTCCTTCACCATCCTCCTCCTCTCTTCCAGCTCTTCCTCTCTCTCTTCTCCCCCTGTGCCTCTGAATCTCAGCCTCTCTCTCTGTGTGTGTGTGTCTGTCTCTCTCTCCCTCTCTCCCCCAACCCCATTTGGTTTTTCTTTTCTACTTCTGCCTCTCACCACTGCCTCCCCTGACCTTCTAAGGTCCTGTGCCTCTGGAATCAATGCCCCGAGGTATCCTGCCCAGTTGCCCCTATTCTCATCCTCATCCTCCTCTCTGAAGTCAGTATCAGGGTTCCCAGGAAGTGCCTGAATAGAATGGGGACATAGCAGAACCACCTCCATAGGGCTGTGTGCATGTTCACTAAGGTGCATAGAAAACCCCTCTCACCCTTCCTGGATGAGGTGGCGCTCAGTGGACTTCACTCTTACCATTTTTCTCCTCCAAACAAATGTTTCCCCAACACCCTATCTCAGACCCATATATGACCTTTCATCTTCCCTCATCCAACAGTTTTCCAACTGTTGTTGATTCCACCTGTGATAGATTCCTGATCTTTAACTCCTCTTACCCTGAGTCACCACAATCTAGGTCTTGCCCAAGCTGCCTTTCCATCTTCATCTTCCTCTTCTTCCCTCCTGCAGCATCAAAGAACCAACCCTTTTGGAGCTCTCACATGCACAGGCATTCAGCTAAGCTCTTTCTATAGCTTTGTATATTAACTCATTTAATTCTCACAACAGCCCAGGTGGTCTCTATTATAATCTCCATTTCACTGGTGAGAAAACTCAAGCATAGAGCAGGTAACTCACTTTCCCAAGATGTCATTATTTATAAGCGGTGGAACTGAGATAAACCTTGAGAAAGTCCATCTACTTGCATTGTCTTCAACAAGATCAGGGTCTTCCTCCCTCTCAGATAGCACCTGTGTCGTCACCCTCGCCCATTTGCTCTCCCGGACTGCTGCCTCTCAAAATCCTCCCACCCTCCAGCTCAGCATAACCACCCCTGTTCCATGAAGCCCTTGCAGATCCACCACCCAGAGCAGCTTCCTCCTTCTTCTGAGTGGCCAGGGCACTGTATCTACACATAGTTTACGATGTTATGCCCTTTCAAACTGGTTCTATTGTGTTTATATCCAAATCTTCATGCTCCTAATGGACTGAATTTCTCAAGACCTGAAACTGTGTTTTATTTATCTTCATATAACTCCACAGCACATTGTTTAGAAGCCTAGTAAGGTCAGACACCTTTAAACATTTGCTGAGTACGTGAATGAATCTTGGGCTTAACAAAACATTGTGGATGCTGGCAGAGATTCATTCATCCATTTAGCAATTATTTGTTGAGCTCCTACTGTGTGACAGGTACTGAAGAAATTATGGTGGGCACCAACAGTTAGGGTCCCTTTTCTCAGGGAACGTTGAAGTCTAGTGAGGGACACAGATGATTAATGGGATAACTTTGAAGTCTAGTGAGGGACACAGATGATTAATGGGATAATCACACAAGTGAATATAACGTCCTGTATGATAAATGTCGCAAAAAGGAGTAGGTGGTGCTGGAAAGTGTGTTAGGGTATCAGGAAAAACTTCTCTAAGGAAAGAACAGCTAGGCTGGAATCTGAAAGAAGAGCGGGAATTGACCAGACAAAAGGAGAGAAGAGTCCCCTGTTAAACAGAATGGCACATGCAAAGTCCTGCGTGGAGGGGCCCGGACTGAGGCAGGCCATGTGACTGGAACATGGGGAGGGGCAGCAGGAGAGGGGCAAGATGAGGCCAGAGAGGTCAGCAAGGACAGACCAGGCATGACTTTGTAGGACACAGCAGAATCTGACTTTCTCTCTCTTTTTTTTTTCTTTCTGAGACAGGCTCTTGTTCTGTCACCCAGGCTGGAGACCAGTGATGCGATCATGGGTCACTGTAGCCTCAACCTCCCAGGCTCAAGCCATCTTGCTACCTCAGCCTTCTGAATAGCTGAGACTTCAGGTGCACACCATCACACCAGGCTAATTTTTGTATGTTTTGTACGGATGGGATTTCGCCATGTTGCCCAAGCAGCTCTTAAACTCCTGGGCTCAAGCGATCCTCCTACCTCGGCCTCCCCAAGTGCTGGGATCGCAGGTGTGAGCCACTGTGTCTGGCTTACTGACTTTAGCTTAAGAGCACAGGGAAGCCATACAAGGCATCCAAGTAGGGAAGTGGGACAAAGTAATGGTGGTGATGAGAAAGGTGGGCTGGGGGCGCATTGGTGATTTGTTCTACTTTTGAAAGTGTTCATGCTTATAAAGATTTCTTCCTTTCAACTGCAGGAAGGCTAAGAACATCTCTGCCCTCTAGGGCATTTTGCCAGACCTGCTGTCAGGGAACTGTTGATAGTAAACAGAACAATGATTTGGAAGAAGCTGAGAAGTTAATGCCTTAGGTGAGAGATCTCTTCCCACTCCTGAAGAGGGAGGGACAGGGAGGGACAGGGTAGGCCCAGGTAGAGAGCCAGCTTCAGCCTGTTTTCCAGGAGAAAAGCATCCTCCTCCTAGAACTACTTCACACCCTGAGGTCAAAGGTTAACAGGAAAGGTTGACAATAAATGTTACCAGGCAAATAGGCACTTACATCTCACCCACCCCTCTGTCTGCTCCAGGAGTCCCAGCGTCATCCTCCTCCTGGTTACCTTTTGTCTTAAGAATAAAGGGACTGCCCGCTCGCATTCTTCCTTTCCTCCAATCTCACCAGGTTCCATCCTTCTCCGACAAGAGTAAATTGTTGGAGACGGAAAACAGGATGTTGGGTTCAGTGGGGAATATGTCAGCCTTCTCTACAATAGGATTGTTGTTCCTCCCCCAAGAGGAAGATGAGGCTTTAAGAAGTGTCTGCAGCAATGGGACCCAGCTCTCACACTGCAGCACCAAGGAAAGCCAGGCAGGTGGTGTCAATGAGGGACGCAGGCTGGGAGTAACACAACAGGGGATGGCAGGACCTGCAGGGATCAGAGCTTCTGTGCCAGGTCTACAAAGGGAGCAGCTGTTGGCTCCGGGCCACTGTGGCCCAGCGGGACTGTGAAGACAATGTGGCCAGATCCTTCCATTTTTAAAAAACAACCAGAAACCTGGAATGTTTTGTGGAATTTTCTAATTTTATGTGTTGGCTGCAACTTAAAAAATAATTGTTTAAAGCTTAAGCAAATCAAACAAAACACCTCTAAGAGCAATGTCTGACTCACTGCTGCCAGCTGCCAACATCTGGATTTCTCCCAACCATCCACCATCCTTGTCCCAGAAGGCTTTGGGCAGGTGCTCCTGAGATGGTTGACAACATAAGTGGATTCACATTGCCAGCACTCTGGGCGGGGTTGAGATCAGTCTGGAACTAGGGTTAAGGGATTCAACCTGTGGCTCATGACTCAGGAGAGAGTCAGGTTGGGACCACTTGGAGGTCTAACTAGTCTCAGGTTGACCAATGGGCAACCTGCTTAGTTTCCTTGGGCCCCAAGGAAAGAAACATGAAGACAGATCCTTTTCATTTTCACATAGAGATGGACTTTGTAGAACAGCATTGTCAAATGTTAGTACACATTTGAAACACATCAGAATCACCTGCATGTCTTGTGAAAACACGGATTGCTGGGCCTCACCCTCGAAATTTTGATTCAGTGGATTTAGGGTGGGGCCAGAGAATTTGAATTTCCAAGTTCACAGTAATGCTGATGGTGCCGATTTGGGCCCACAATTTGAGAACCACCATTGTAGAGATCCCTGTTCACCCAGCTTTTTGGATCCTTACCTGTAACAGGGTGAATCATAAAGAATCCCATGTAGTTCCCACTGGTGATGTTGAAGGTCAGCTTCCCTTTGGAGCTGGAGTCTGGGTCCCAGGCATCCAGTTGAAGCACAGAGGTGCCCACGGGAGCATCCTCCTGGATGGAGGGGTAGAACACAGCTTGGGACATCTGGGGTGGGTTGTCATTGGCATCCGTAACCTCGATGTAGACTTCAGTTACAGAAGAGAGGGGCACAGAACCCCTGTCCACTGCTAATACCGTCAACCAGTAGTAAGATGCAAATTCTCGGTCCAGGGGTGCCAGAGTCTGAATCATTCCTAGGGACAGTAAGTCAGCAAACCCAAAATACTTTAGAGCTCAAAGTGGCTTTAGAAATCACCCTTACCCACCATTCCCCAAACCGCACTGTGGAAAGGGTATTAATAAGTAGATTTTCTATGAAAAGAAGGAACTGCTTCTACCAGTATAATGTGGGAGATGCTGAGTTGAACACAGGGGAATTAATATCCTTATTCTAGAACCTCTCAGAGCCTTCCTCTGCTAAAATGGACGCATGCCTTTAGCATGTGAGCATATTTAGGGTTTTCAGAAGACAGTGGTAGTTTATCTACTTTCTCTTGGCTACTTAAACCCAAATTCCATTGATCTATTTCACATTCTGTAAGTGAGGTTTTCTTATAGTTGTCCTTAAACTGTTTCCTTCACACTTTATGTCCTGGTAGATAATCAATTTCAGGGTTAGGAATTTGAAGAATAAATTGCCATTCCCTTCTCCATCATTTTCATGATTTTAAGGGGCTGAGCTTCATTTTTTAGTTCATTCCCTCCACAAATTGCTTACGATGGGCTAGCACTGTTCTAGAAGTTGAGGGTCCAAGAATGAGTAAAAGAAGCTTACACCTGAAGTTCTCATGGATCATGCTGTACTGGCAGGGCCTGTGTGAGAGGGCGTGGCCCATGCTCACAGCCATAGCATAACAGAGACGACCGCTGGGGAAACTGAGGCTCAGAGAGGGAGCACGACTTGACCAAGATCATGTAGCAAGTATGTGGAAGAACTGGGTCTGGGATTGACTCTTAATCTAATGCTCTTTCTAATTAAACAGCTTAATTAAATTAAGCTGTTTTCTTTCAGTGGCTGGCATTAAGAGACAAAGGTTGCTGAAAGCCAACATTGAGAACAAGTTATTACAACTTGGTTTTGGTGGAAATAAATCACCTACCAAATTGCAAACTCCTTGAAGGCAGTGATCTGCCTTTATTCACGTGGGATCTCCCCCAGGTACCTATCTTAGGGCCTTACCAGTAGTGGGCACTCGAACAGTGCTGACTTACACTTACTTTCCTTGAAACTTAAAAAAAGGAATGTGGTTGTGTCACCTTTTTGGAGAGCAATTTGGAAATACTTATTAACACAGAAGATGCACATTATCCTCTGACCTAGAAACTTCATTTTTAAGAATTTTTCGGCCGGGCATGGTGGCTCATGCCTGTAGTCCTAGCACTTTGGGAGGCCAAGACGGGTGGATCACCTGAGGTCAGGAGGTTGAGACCAGCCTGGCCGACATGGCAAAAACCCGTTTCTACTAAAAATACAAAAGTTAGCCGGGCATGGTGGTGGGTGCCTGTAATTCCAGCTACTTTCGGGAGCCTAAGGCAGGAGAATCGCTTGAACTCGGGGGACGGAGGTTGCAATGAGCCGAGATCGAACCACTTCACTCCAGCCTGGGTGACAGAGCAAGACTCCATCTCAAAAAAAGAAAAGAATTTTTTTCTGTAGAGACCCAGGCATATAAGTAAAAGTATATAAATAAGAATATTACACCTACATGGTAGAATAATATGTGGCCAATTAAAACAAATGAACTGACAAATAAAATGTCTTGATATTATATGACATGAAAAAAGTAAATTTTAGAATAGTGTCTATTATACTGTATTTTCATAATAATAAAATGAACAATATATGATATATAAGATACAAAGAAAGAAACTTTAGAAGATTATAGACCAAATTGTTAATAAAGATTATATCTGGGGTGATGGAACATGGGGGAGCATTCGTTTTTAAATTTTATATAAAAAATTTATAATCAGATGTATTACTTTTATAAACAGAATATGTAATATATGTGCATATATGTGTATGTGTATATGCACATATATAGACATATATTCCCAGTAAAAACAAATTAAAAATAAAATACACAGGAAAAAGAATCCCTATTTATTGCCTTTCATTTCAGCCTGCAGGCTGACTCCTTTTTCCTTCAGCCCGCAGGCTGACTTCTTTTTCCTTCAGCCCATCTACCTCTGGCCCTGGCACCCCACCCTACCCCACCCCCAGTACCTGTATCTTGGTTGATGCTGAAGGCTGCGAGTCCAGTGCCAGCACGCAGGAAGTACTGGAGCTCCCCATCCAAGCCACTGTCATCGTCCTGGGCAGCCACTACAATCACCTGAGTTCCCGAGGGGCTGTTCTCCTGCACCTGGCCCTGGTGCACGAAGGAGGCAAAGTGGGGAGGGTGGAGATTCTCATTCACATCCAGGACGATCACCTCCACATGGCAGAGAGTCCTGCGGGCTAGGGGCCTCCCACCATCACTGGCCCACAGGCTCAGATTGTACCCAGCTCGCCTCTCAAAGTCCAGCTCTCTCTCCAGAATGAGCGCCCCTGTCATCAGGTCCACCCGGAAGGTCCCATGGGCGCCATCCATCAGAACATATCGCACTTCACCTGCGGGGCCCAGGTCAGGATCAGAGGCATCCAGAAATGTCAAGACAGTCCCGGGGGGCAGGTCCTCTGGAACCTTCAGCCTGTTGTGTTCTGTGATGCACTGGGGAGAGTTGTCGTTGACATCCTCCAATGTGATTATCAGGTCAGTGACAGAGAAGAGCTGGTGGCCTTTGCTGGGCTGATCCCTGGCCTCCACCTTGAGTATGTACCGAGGCTCTGATTCGCGGTCCAGGTGTCCTGTAACAACCAGTTCCCCAGTGAGAGGGTGGAGGGAGAACTTCTCTGTGGGACTTAGCAGGGTGTAGCGAACCCTGCCATTGTCTTCCGAGTCAGCATCTTTGGTTGTCAGCTCTGCAATTGTGGTTCCAACTTCTGTGTCCTCCGAGATGGTTAACTGGTACCCACCGGGAGGAAATCTGGGTGCGTTGTCATTCCAGTCTTTCACATTCACTGTCAGCAGCTTCCAGGAGGACTTCTGGGGTGTGCCCAGGTCATATACTGTTACATTGAGGATGTAGAAATTGGTGGCTTCATAGTCCAAGGGAGCAGCTACAGTGAGCAGCCCTGTCTCCAGCTCTATGTCAAAGCAGCCCTCCTCATTGCCATCTGCAATCACATAGACCAGTTTGCCATTAAAACCAGCATCAGGGTCAGTGGCTGCTAGGCGGGCCAAGGGGGTGTTGATAGGGACACTCTCAAGGACATCAATGGATTGGGGGAAGTGGTCCTCAAACTGTGGGGTGTAATGATTAATCTGATATGTGCTTAAAGAAGTGAATTCCTCATCACTGGACTCCTGGTTCTGAAGCCCAATAAAGTGGAGGATAGTCTTTGTGAATTGTGTCAATACCCCTGTTTTATCACATGTTACAGGAACTTC
Source organism: Homo sapiens (assembly GCF_000001405.40). Lineage (NCBI taxonomy): Eukaryota > Metazoa > Chordata > Mammalia > Primates > Hominidae > Homo > Homo sapiens. The sequence goes on from NC_000005.10 coordinate 151,566,940, forward strand.
AAAATGAGGGTCCTTCACCACAGTAATATTCAAAGTTGTGGGTGAGGCATAGTTTTTGCCATCTGAGGCTGTAATCTTCAGGGAATAACTGGTGGGTTGACCAGCAGTAAGATTGATAAAAGGGCGTTTGAGGGATATCACTCCGGAGAAATGATTTAGATCAAAATACTCTAGTTCATTGCCTGATACAATCTCGTATTTTAGGTTCTGAAGCTCATCCACATCTATGGCTGACATAGTCATTATCGATTTCCCTACTGGCCAGTCTTGGCGGATAGACCCTGTACAGTTGACTTCTTCAAACATAGGCTGGTTGTCATTCAAGTTCCTGAGCTGAAGAAAAATGGACACTTCCTTCTCCCGGCGAAAAGGGGATCCCCAGTCTGATGCTCTTACCCGGAAGGTATAAATTCTTTTCATGAGTTCATAGTCCATGGGTTTGGAGGTGGAGATGATCCCCAGGTAGGGGTCAATAGAAAATGGCAAAGCTTTTGGTCCAGCAATGGAATAGGTGACATATCCATTTTCCCCATGATCCCGGTCAGTGGCAGTCACAGCCAAAACACTGGTGCCTGGAGGGATGTTCTCATCCAAGGTACCATCATAGGAAGACCTGTTGAAGAGGGGGGCATGGTTGTTGCAGTCCACAATGTCAATGACCACCACGGTGGAGGCCTGGCCCGGTGAGGTTCTGATGTGTAGCTGATAGTGGGCTCTGTCGTGGAAGTCCATGAGCTTTGTGGTGGTGATCAACCCAGTTCGAGCATTAAGTTTAAATCCTACATTCTCTGAAGATGGCTTTAGAACATACTGCAGGTTGGGGAAGGCTGGGGTGACTCTCACCATCACCACGCGGCTGCCAGGAGGGGAAAACTCACTAAGCTGCACTCTGTAAACAGCCTTCTCGAATTTGAGGGAAGACAGTTTGGAAGGTGGTAGGTGAAAGCCCCTGATCTGGGAATAAAAATAAGGGCCGCTCCCACTCCTGGCCTGGAGGCTGAGGTTGAACCCATGAAGGTACTCCATCCAGTTGATGTCTTTGACAGACACCAAACTGAACTCATTGCTCCGGGCATAAGACTTGATGGCTTTGAAGTGCTTTCCAGGGTCACCACCAACAACTTCCACTGACTCCACTTCAGCTCCTGAGCTATTTGCATCGACCAGTACAGTGGCATAGGTGGTACCATCATTGCTGTCTGGTGGAGTCACCACCACCGAAGCAATGGCTGGGGGCTTCCTGAGGGCAGGCTCCACATGAACCACAAGTGCAGCCAGGCTGCCAAACCCATTGCCCTCAGAGATTTTCCGCATGCGGTCCACAGCTAGCACCTGGAGCTCATGCTTTCCTCGCCAGGTGACGTTAAGCTTCCCAGCCACAGTGACCACACCGCTGGTGGGATGGATGGCAAACATCTCTGACCTTGTGTTAAAGGCATAATAGAACTCAGCATTCTGGCCTAGATCAGCATCTGTGGCAGTCACCTTGCAGATGGGGCTCTTCAGGGGCATGTCCTCAGAGATGGTGACTCTGTACGAAGGTGGAGAGAAGAGAGGCTTCAGGTCATTCTGGTCCAGGATGTGGACCACCACACGGGTCAAAGCTTCCAACTCCAAGGTCTTCTCTGTGGCTTGGATGATGAGGGTGTAGCTGTCTCGCACCTCTCTGTTCAGAAGAGCTGTGTTGCTGCTCTTTGTCCTTATTCTTAGGAAGCAGAAGTTGCCCACCACATACTCCTCAGTTTTAAATACATTGGCCACATCCCCAGAGATGATCCGGTACCTCACTGCCCACTGTGGCTCCGCGAGGTAGATGCCCATTTTCTCGAAGCTCTCCACATAGGTCTTGGGAGAAGAATTTTCATAGATGGTGGCATTGTAATGGGAGTGTGTGAAGTGCCAAGCAGAGGAGGAGAGAATCCCTTCTAGAGGCTTCTCACAGGTCGCACAATGGAGCAAGAATATGGCAAAACCCAGCAGGGCAATAGTCATGGTGGAAAACTCCCGAAACCCTGGGCAGAAAATAAAAGACAGGGTGCAAGTTAGGGGGAAAAAATGGTTTCTACTGCTGTGATTCTTAACTGGAGGTGATTTTGACCCTCAAGGGACACTTGGCAATGTCTGAAGATACTTTTGGCTGACCCAGCTTGGGAGTGGTGGTGCTAATGGCATCTGGCAGGTAGAGGCTGGGGATACTGCTAAACAACCTACAATGCATAGGACAGTGCCTTTGTGTGAGTCAGTTCTCACACTGAGAATAAAGACATACCTGAGACTGGGTAATTTATAAAGGAATGAGGTTTAATGGACTCACCGTTCCACATGACTGGGGAGGCCCCATAATCATGGCAGAAGGCAAAGGAAAAGCAAAGTCATATCTTACTTGGCAGCAGGCAAGAGCGCGTAGGCAGGGGAACTCCCCTTTGTAAAACCATCAGATCTCATGAGACTTATTCACTATCACGAGAACAGCATGAGAAAAACACACCCCCATGATTCAATTACCTCCCACTGGATCCCTCCCATGATACAGGGGGATTATGGGAGCCACAATTCAAGATGAGATTTGGGTGGGAACACAGCCAAACCATATCAGCCCTGCAACAGAATTATCCAGCCCCAATGTCAATAGTGCCATGGTTGAGAAACCCCGTGGCTGAAGAATAGCAGACTAGTTCAAAATGCTCTCTCAAAGACACTCAGCAGCTAGAACACAGTCCTGAACTCTTACTCTTTTTTCCCAAAAACTTTCTGTGACTCCTTGGGCGATGGTGAGATAGTCCCAACTCTTAGCCAGGAACCAAGTTTAGCTATCTGGTTCTAAACTACTATTCTCTCTCCTTCCTACAAGGCCTTTCCACTGGGGCTGAGCTCTAGCCAAACTGAGCTGTTTCCGCACATGCAGAGGCTGCAGGAAAGCAAAGTGACCAAGATCCCAGGCGTGGCATCAGGCTGCCTGGCTGTCAGCCCTGCCTCTGTCATTTGCTAGGTAGGTGACTTTTAGAGCAAGTTATTTAACCTCATGAGCCTTCATTTCACCTTCTGTAGAATAAGGATAAGAAAATCATCAATCTCTTAGGATTGTTGTGAAAATTCAGTGAAATAATAAAGGTAAATGACTTATCAGAGTGCCTAGTTTATTGTCAGTTCTAATTTAATGTCAGCCATTATTGATAATAGGAAACTAAGGTTCATAAAAGGAAGGGAGCTGCCCAGGGCCTTATAGCTAGTGGGAGCTCCTTGCACAGACCAGGGTTGCCTCCTTGCCCCAGTCCTATTTATACCTGTTTCACCACATGTCCCTTATAGACAGGGCATGACTCTGACTCATCATGTAACCTGGAACATGAAAACTCCCAGGCTCCTGGAATGTCTGAGTTGAAATGGACATTAGAGATGATGGGCTTCTGTCCCTGCTTTTCATCATAGATGAGTATAGATGGGGAAATAGAGCCCCAGAGTCGAGATCAGTCAAGCTCCAAGTCACACAGTGTGTGGCCGGGTAAGAACTAGTCCCTGGGAGTTAGTTCTTGTTGAACTGATCATGAATAAATGCTTCGCCTCTCTTAGACCCTTGCTGTTTCCCACAGAGCCCATCCCCGAACTCCAGCCTGGGTGAAAATGTGAGACTCACCAGGGCCAAGGATGGGGCAAGGGGCAGGAGGAGCGGGGCAGGGTTTGGCAGGGCCATGTGTAGGTCTGGTGCACCAGGCTGATGCCTGGCTTGCCCCTGGGAGCCTTGATTCCTAGGAGCTTCATGGCTGCCAGCCAGATGCGCTGGAGCATTCTTGGATGAAACTGGCCAGACCTGATTTTCCAGTTGCCTTGCTCTTCAAAGCCAAGGAAGAGTTAAACTTCCAAGGCAAAGGGGGAAGGAGAGGCTTGGAGCCCCGTCTTGCCAGAGTCCTGTGTGAACTGGGCACAGGGTTCCCCAAGATCATGCTGACAGCATTCCGAGATAAGAGGCAGGAATAGAAAAGTCTGCCTAAATCGGGGTCTGAAGGCCTGTGACAGAAAATAATTTCAATATGTCCCACCCTTCGAGCTTCCCTACCACCCGCCTCCCAACTCCTGAGATTCTGTTGGTGGTGCCCTAAGCTTAGGCACCTCAGAAAAGAGAGGGCAGGAAGGTGGCAGATTCTTCATTCGAGGTCTGAAAGTTAGTGGCAGAAAGAGCTGCTGTACGTTTCCCGCCCTGCCTGCCCACTACTGTCCTTCCATGCTTAGAGCTGCAGCCCATAGTGGGGCCAGCCCCAGGCAAAAGCCACACTCACCCTACCCCTGACCCAGCCCCCACAAGCAGAAGGGGACGCCTGAGTCATTCAGCCCCCAACCCATGCAGGATGGCATTGCTTTTGAAGTTGAAACCCCAAGGGAAAGTGAGTCCTCACCCCAGTCCCAGGTCCACTGGCTCCACAGCTCTGTGAGCCCAGGGTGCACGCAGCCTCCCAGCCCTGCCTGCCCTGCTGTGTGGAGAGCTTCCTGTTCACCAGGTCAGCACCCGTGTTGGGCAGGCCCCAGCAAGATACTCTGCTCGATGGCTGCACCGGTGCCTTGCAATGCAGGCGCCGTTAAGATGAGCTGTAGGGAAGGGGAAGGGGAGGGATCTCCCTGGAGGAGGATAAAATGCAGAGAGAATGCACCCTTGGATGGTGGCTTGGTGCCCATGACCTGCCCAGGCTGTAGGACCTGCACACCTGGGGAGTAGTTTGCTGAGGGAGGGAACAGTGTCTGCACAGCTGTTTCCTGGCCCCAGGTTTAGATGAGTGAACAAGCTTGCAGGGCGCAGAAGCATGTTAGGCTCCTTGTACTACCTTCCTAGTTCACAACACCCAGGGACCACTATTTTAAAACATCTTGTGTAAACGTACATCAATTCATATGACTTCCCTGCTTAACACTTTCCAGTGGCTTCCCATAGCACTTAGATTAAAATAGAAACTCCTTGCCCTGGCCTAGAAGGCTCTGCACCTCCTGGGCCCATGCTACTTCTCCAGTTCACAAGCTGCAGCCACACAAAACCCAGACCTGCCTCGGGGCCTTTGCACTTACTGCTTCCCTTAAGATTCTCACATGAATAATTCCTTCTTGTCATTCAGTTTTCAGCTTAAATGTCACCTCCTGAGCTCCTGTTTGGAGTAGACTTCCTGTCAATTCCCCTCTTTATCACTTTGCCCTATTTTCTTCATGACATATATCACTACCCAATATTTTCTTGTTTATTTGTTTAATGACTGTCTTCTTGGACTCCATGAAGAGAGGAGCTCTGTGTATCTTATTCACAGATGAATTCCCTAGTGCCTAGAACAGTGCCTGGTATAGAACCAGGCTCAATCAATACTAGTTGAGAAATGGAAGAATCTAGACTTAGGAAACACAATGACAGAATGAACGCTGAAAGAGCCTTTCATGATCATTCCTTCCTTTTGGAAGCTGGAAAATAAAGTCCCAAAGAAAGAAAGAGACTTGCCCAAAGTCACAGGGTGAGAATTAGAGCCAGGTTCTTTCCTCCTGACTGTGCTTCTGGAAAGAGCTGTGGTCACTTATGAATCTGACTGTTTGATTTCAAATCACAGCTCTACCACTTGCTACCTGTTCAACCTTAGAAAGTTACTCAATATTCCTGAACCTCAGCTTTTTCATCTGTGAGAGAGGGCTCTTAAGAGTACTGCATTCATATTCATAGGGTTTTATGGAGACTACATAAGATCGTGCACGTTAATGTACTCAGCACAGTGCCTGGTATGTAGACAAAACTCAAGACATATTCGTTATTAGATTTTAATGCCAAGGCAGAATCAAAGCCTGGGCTGGGTTGAGGGTGGGGTCCGCTGAAGCCTCTGGAGAAGGTCCAGCCTGTGCCCCAACACAGCAGGAAGCCACTGGTCTCTGGTCGAGTCTAAGCTTGCTGGCCTAGCCACAGACTGTTCCGGGAAGCTGCGAGCAGGCACTTGTCTGGGGTGGGGCCTCATGCTCCTTGGCTCCTCAGGCCCAGAAAGAGACCTGCATCTGAGTGAATGTGCACATTTACAAGAGGGCACACATGCATACTCAGTAGTCAATTTTTTGAATAATTGTGTGGGTACATTAGTTCTGTGTCTACCTGGCCATGAATGGACCCTTTTAGGATATATGTATGAACCAACTCTGCCTCCATGTAACTCCCAGCCCCATTTCAAAGATGTGGAAGGCAGGAGAAGGTGGCTAACAACACACAGGCTCTGGCTGTGTGACCTTGGGCAAATGGCTTGCCTTCTCTGATCCTTAGTTTCCCTACTTCTGCAGGTCGTTTCAAGAATGAAAGTTAGTTAATGCACATAAGTGCCGAGCACAATACGTGATATAGTTTTCAACAAATATTACCTAGTAATACAACTGTTTAGTACCTGGCTTATACTATTAACTGTTGAGTTTGTGGATAATAAAAACTTTCAGGCCAGGCGCAGTGGCTCATGCCTGTGATCTCAGGACTTTGGGAGGCCAAGCGGGGCAGATCACAAGGTCGGGAGATGAAGACCATCCTGGCCAACATGGTGAAACTCCGTCTCTACTAAAAATACAAAAATTAGCTGGGCGCAGTGGCATGTGCCTATAATCCTAGCTACTCGGGAGGCTGAGGCAGGAGAATCGCTTGAACCAGGGAGTTGGAGGTTGCAGTGAGCCGAGATCGCGCCACTGCACTCCAGCCTGGCAACAGAGCAGGACTCCATCTCAAAATAAAACAAAACAAAAAAGACTTTCAGACAAATTATTCCGTCATCCCTGATCTATGCTTGTGCAGGCTAATTTTCTGCAACTTAGTGCTGTAGGGCTTTATAGAGGCTGTGATTCAGTTCACCCTGTGTTTCAGCTCTCTACTCCAGCTTCTCAGGATCTTGATTCCGACATTCAGAAACCTGATAGTTGTAACATTCATGTCTTTGTCCAACTCATTGATAAAAGTTTGAACGTGGAGGGCTCCTCATCACTGGGGGAATCCAAGCAGAATCTGGGTGGCCACCTGAGGAGCATATTCTACTGTAGGAGGATATTTGTCCTTGGGGGAGATAAGAAGCATTCTGAAGTCCCTTCCAACTCATACGGGCATGGTTCTTTGGCCTGTGCATGCCTATGGTCTCTATCAGACCCTAAACGAGCCCCCCAATGGCAGCGAAGGGATTTCCTCTCTGTGGATCAGGGTTATACACCTGCCAATGCTTGTTTGAGAGTCAGTGTAATAAGCTGATCCCTGACCTGGGTTCTGGGAGGCTGAGACCTAAAGTCACTCATTCTCTGTCTGTTCTTGGTCAAGTAAGTCACCTAAGCCCCGTGGACCTTTTTTCTCATCTGTAAATAATGTGTGTGCATATAGAGGGAAGGACTGTAATGGATGGGTGATTCCAAACCCCTCTAATTGTCCCACCCCTCTGCCCCAGGTGTTCAGTGCTAAGACTGGCTCTTGTGGCTCTCAAGAAAGAATCCTAAACATATTCTGTTTATGAAAAACCTTAAAGAGGTGAGATAAATAAATTAAGAGGGACTGTGCTTTGAACCAGAATAAAAATTGTAAATGAAAGAATGGTGACATTCTAGGTATCTGCTAGTCAAGTCTTAGCCACTGAAATAATTTCTCTTCTTAGTAGTAGGGAGTGATTGATGGTTTTTGAGAAGAAGCAGAACCAGGACAGGGCTACATCATTGGGATGAGTAATCTAACATTAGACCAAAAAAGGGATTTTCGCATTCAAGTCTCCCACTCTGGTGTGGATAGGGCTTGAACACCAGCTCTATTGGTTTAAGACAACTGGAATTCACTGAGGGTAGAGAGACTTAATCTACTTCCAAGAAACTTGGATGAACATGTGAGTCATTTGTTAGTTTGTAGGCAGCCACTGTCAGATTCTCATATAACAAAACAACTGGATGTGGCCAGGAGAGGAGCCAGTGGCTTGAGCCATTGATGGGTCCTGTGACTTGAGAATGCCACACAATCTCTCCTGGGCCTCAACTTGCCTGTCTGTAAAATGGAGATAATAATAGCTACTCCTACCTACTTCCCAGGACTGCAGGGAAAACAGATAATTTGACAGGTGAAAGCACAGGGAGGAAAGATGCAGAGTAACACCTTATTAGAACCAATAATGGCTCAGTAAATGGCAGTCTGAAGTGTCAGCTGGCAGAGAGGCCATCTTAGGGGATTTGACTGTAAAAGTCAGGCCTGTCCTAGTCTGGAGTTAGAAATGACTAAAAAGGAAATCCTTATCTAGGACATGGATGAAAGAGAGCTGGGACATGAGGTCCCATTATTTATTAGTATTCTTTTTATTATTGATGACAAAAATTATTCTGTCTTACATCTGTATGATAATCTATACATTTTCAAATAAGCATTTGCATGTGTTATCTCACTTGGTCTTTGGGTAGAGTATGCAGTACTGGACAGAATTAAAAGTTAAGAAAGCGGGCTCTGGAATCAGACAGACCTAGTTTCAAATGCCAGCTCTCAGTTTATCAACTGTGTGGCCATGGGTAGTTATTTAACCTTGCTGATTTCAGCCAAAGGGAGAAGATAATGGTACTCACCTCCTGGAGTTGTTGAGAAGGCTGAATGAGGTAAAGTACGGCAAATACCTAGCACTGGAACACACTCAGTACCAGTTAGTGATGTACCATCATCATCTGTCCTATGACATTCATTACTCTGAATCTGTAACTGTGAAATTGAGGCTTGGATAATTTGAAGACTGTGCCCAGGTTCACTCGTCTAGTAGGTGATGGATGCAAGCACCAGCACAGAATAAGGATCCATATTCTAGGAAGAGAGACATCCCAGAGGCCTGGAGTAGCTGGAGTTCACTCTAGAGCTGCGCTTTCCAGCAGAACTTTCTGCAGTGATGAAGTGTTCTGTCTCTGTGCTGTCCAGGGTGGGAGCCATGAGCCATGCATGGCTGGCTATTGAGCACTTGAAATGCGGCTAGTACAATTGAGGAGTTGAGTTTTTCATTTTATCTTATTTTAATTCATTTAAATTTTAAAAGACACATGTGACTTGTGTCTACCACATCGGACAGCCCAGCTCTAAAGAGCACGGCATAGGAACCACAGGATTCATGAGATTCAGAGAAGAATGCTGGGTCCACTCATCTGTAAGGCAGAGTGGGCACACCCAGGACCCAGGACTACACATACTATTAAAGCAGAATGAAAAGGGAGAATCTCTTAAGAAAAATTGAGATCTTAATATGTGGGCTAGAAAGATATGGAAGGGAAAAAGCTAAAATTCACGTATACTTAGCAGTATGGTATAGGAACAAGGGGGTATTTTTAAAATGGTTAGCTTTTGGAATGAATATGTCCTCAAATTATGTCTTAGAGAAGGAAGGGAATGATCTGAGGGAGCAAACTGGGATATATTATCTGGAACAGTGGCCTCAACTATTCGTGCATATTAGAATTACCAGGAGAACATTTAAAAACAGCTTTTCACTCACCCCTAGTTTAAATCAATTAAGTTATACTATAGGTTTTTGGGTTTTTAAACATCTTTTCAGGAATGAGGACTACTGTAGAAAGTTACTATGGTCAATAAATTATTGAGAATTTCCTTTTAAATTTGAAAATTGAATCAATAATAAATGTTTTAGTTTATTTTAAATACGAAAGAAAGAAAAACTTTTAGGTTGAAGAGTTTGGATATATATAATAACACAGGTATGTCTCACTTAACGATGGGAATACATTCTGAGAAATGTGTCATTATTTGAACCAGAATGAAAACTGTAAGTGAAAGAATGGTGACATTCTAGGTACCTGCTAGTCAAGTCTTAGCCACTGAAATAATTTCTCTCCTTAGTAGTAGGGAGTCATTCATGGTTTTTGAGAAGTTTGCACAAGTTTGTTATTGTGCAAACATCATGGAGTGCACTTACACAAACCTAGGTGGTGACGCTTACTACACACCTAGGCTATGTGGTACAGCCTATTGCTCCTAGGATACAAACCTGTACGGTATCCTACTCTACTGAATACTGTAGGTGATTGTAACACAATGGTAAGTATTTGTGTATCTAAACATAGAAAAGGTACAGTAAAAGTATGGTATTATAATTTTATGAGACCACTCTCATATATGCAGTCCCACACTGACCAAAATGTCATGATGTGCTACATGACTGTATACGCATCTTTATACCAATGCCGTCATAGAACATAATTTTTAATTTATGACTTCATAATTATCACTTATAATTGTTTCATGGAAGAAGGGGCCCACAAAGACTAGAATGCTTAGAGCCCTCAAAAGTCATAGTATGACCCTGGAGAAATGAATATTTGAAGGAAGAAAAGGGCTTCCAGTGGCCTGGGCTTTGGGGAAGAAAAGGAACAAAGTTGGGGATGTGAAGAAAGTGTTTTATTATTGAGCTTCCTCTGCCAAAGGCATTCATTCATTTAATACTCACTGAGGGCCTGCCCTGTGCCAGGCATCTAGAGCAGAGAACAAGAGAGATGAGGTTTCTGCTCTTGTGGGTACTGTATTCTAGTAGCAGAGAGAGACAATAAACAAGAAAATATTGACTGTGTCAGGTGATGAAAAGCGATATAAAGAAACGTTATGTGGGGCAAGGGGTAGAGCATGGAGGGGAGATGCTATTTTTTAAAGGGGAGTCAGGGAAGTCCTATATGACAAGGTGACATTTGGGCAGGGAGGTGAACAGAGTGAGGAAGAGAGCCAGAGAGCTATCTTCAGGAAGAGAGTTCCAGACAGAACAGGCAACGCAAAGGCCCTGAGATGGGCAGCAAGGAAACGCTGCTGTGGGTTTTCAAGTTTGCAGATCCTGATACGCAATGAGGCCCAAAGAGAGGAAGAGGCGTGTCTGGGGTCTCTTCCTCTTAGGGTTGTCTGTACGGATCTATGAGCTTTGCATTTGCAGCTGAAAAATCCCTAAGCCAGAGGGAACCTCAGAACTGGAGGGCCTGGGGTGGCAGGGAGGGAAGGGAGGAATCCTGAGGGGTCAACAACTCTAGCCCCACTTCTTCTGGGGCTCTCTGGTAGGAGGAGTTTGTTAGATGAAAACCATTAAAATCCATGAAAAGGGAAAGGCAAAAAAAAAAAAAAAGATCAAAGCCAACTCCAGCTTAGCAGAATACTGCCTGGTATTTATTCATTAGAAGCTCTAAACGCAGAACAGGGGAACGGGGGAACCTCCCCTAGGTTCTAGGTGAGGAAGGTTGTGCCCTGATAGACTCTCCAGGAGGACTAGAAAGCTTCTTTCAGATGGAGAAGAGAACAAAATGCAAAGGCCAGAATGTCCCTGCTGAATGGGCCTCGTTTTGTGGGGTTGCTTACTATCCTGTGGTTCTTGCCACTTCGATCCAATGGAATCCTTTGCAAAAGGATGAGTTTTCAAACACAGACCTCAAGTCCCAACTGGGGCAACCTTGAATAACTTGATCTCTGAGCCTATGTTTTTCTTCACCTTTGAAAGGGAGATACTTAAAGCCACAATTAGATTATGTTGGGATGACTATTATCAAAAAGACAAGAGATAACAGCTGTTGAAGAGGATGTGGAGAAAAGGGAACCATCAGACACTGTCAGTGGAAATGCAAATTAGTACAGCCATTACGGAAAACAGTATGGTGGTTCCCCAAAAAATAAAAAAAAGAACTACCATATGCTCCAGCAATCCCACCACTGGGTATATATCCAAACGAAATGAAATCAGTATGTCAAAGAGATACCTGCACGCCCATCTTTACTGCATTATTCACAATAGCCAAGATATGGAATTACCGTAAATGTCCATCAGTAGATGAATGAATAAAGAAAATATGGCCTATATACACAAGAGAATGTCATTCAGCCTTAAAAGGTGGGTAAATTTTGTCAGTTGTGACAGCGCATATGAACCCGGAGGGCATTATGTTAAGGGAAATAAACCAAGTACATAAGGGCAAATACTGCAAATACTTTTTTAGAATCCACATATACTCACTCTGTGTGAACTCTAAAAAGGTTAAACTCATAGAAACAGTGAATAGAATGATGGTTACCAGTGGCTGGGGTGAGGGTGGGGATTGGGAAGATGGTCAAAGAATATAAAATTTCCATTTGGAGTTGAAAAATTCTTAAGCCAGAGGGAACACCAGGAACACAGGGCTTGGGGTAGGAGGGAGGCAAAATAGGAATTCTGAGGGATCAACAAATCCAGCCCCAATTCTGGGGCTCTCTGGTTGGAAGGCAAGTAAGTTCAAGAGATCTATTGTACAACATGGTAACTATAATTAATAAAGGCATTGTATATTGTACTTGAAAATTGCTAAGAGAATACATTTGAAATTTTGTCATCACAAAAAAATAAGCATGTAGGGGCCAGGCATGGTGGCTCATGCCTGTAATACCAGAGCTTTGGGAGGCCAAGGCAGGAGGATTGCTTGAAGCCAGAAGTTTGAGACCAGCTTAGGCAACATATCGAGATCCCATCTCTACAAAACATTTAAAAATTAGCCAGGTGTGGTGATTTGCATCTGTAATCCTAGCTACTCAGGAGGCTGAGGTGGGAGGATTGCTTGAGCCCAGGAGTTTGAGGCTGCAGTGAACAATGATCACACCACTGCACTCCAGCCTGGGTTACAGAGCAAGACCCTATCTCTAAAAATAAATAAATAAATAATTTTAAAAAGGCATATGAGTTAATGGATGTGTTAAATGGCTTGATTTAGCCATTCCACTATGCATACATTATCAATACATTATGTTGCACACCATAAATATATACAAATTTTGTCAATTTAAAATATAAATAAGGAAATACATTTAAAAAAAAAAAGAGAGAGAAAGATACTAACTGAACCCACCTCAGATAGTGTTCTGAAGGTAGAACTAGATGGTGCCTGTTAAACATTCAGCACATGCATGGCACCTAGTAGTTGCTAAATAAATGCTAGCTGTTGTTATTTTATAACTATCATTCTTCTTATGTTAAGCAGATTGAAATAGACCTGCTATAATAGATGTGAGAGGAGCCCCAGAGCCCCATTCCCTATGCATTGTCCCTTTGTCAGTGAAATCCCTGGACTCCCTAGGGCACAGTTTGAAGACTACTATGAGTCCAAGCTCTGTTTAATAAAGATGAGAAAACTATTCCCAGAAAAAGGAAGGGGTCACTTTAAGTTGCATAGCATGTTGGTGGCAGAATTGGAACCAGAACCCTGGCTCCCCATCCTGGCATTTTGGCACTGGCCATGCTGTTCCCCCAACCCCAGCTCCACTGTCAACCTGGGGGCTCCTCAGGAACCCACAAGGCCAAGGTCTTCTGCATTAGTCAAGAGGAGAGTGCAGGGAGAAAGAACTGGTTTCAGAGTGAGACCTGCCCTCAGTACTGCCTCCACTTGCATTGAGGGGCAAAGCTGAGCCTATCTAAGCCTCAGTTTCCCCATTTGTGAAATGGGGCTGGTAACACTTACCTTCCTGGAGGATTTAATGAACACATGCATGTATGACATTTGGCACAGCGCCAGTCAGGCAGAAGGTCGCTAATGGGTGGTTGTTATTACCATTGCAGTAGGTGCTCAAAAAATATGTGTAGAATGTAGGAATTATTTTCTGTACATGTGCGGACTCTCATTCGGGCCCCAGGAGCCCCTTGTGGGAGGGTCCCTTAACACACACGCGTGCTCGCACACACACACACGGGTCTTTGTGACGTTCCTTCTCTCTTTGCAGTGATTTGCAGCAAAGCTCAAGCAGCAAGTTGAGCAGCATTAAAATAATAACAGATGTGATCTTCTTCAGAGTTGAAGAGGGGGCAGAGGGTGGGTGTGAAGTGGTCAGAAGAGTATTGACAGTGAAAACACCAGGTAGAAAATGTCCTGCACATTCTATAAAAACATACATCTCCCGATCTTTTATGTTCTGCCACTGACATGTTGGGGTGACCACTCTGGGCCCCTTCCCTGTCTCTATCCAAGACACAATAAATGGCCTTCCAAGGATCCAGCAGGCCCTGTGGCCAACAGCAAAAGGAATACTGTTCCTCTTAACTGCTGAAACAGAAGCTTCTCCTTGTTCCCTTCCGTGAGCCCATCAGTCTCACGTGGCCACTCCCAACCAGGTTCTGCCTGTAACTCAGGCACCTCCAGGAGGTGGAGTCGCTACAGTCAGGCCACACACTCAGGTTCTGGAGAGGGGCTACCTGTGTTGGAGTCCTGCCCCGGGCCCACTGCTGGTTGTGTGTGATTTTGAGCAAATCATGGGACCTGACAGAGGCTCGGTCTCTTCAGACATAAACGAGGAAACATAATCATCAGGGTATTATGAGGATCAGAACTGAGATGAAGGGCATAAAGCGGTGGGCACAGTGCCTTGCATGTGAGCCCCCTTGAGGTAGCTGCTGTGATGAAGATGACAATCCAGGGACCTCAGCCCCTACTCCTTTGGTATTATATCGGAGGGCCAAGCAGGGGGCCCAGGGAGAGAGCCCTGAGCAAATTCCCTCATTTCATGGAGACTAGTCCCTGCTTTCCTACCTCCCTGAGCTAACCCTCTGCTGAGCTATCGCTAGAGGCCCTGAAGATGGTGAGGTTTGGAACTACGGAGTGCTTGCAGAGGCGCATGCAGCTGCTCACAGCTGACATTTATTGAACATTTATTGGGTGCCAGGCCCTGTGGTGAGCACTTGGCAGGCATTATCTCTTTTAAGCTAGCTTACAGCAACCTTATAATTATCCTCATTTTGTAGATGAGATAACTGAGACTCAGAGAGGTTATTTAACTCCTGAGATCACACAGCTAGTATGGGCCAAGCCAGGATAAAACTCAGATCACCTGTGTGTCCAACAGTCCCCCTGGCCCGCTCCCCATGCCCATGGGTTAGAAAGAGCAATTGTGAAGGGGGAGGATCATATGATCCCTCCCCCATATCAGGGATCACATAACCTCAGATCCTCTCCTGCCAGCAAACACAGATTCTCAGCATAGGTTTCATTTCCAGTCTTCCCTCTCATTCCCATTTCCTCTAGCCTGGCCCAGCCCAGCCCAGCCCAGCCATCTGTCTGTCCTCTCCCCTCTGAGTAGAACAGCTTAGGACAAAGCCAGGCAGGCAGGCAGGTTGCTGCAGGTGGGAGCTGCGCTCTGGCAGTGGGGCAAGACAGGCTTTCTGCTGTCTGAGGCACCCAGTCCTGCTGCTGAGCTGGCTGAACCTGACTGCAGAGCCAAGGCACGAGAGAGGTCAGAGATGATTTGGGAGCACCCTGAGTAACCCAAGGTGCATACTAATGAGATGCAAATGAGCCTCTGCCGGTGGGCTGCAGGCCAAGTCCCTGTGTTCAACATTCAAGCCCCCCTGGGTTCTGTCCACACACACCGACTTTTCTTAGCCAAGGTAACTGCTCCACCCAGCCATCAGCAGACACAAAACTCAACAGAGTGGCTGGGTCTGTCTGTGTTCTCATCCGCAAAGCTGGCCGGTGGATTGAACTGGTGATTCCCACCATTAGGAATTCCCTGAGGGGATGGGGGTGAGGGTTAAAAATATATATATTCCCAGCCCTACCCCAGAGCTACTGAATCAAAATCCTTAGGGGTGGGGCTCAGAAATAGATGTTCAACAAGTTCCCTGGGTGATTTTGGTGTGACTGGTGTTTGAGATCTGCTGAACAAGGGAACCATCTCTTTCTTTAGGATCATACTCTCTACCATGCCCCCTTTCAAAGTTGATATCCCAAATGTGGCCTGATCCTACGCCCTGATGGAGAGGGGATGGAGGACATCAGGAAAAGACTGCAGTCTTTAGAAAGTGTTCAGGCTAGAGAAGTGATTCTCAAACGTCACTGTGTTAAAAATCGCAACCTCTTCCTCAAAAAGCCTGTTTCAGGAGGACTGCTGTGGAACTCAAAGTGGGACTCATATTTCCTCTGTAGGTGGTCTGCTGACTGTTGGTGGGGGGAACACTGGCCCTCAAGCAAAGTGGACACAACATTACTGCTAAAGTCAAACAGAAGAGCAGACGGGAGAGGGAAAGCAACAGATCTGAGCTTCATGCCTAACTTTATCACCTGGAAGTCTCTGAGCCTACACATATCACTGTCTGCACACGCCTCTGTTCATCAGCATCTCCAACCCCAGAGGCAGCTGTTCATCTTCCTGAGGTCTTTCTATCTCCTAGATAGAGACTGAACCCTGGGAAGCCATGTTCTACTTGTAATAAATAGAACTTAACCTGAAAATAAGAGAGTTCCATTCATATATGCACACCTCATGACCCAGCGGTTCCACTCCTAGGTCAACATAAGTGTGAACATATGTTCACCAAAAGATTCATCACAAGACTATTCAAAGCAGCACTAGTTATAGCAGCCCCAAATTGGAAACAAACCAAATGGCTATCAAGAGCAGAATGGACAAGTATATTTCAGTATGGTCATATAATGGAATACTATACAGCAAAGCAAATGAACTATTGTTCTAGGTGACAATAGAGATGAATCCTATTCACATAATACGGGGCAAAAGAAGTCATATATTAAAAAGTACATACTGTGGTAGTCCATGTTTATAAAGTTTAAAAACAGGCAAAACAAATCTATAGATTAGATTAAGATAGTGTCACTCTTACATGGGAGGGAAGTGGTGAGTGACTGAAAAGGGTACAAAGAGGGTTTCTGGAATAGTAGTAATATTCTATTTATTAATCTGGGAGCTGGTTAGTTTCTGGAAAATTCATTGAGCTGTACACTTATGATTTGTGCACTTTTCTGTATGCATATTATACTCCATTAAAAAGTTCTTTTTTTAGGGGCCAGGCATGGTTGCTTGCGCCAGTAATCCCAACACTTTGGGAAGCCGAGTTGGGTGGATCACTTGAGGTCAGGAGTTCAAGACCAGCCTGGCCAACATGGGGAAACCCCATCTCTAGTAAAAATAAAAAAATTAGCTGGGTGCGATGACACACACATGTAATCCCAGCTACTTGGGAGATTGAGGCACAAGAATCACTTGGGCCTCGGAGGCAGAGGTTGCAGTGAGCTGAGATTGCACCACTGCACTCCAGCCTGGGTGACGGAGTGAGGCTCTGTCTCAAAAAAAAAAAAAAAAAAAAAAAAAAGTTTTTTTTAAACACTAGTAAAGGACTTCAAAGAAGACTTTAATTAAAAAAGAAGACATTAAAATAATAAAAGCGTTTGGACTACCTGCAAATTGCATAGGATTTCACAGCTATGGGATCTTGGACCCTTCCTGCCCTAGGAACCAGGAAGGAGACAGTTCTCAGAAACCAAGAAGCTCAGGAACCATGCCAGGGCATACCAGGGCTGTGGAAAACCGACACCTCAATGATTCCCTTTACCCTCCCCTGCCCGGCCTGCCCACACAGAACCGCGAGGACAATGGCAAGCCCACTTTCCACAGGGTTCCCAGGCTTAGCTGGGTTCCAGCTCATTGGGGCTTACTTCCTGCAGCATTTTTCTGTTCTTGGAGCAATATTCTGGTCCGTTTTCTTATTTAATTCCTTCAAAGACCCTATGAAGGAAGCAAGTCAAGGCCAGGAGATGGGGGCTCAAAAGACTTGTCCAAGGTCATACCGCTAGCAAGTGGCCCGGTCAAGACTCAAACACAAAACTTCAGATGCCAGATTTAGTACTCCCTTGGCTGCACCGCATACGGTCTCTGCCCAGTATAATAGTAACGTTGATTATAGCACCTAGCACTTAGTGAGCGCTTGTGCTGTGGATGTCTCAGTGTCTTTCAGCAACCCACAAAGGCAGGTACTATCCTTTCATCTATCTCCATTTTACAAATGAAAAAACTGAGGGTCAGAAAGGCCACGTGCCTTGTCCAAGGTCAATGGCCAGTCAGTGTGGAGCACGGATTGGAACAAATGATCTATCTGACTTGAGTCCAAACTCTGAACCACTAGTCCAATGGCTACCAAGTCCAGTTAGACCTCACCTTGAGCCCCCTTGGAGCTTAAAAAATATATATAGATTCCTGTCCTTCACCCTCACACTCCTCCATCTAATTTTGTAGACTTAGGATGGGGCTAAGTAATTTGTATTTTTTAAAAAACAGCCCCAGACATTTGGGAAACTTGCCTCTAAATTAGGCTGCCCCTGAAATATGACAGTAAAAATGAAATAATTTAAGGTAAAGTTTAATTTAGCAACTTCCAAATTAACTCGCTGGACCTCTCTAATAATTGGAGTTCTCCTAACAATAGTAAATAGCCCCTAAAGAAGGAGTGATGTGGCTATCCTCAGAGGCATTAAGAATAGCCTGGCCATCTGAATAAGAGTCACTCAGCAGGGGCCAGTGACTGGCAACGGGCACCAGGGGGATCTCAGGGGGCTGGGAATGTCTGCTTTTTGTGCCAGTTACTGGTTAGCCACCATTCGAGTTCACTTTATAAAAATTTATCAGCTGTGGCCAGGCTCATGCCTATAATCCCAGCACTTTGGGAGGCCAAGGCAGGTTGGATCACTTGAGGTCAGGAGTTCGAGACCAGCCCGACCAACATGGTGAAACCCCATCTCTGCTAAAAATACAAAATTAGCTGGGCGTGGTGGCACATGCCTGTAATCCCAGCTACTCTGGAGGCTGAGTCAGGAGAATCACTTGAATCCGGGAAGTGGAGTTTGCAATGAGCTGAGTTTGCATCATTGCACTCCAGCCTGGGCAACAGAGCAAGATTCTGTCTCAAGGAAAAAAATATATATATATCAGCTGTAACTTACAATTTATGCACTCTGTTTTTGAATTTGTCAGACACTACCAGGACAGAGTAGAGAGTGTACCAGGGATCTGATAGGGTTCTCTAATATATGCTTCCAAGAGTTTGAGCTTCTAGGAATTTTTCAAGATGCTATAATTCTCTGAGTCAATTCCCAAGACTTCAGGAGCCCCCAAATCTATAATAGTAACTAACATTTAGAGAGCTCTTAGCTTGTGCCGACTATGCTAAACACTCTACACACATCAACTCTCAGCAGCTCTGTGTGATAGGTAGCATTATACAACTCTCAGAAAGGTGGAATCATGTGTTAAGGTAACAGAGATGGAAAGTGTTAAGGCCAGGACTGGAACTCAAGCACCCCGACTCCAGAGCTCACGTGCCATACTGATAGCCATCTCTACCGCTTCCTCAGGCTAAGCTTCCAAGGGTCCAAAATGATACGTTTGGCACCATTGAGCCTTGCATTTGATGGGAAGACCCTGAGGGGAGAGGATGCTGCAGGGACAGGCAGCAGCTCTGACACTGGACACGTGAGCACATGCAGGCCAACACGTGCACACATGCTGACGTTACTGTACCACTGGCGTGTTTCATCCTGCTTGGCTTGTGCCCAGGCCAACTGCTGCGGGCACTGGAGCCAAATGGGAACCAGAGAA
This sequence comes from Homo sapiens, assembly GCF_000001405.40. Lineage (NCBI taxonomy): Eukaryota > Metazoa > Chordata > Mammalia > Primates > Hominidae > Homo > Homo sapiens. The sequence continues at coordinate 151,586,303 of NC_000005.10, forward strand.
TTCTCCTCTGTGAGCTCCCTGCCCCCAGCCAGCGGAAGGATAGATGGCATTTTCCTGTTGCCTCAGGTGGTCTTGCAGGGGCCGCCCAGGAACAGAAAAAGGGGCAAGGGAAGATTTCTGTCTTTTGCAGACCTACACTGGAAAATGCTTATGACATCGCCCCTTTCAGGAAGAGATGGATTTCAGAAGATAATTTGTTAATCAATGGGTAGTGGTGGAATATCAGGCACTGTGGTCGGCCAAGGGGGAGAAAACAGGATATCTTAGCCTTCTAATCTGACTCCTTTCCTTAAATTGGTGTTCTACCTCACGGGCAGGTAGGTCTACCTAGCCAAAGCACTCTAACTTAAACTCCTTTAACAGTCCTCCAATGTTTATAAAATAAAAGCCATGCTCCTAAAAATACTTTCTGAATTCTTTCTGTTTTAAAGAGATATATGGAAATATTTTCAGGTGCAATCATATATCTGGGATTTTTGCTTCAAGATAATCTGATAGGGGAAGAGTTGGTAGAAGTATAGAGGAAATATAATTGTTGACCAGGCACAGTGGCTCAGGCTGGGCGCAGTGGCCCACGCTTGTAATCCCAGCACTTTGGGAGGTCGAGGCAGGCAGATCACTTGAGGTCAGGAGTTCAAGACCAGCCTGGGGCAACATGGTGAAACCCTGTCTCTACTACAAATACAAAAATTAGCTGGGTGTGATGTCACACGCCTGTAGTCCCAGCTACATAGGAGGCTGAGGCATGAGAATCACTTGAGCCCAGGAGGTGGAGGTTGCAGTAAGCCAAGATCATGTCACTGCTCTCCAACCTGGGCAACAGAATGAGGCTCCGTCTCAAAAAAACAAAAAACAAAACAAAACAAAAAAAAAACAAAAAAACCCAACATAATTGTTGAAGCTGAGTGATAGGGCTTCTTTGCACCATTCTGTTTACTTCTGTGTATGTCTATAATTTTCCTTCAATAGTACATTATATATATGTGACATTTTTTTGAAAATGACATGCTCCTTGGCCTGACACATACAAAAAAGAGGTAGGCTGGGGCCTTCAATGATCTGGCCCCAACCTATCTCTCAGACCATGTCTCCAGGTGTTCCCCACCCAATTTATAGGTTCCTGCACGCATCTGCTGTTTTCTTTAACTGCGGGGCCTTTGCATGTGTTATTTTCCCTCTGTTAAATGCCTTTCCCACTTTTCTTTCCTTATTTAACTCTCATTCAGCCTTTAAAACTGATGTTCAGTGCCAACTCCTCCAAGAGCTTCATTGAATCTATAACCCAGCTACTGTCACTCCTCCTCTGGGTCTCCATGCCAGCCTGGGTTTGCCTGTGTTTTACCACCTACCCCAAGATATTAAACCACCCATTTATGGGTCTGCCTCTATCAACTGTGAGTCTTTGGGGGCCTGACACATTATAACTGCTCATTAAGTGTCTATTAAGATAACAGAACCGTGTGACTTACAGGGATTAGCTTAACCTTTCTGAGTCTCTATTCATGGTCTCCACACTGAAAACAATGACAACAACAAGAAGCAGTAGAGGGTGATGTGGGCAGTTGTGCAGAGTAGAAGAGAAGGAGTTTGTAAAAGGGCCTAACCTGGTGACCTGCACATACAGGGTCTAAGTCATTGCGAATTCTCACAAATAGCTCACTGTTGAGTGCGTGCCAACCCAGGCAAACTGGCTGTGTGACATCTGTAAAATGGGAGCAATGATTCTTCAAGGGAGACTTCAGAGAATTCCCAAGGGTTCTTCGAGTTGTACAGTTACAGCTATCTGTTGACTCACTGGCAATAGTGATGGAGTGGTGTGTGTGTATGTGTGTGTGGGTGTATGTGTGTGTTGGTGCATGTTGAGAGAGAGGAGTCTGATTGATGATGTTTTTGTCCCCTGGAGGGCAGCTTACAATCCAGAGATCAACCTCATTGCTGATCCCACATTGCCTCTGGAGGATGTGGGAGCCAACTGGCCTTCAAGACTGATCTGCCACTTACATAAAAAACAGGAACATCTCCTGAACTGGGCTAGGCAAGTGAAACAGAGGCAAGTCCAAGTTCTGCATAGTGGTCTGGTTTTCCCCACTGCTGTGTGACCTTAGTCAAGTTACCAGACTTCCCTGGTGAGGCCTCACCGTTACCAACTGTCTGACTCAGTGATCTCTAAGCGCCCTTCCACTGGACTGTATCTATGAATGGGTTGGGGCTAATACTTAGTCCTCCAGTAAGCAGCAGTTCTCATCTATGAATTCAAAATGAAGATTCATTCATTCATTCAGCAGATAGGCAATGAGCTTCTTTTCTGTGCCAGGCACTGTCCTGGACCCAGGCGCCAGGGCAGTGAGCAAGACAGACCCATGGCTTATCTTAGTAGGAGAGCCAATATAAAATAAGTCACACAAATAATTAATAATTATAATTATGACCAGTCTTAGGGAGGAACACTTCAAGGTGCTGTGAGATGATACCCACTCTAGGAGGAAGAGAGAAGAATCAATTATTTGATGACTGTGAACATAATAAATAAGGCCCTACACATTTCTTGCATTACCTTCCATGCACCCCCTCATTTCTCACATCAATTCTCTGAAGAAAGAACTATGATGATCCCCATCTTTCAAATGAGGAGCCTGAGGTTTTTAGAGAAGTTGAGGCCCAGGTCACATGGCTAATAATATCCGGGAGTTGGACCCACACTTTACTTTGTAAACCTGTCTATAAACCTCCATCATAAATGTGAGTGTTAGTACTATTAGTCCTAGAAATACTAGTATTGAGGCTCTGAGCTAGCTCAGTTTGCATTCTAGGGGCTCAGGGATCATAGGAGGCTTTTAGAGGTCATGTCCTTCCCCACTCAAAATGAATCCAAAAGACAGGGTTTATCCAGGGGGTACAGGCATGTCCCCAACCGTACCAACTCCATCTCCCCCCAGACACACACAGGCTGTCTCTAAAACTTAATGCCTGCCTGACAGCCTCTCCCACCTGGCCTTAACTGGCCAGCACCAGGCCAGTGCCACACAGCCTGTCATAAAGCATCTGGAAGGAGAACTTACAGGCCAAGGTGAGTTCAGTCGCACTTAGGTTAGAGTATGCAGGAAGCTGAGCATCAGGCTAGCTGACATCATGGATTCAGTATCTTCCTGCCAGAAGTCTAACATGTACTCTATCGAGAGCCCTGGGGGAAGACCCTAGTTTGCCTCTTACAGGGACATGGAACATTGAGCCTCTCAAGGTTCTTCATCAGCAAGATGGAGACAATCACTCCTGCTCTGTCTACCCAACAGAATGGATTCAGAAGGGATCTTGGCCAGGTGTGGTGGCTCATGCCTGTAACCCCAGCACTTTAGGGGGCCAAGGTGGAAAAATTGCTTGAGCCCAAGAGTTCAAGACCAACCTGAGCAACATAGTGAGACCCCATCTCTACAAAAAAACATTTTTTTTAATTAGCCAGGTGTGGTGGTGTTTGTCTGTGGTCCTAGCTACCCAGGAGGCTGATGTGGGAGGATTGCTTGGGCCCAGGAGGTGGAAGCTGCATGATAATGCCACTGCATTCCAGCCTGGGTGACAGAGAGAGACCCTGTCTCAAAATAAATAAATATTTAATAAAGGGAGGAGAGGATCTTAACAAACATCCAACTGCCTTTATTTTATATGTTCAGACATAGGCCCAGAGAGGTAAGAAACCGTCCTAGGCCACACAGCCTGTGAGTCACAGAGACATGATTAATGAAATTCTCTTCCCACTCTGCCACACTGCCTGGATTTGAAACCTCAAAAATTTCAAAAGACCATGCGTGCTCAGCATAGTCCCCAGGGCACAGGAAGCATTCAACGAGCATAAGCTGTAATAACTCTTAGTAGCAAGGCATGTTCACCTGTCCAGTCTCTGCTCCCACCTGTGAAGCAGGGCTGAAGGACTAGAAGCACCTACTTCCCAGCCTGCTTCTTCACCTCCTCCTCTCCCCTGAGTCCAGGCGCCAGCTCCAGATTGAGGCTGGGCACAGAGGCAGCATTTCTGAGCCCTTGGCAAACTTCTGCACTGCCTCACTGCTCCCCATGCTGGGGCAAATGGCACTGCACCGGCTCTGAGAACTGAACTCTAGCCCAGTGGCTCTGCTCAGCGTTCCACTCTGGCTCTCCTGCCTCCAGAGATATGCATCAGATTTCTGCTTTCCCCAAGACAGGGGAACAGGGCTGTTCCCACCCCAACAACTCCAGTGCTGTCTTGGTGCCACTCAGACTCATGGTCTTTCACAGCCCTCAGAGACTATGCATGCCCCCATTCTACAGTCAGGGAAGCTGAGGTCCTAATCTCAGCAGCTACAGGAGAACCAGGGCTGACCAGACTATCTGACTCTCCCTTAGCCGCCAGGTAGCTTTGTCTGTGATAAGGTTCCTATGCCCACCTGGACACACACAAGAAGCCAGCAACTCTCAATTCCTGGCCCTGGCACTTCCCCCTAAAAACTGCAGAGGAAATCTCCTCCATGTCCTCTTAAAGGCTCATCTCCAGAAAGCCCAAGTGGGGGATTTGATTCTTGCAGGACAAGAATCCAACTTTCCACGTGTGCAAATGTGACCTTCCTCTTCCACAAGATCACAGTCTCAGCCTTGCCCATTGCTGGGCCCCGATCCCCAGCCGCGGACTGGCTACCTCACTGGCTTCTTTCAGTGTACCTAGATGATCCAGGCCCAGATGTCCCTGTCTTCCCTCTCTGTGCCTGTTCCAGCCATCTCCTGCTTCCTTCTCTACCTTCCAGGAGCCCCCAACTCCAGCCTGCTTTGGAACCAGACTCAAGAATGGATTAACTTTGCTGCCCCCCTCCCGCATCTTCCCATCCTCCAGCAATTCTTACCTGTGCCCTTCAGGTAGGGGAGGGTGCCCCAGAGCAGGCTGCTGGGCTGGCGCCCCTCTCACGAGGGCCAGGCTGACAGGCTCCTGAGGGAGGTGCAGAGACTCGGAGCAGGAAGGCGCGCAGCCCGCAGCCGGAGAGGCTGCTGAGAAAGTTGGAGTAGGTGTGTCCCAGCCCAGGAGGAGGAGGAGGAGGAAAAAGGAGGTGGGAGAATTGAGGCGGATCATCCCCTCCTGCCAGCTCTCTGTCTCACGGAGAGGGAGGGAGGAAGCCAACTGGTTTGTGGCCCAGAACTCACGGTGGGGAATCAAGTCATGGAAAATGAAAGGAGCTGAGAAATCAGGCCCATCTCCACCTCCCTTCTTGGTTTCACCGAGGGATAAACTGAGGCCCTGGACAGGTAGTGTTGCCCCAGGTCACACAGTCACACAGAGACCACAAGGGAACTAGAAAAGGTCACTTGGCTGTCAGAACAGTAGTGTTCTCTCCACTCCTCCATGCTTCAGATCTGAGACTGACAACCACAGCACCCCTTTCCCCAGGGCTTTGGAGACGGACAGATTTGGTTCGAAACCCTGGCACTGCCACCTACTAGTTCAGTAAGCTTGGGTGAGTTACTTAGTCTGAGCCTCAGTTTCCTTTTTTGAAAAGATGGGGATAATAATAGCTCCTACCTCATAAGGTTGTTATGAGAATTAAATGAGATAAAGGTTGCTAAGAAACCAGTCAGGACTTAGCTGAGAAAGTCCCCCATAAAAGGTAATTCTTATTCTTATTGTTTTCAGCTGTGACTTCCCCACACCTGACTTACCCTCTCTAAGTTTGGGCTCCCCCATCTATTAAATGGAGGTAACAAGAATACCTGCTTCATAAGGTTGTACAGATTCATGAGACCGATTATGTGTGCATCACAAAGCACGGTGAGTGATGGCTCACTGGGGTGCAGGACGCCTTGGCTTTGATGCGTTTTATGAGGTGCCTCTCTGTTCTGGCTCCCCATATAATTCCATTACGCACCCTGTGTTGAGAACCAGTGTTTTAAGGGAAAGGGAGAAGAGTTAGACAAGGATTAGCACTCCTCTCCCCTGCTGCCACGTTTTTAGTTATAGAACACATTTGTTTGCTCGTTTTGTATGTTCATGCACAGGTGAGGCCCATGTCTACCTTTTCCCAGACACCGTACTAGGCCCTGGGGACACAGAGGTAAATGAAATCGCTCCTGCCCCACAAAACTGAAAGCAACTCTGCAACCATTCTGTCCAATCCCCTCCCTCCCCCCAGGTCTTGAAGCCCCTCTGCAACATTCCTGGCAAATAAGTGAGTCTTTGCTTGCATACCTCTAATTACAAGAAGCTTATCACCTCTCCCAGCAATCAGTTTGAGCTCTTAGCAATTCTAGCTGATGTTCAGCTGAGCAGCAACTCTTCCACCTGGTTAATAAATAAGAATTATTCATACCGTTGTTAATGCTTTTATTATTATTAGCTATGTATCCCAAGGCAAATGACTTAAATTTGTTAAGTCTCTGTCTCCGCATTTGTTAAATGGGGTCACAACTGTGCTGGGACCACTCAGAACAGATCCGTTTCCCCTGCCGTGTGACAAAACTGAGGCCTGGTTCTATGGCTAGGACTTAGGTGTCTAGAAGTTTAGCCTGGACCCTATGAATTAGTGAAACCATGAAGGTTCTGGTCTTGTTGCTTATACAGGAGCAATGAGGCTTTTTGCTGTTTCCTGGCTCTCAGTGAGATGTTTATGCAGCTGCTGCAGCCACTGTGAGTTGTGCCTTCAGGGACCTGTCACCAGCATCCAGGATGACCACAGGCATCAAGCAGGCTGCTATGGTGTGTTGCTCAAGATGTCCAGAGGGATTCCCCACCAGTAGGATTCTCTGAGGCTTCCCTCCTACAAGCTGCCTCCGCCCCGGATGAGAGGCCCAGGGAGTTGCAGGGTGAGGGGACCTACTGTGATCGACTCCCAGGGAGCCTGTGATCAAGGCTAACCTGAGCAATTATCCACTTGGCTGATTGCCACTCAAGCCTCCAAGTTTGGTCCGATTAGGCATTAACCAGAGGAAGGGTGGCGGGGCAGCCCCACGGGCCCTTTGATTAGTCACGTGCAGAGTAGCAGGCGACTGTCTTCCCTCGGGGGCCAAGGCTGGGCTCCAGCCTGTCCAGCGCAGGGACTGTCTGCAGCCTATTGCAGGAGGGGGAGATGGGTATCAGGATGGATTTCAGAGCCTCTTAAGGCTGCTGGCATCCATCCCCTTCTCCCCGGCTCCCTTACCACTCTCCTGACCCACTCCTGGTCCTTCTCCCTGCTGGCCCCAGGACCTTTCTGGTGGGTCTTCAAGCCTCCAGTCTCCCATGCACCAGGGAAATTGACTCCTAGTGCCCTCCAAGCATGCTCAGAAACTTCTCATTCCCTGATATCTAAAATTCTCTCTCTTCCTGCTGAAATTGTACCTCTCTGTGTTGGTATAGCTCATATTCCACTCCCCTTTGTGAGCACATCCTGACCAAGCCTTTGACCTGACCAAGAAGTAATAATAATAATAATAGGCTGGGCGCAGTGGCTCACACCTGTAATCCCAGCACTTTGAGAGGCCGAGGCGGGTGGATCACGAGGTCAGGAGGTCGAGACCATCCTGGCCAACATGGTGAAATCCTGTCTCTACTAAAAGCATAGAAAATTAGCTGGGTGTGGTGCCGTGTGCCTGTAATCCCAGCTACTCAGGAGGCTGAGGCAGGAGAATCGCTTGAACCCGGGAGGTGGAGGTTACAGTGAGCCAAGATCACGCCACTGCACTCTAGCCTGGTGACAGAGCAAGACTCCATCTCAAATAATAATAATAAAATAATAACAGCTCATCTTTATGTCAGCACTCTGCATGAATTATCTAATTTCTCTGAATACCACCACAATGGATTAGGTGCTATTATCATTCTCTGTGTTTCAGATGAAGAAACTGAAGCTCAGAAAAGCTTTAATTACTTGGCCAAGGTCACTGGTCTAGACTCAGCTAAGATCCAAGCCCCGGTCTGTCTGAAGCCCTTAACCCAGCATTTTGTGCACTGCCTGGGTCTCCCCTCTCCTCACAACCCCTGTGTGACCCTGGCCTGGCGTGTGCCTCTCTTCACTTTAGCTCCCTCCCTACTCTATTGGAAGTTCCTCAGGGATGGGTCTATATCTAACTCAGTGGTTCTCAATCAAGGCTGCACATTGGCATCACCTGGGAAGCCCAGGCCCCAGACCCAAACCAATTACATCAGACTTCCTGTGGGTAGGACCCAGGCATCAGTATTCATAACTGATTCTGAAGCCCTTTCCTGGACCTCAGCGTCCCTCTTTCAATAACGGAGGTGTTGAACTCTGATCTTTAACATCCACCTCTAACATTCTAGAGTTCTAAAGTTTTTACAGGGGTGCCGCCGTAGGCTTCTAAAGAAAGAACTAGAAGAGTCATGTCCATTTCCCCTATTTGCCTGGGGAAAGCTGTCTTCTTCCCTATGAACTGGGTGAGCTCTTTCTCCCTCCCTCCTGGACTTTTCTTTCTAGAGCAATACAGCCACACTCACCTAATGAGCAACGATGTAAATGAGGGGACGGAGCAGAGGACCCTCTGACCAGGCAGCAGATTTCAGGGTGCCCATAAAGTCTGGAAGCATAGACAGCATTATTTTAATTTTTGAGATTGAACCCCCTTGACTCCTTCTGGGGCAGGCTAAAGGCTCAGATTTGTTCAGTGAAAACCAAACACAAATCATCAGAGGAGGCATGTCATGGATGCTTGTACAGGGTTGGCTGACCAACTGTCCCAGTTGGCCTGGGACTTGAGGGGTTTCCCAGGATGCAGAACTTTCAATAACTGTGACAGTCCCAAGAAAACCAGAATGGCTGGTCACCCTAGTTGAGGGAACTGCTGCATGACTGCACTGCATGCGTCGCATACACAGGGTAGGTGCCAAGTGAGTGTCGTCCACCTTAGAAGACCAGTCTCAAGAGAGGATTCAGCCCACTGGGGACAGTTGGCTGATGGACTGGTTACATTGTGACACGTTCAGTGACTATGAAGTGCAAACTGTTCTTCCAGGTTGAGGCCCCTTTACACTGCATTCTCCTTGGGGAAGGTCACAGAGCAGGATGAGAATGGAACCGGGAGACAGGAACAAAGCAGAGACCCTGAAGCCTGGTCTGTGGGCAGAAAAGCCTCTAGAGGCCCGACTATCAAAGGGACATGATGCCTTTAAGGAGGATGAAGTCATCGGGGGATGAGGCCACCTGGCTCTGCAGCCAGGGCTGCTGCCGAAAAGGAGGAGCAGAAGGTGGAAGGTAGGTGGGCCGTGGGGGCCAGGCTTGGGATGGCAGCTCTGTGGCTGACAGACGGAACTCAGCAGGAGTGGGAACGGCCAGCCCTGGCATTGCCTGGGGTGCCCGGGAATGTAATCAAACACTCAGCAGACCTGCTGGCCATAGGCATCTGGGCACCACCGGGCTCTCCAGCTCATCCTGACCCCCAGCCGGCAGTTCTGACAGGCTCCTACCAGTAGAAGCGTCCGGCCTTGTTGGCCAGGTCTGTGGGCATGAGCTCATCTGCTGCCAGCCCAGTCCTCAGTCGGCCTGGCCCAGGCTGCTGCTGGTGGGTGGGGCTCCAGGGTGAGTGCACTGGAGCTGGGCTGGCTGGTTCAATGGCCTTGGTTAGGTCTCCCCAGTGGGACGCCACTCTGAAGACTTGAAATAGAACCTCTGATGTTATCCCCACCCTTACCTGCCCTGAGATTTGCAGCTCTGATGTGGCCATGGCCCAGGGAACCAGTACCCCTTCCTTGTCCCTTTCTTCATAACCACAAACTGTATTTCCAGCATCATCTCCCATTTTTCCCCATTGCATAGTAATAATAACAACAACAATATTTGCAGTAATAATGACAATATTTGTTCTAATTTATTATGTACTAGGCTGAGCATCATTTCATTTAATCCTGAAATTGATCTTCCCTATGAGGCCTTAAGTTGGTGCAAAAGTAATTGAGGTTTTTGCCATTGAAAATAATAATACTATTATTATCATTCTCATTTTGCAGAGGATGGAACTCAGAGTCCGAGAGATTTAAGTGACTTGTCTAAGGTTATCGTACCTTTAAATGGTAGAGCTAGGATTTGAACTAAGTCTATCTGGCTTCAAGATATATGTTCTTAGCTACCACTGTTAGGCTATAGTCCAACCAAATCACAGGATTTGGACTCATGGACATGCCACTTGCACTTGTAGAGAGACCCACACTTGATTCTACTCTGCTGTCTCTGTCTTGCAAATGCCAATCACTTTTGAATAAGGTTCCCCACATTTTCATTCTGCATTGAGCCCTGCAAATTATGTAGCTAGTTCTGCAAATCAGCTAGCCTGTGGGTCGCCAGCTACAGCCTATCACCCTCTAATGCCTATGCTGTCTCTCTGCCTAGACTGTCATTCCACTCACACCTACCAGGTTCATCATAAGACCGTCTGCTCAGGACCATCTCTATGAACTACTAGAGGTTTCCTGCCATCGTGGAGCACAGATTGCTCTGTTCAGGCCTCACAGTGAAATCAGGACAAGATATTCCTGCGTAGTCCTCATTCCCTTGCTGCGCTTGTCAGGGAAGTGGAGCACAGGGTAAAGTTTGAACTTGAAGTTGGGCAGATCTGGATTCAAACCCAGCTCTGCAGCTGTGTGGCCTTGGATAAGTAATTAAAACTCTCTGAGGAGTTTCCTCATCTGCCAAATAGAGATGATAACAGTTCTTGTCTTGCATAGGTTATCATGAGGATTACATAAGGTGATGAATTGGTGGTAATACACTAAGCACTGTGCCTAGGGCCAAGTGGAAGCTTCCTGGATCCATTTGGTGTCTAATTTATCTGTAGATTTCCCATAGCTGTTTGCACATGCTGATGAAATGTGATGGGGCAGAGGATTTATAGATGCAAAATTGCTTTGGAGGTGCCAAAATACCACCTGTGTAGAGGAGTAGGACATGATTTTATGTGAAGAAACTGAGGCCTAGCAAGACTTGCCAGCCTGTTCAGAGCCCTACAGCCCTCCCTTGCCCACTCAGGGGCTTGGCTTCCACAGGTCACCTCAAGGCCAGTAGAGCAGGGGCCCTCATGGGCGGGAGCCTGCTCTCTGCTGCCTGAATTCCTGAGGCAGCTCTGACAGCTGTACTGGCCCTGTCTCCCTGGGCAGCCACATTCCAGACATTCTGCCCAGGCTAGGAAGAGGCTGGCCCTGAGGGGAGAGACCCTGCGGAGCCCCAACCTAGACAGAGATAGCAAGAAGAGAGGCAGGGGTCTTCTGGGGAGTGGGGATTACTGGGCCACTCCAAACTCTCCTCACAGGCCAGGCCTCAGTCCCACCCAAGGCCCACAGTGCAGGGAGGATTGCTCAGGGAAAAGAGACTCAGTAGCCCCGTGGTTCTCTAACTTCAGAGTTTGTAGGAATCATCCATGGAGGTGGGAGACATGGAGTTGTTGAAAAATGCACATTCCAGGCCCCACGCGCATTATGAAGGGGCCCAGGATTCTGAGTTTTATTACTTTTTTAATTGACAAAAAGTATATATTTATGGTGTACAACAAGTTATTTTGAAATATGTTGTATTTTTAATTGAGCCTCCAAGAGGAGGCCGAACCAGGTTTGGGAGACTGATTCAATCCACTGTATGGATGAGGAAGCTGAGGTTAAGAGAGGGAAGGAGATTGCCCCAGGTCACCCAGCAACAAGGCTGTCAGGGTAGAGGCTGTGTGGTTCTCTCTGAGCCACTGCCCCTGCTGGAAACAGGAAGGAGCCTCGGGAGGAGGTCTGGGAACAGAGCAGCTCAAAGAAAAGTTGAGAAGATGAGCAGTGTTTGCCTTCCCCTTCTTCCCCCTTCTTGCCCCATCATTATCCCTGTTCCCCCAGCCAGAAACTGCTAACTGGACTAACTCAGCAGTGCACGGAGCCCTAGACCCCTCACACTCTGGTTGTGGACATCCATCACCCACCTCTCCTAGTGAGCTTCCTTTCTTGTCATTGTATGCAAGAGAACACACCATCTTGGAGTAAAATATCCTAGGATCAAACTCCATCTTATTCACTACTACGCTATGTGGTCTTGGGCAAATTCCTTAGCTTCTCTGACCCTCAAATTGCTCTTTTTTATGATAAGAGGTTGGACTAGACCAGCTTTTCTTAAAGTGGTCATCTCCACAGAAGCACTCCAAAGAAGCACCCAGAAACTTTTCTATGATGCAGATTCTTGGACCTCCAACCAGACAAAATAGGTGAAAATTTTTGAAGAAATCTGAACTTTAAAAAAATTTATTTACACAAATAATACATGATAACTTTTCCTAATAAAAATAATGAAACATTACATTTAAGGCTAAAGCCCTCTCTGCCATCACTACCAATACCCTTTCTAAAGACAGCCAATATAATCATTTTGGTATGTAATCTTTCTAAATATTTACATTCATATATAAGTATACCAGGGGGAAATATACAGAAATGGGTTGGTTGTGGCAAGGGGGTTGCTGAATAACATCTTATGTGTCATTTTGCAACTTTTTATTTTACTCAACAGTGTGTCTTAAGGTCTCTATCATGGAGTACACAGAGATCTACCCATGCTTTGAGCTTCCCAGGTTATTCTGGGGCTCATTCAAGTTTAAGAACTGCTGTGCTTGATAAACTGACATCTTTGGAGTCTCTGCTTTTAACATACGGAGGGCAAAATCAGCAAGCTATTTCCCAAGAGTGAGGGAAAGCCTGGCCTGATTGGAGTATCCTCGGCACTTGGACATGGACTTCATGGCTCAGATATCCCCTGTCAAGGGTGTGATTCCCCAAGATCCAGCTGGGGCACCTCCACTTACCTTCTTTTAGCACTCTCAGGGCCACTCCTTCCATCCCTTGACAGCCCCTGCTCACCCTGATGTGATCCATGCAGGTGAGAGCTGACTCAGGCTCTCTCTGCCACCCGGAAACTGGCTTCCTGTGGCTCTTGATGGGGCCTGACTGGTTTGACTTGGTGAGGCAGCTGTGATTTCCCAATACCTCCTCTCTGGGGATCTTCAGGCACACACCATCTGGCTCTGTGAGGACTTAGGAACTATCTGGGTGCAGAGAGGTGGTATTCTCCTCGCTGTCATCAGGCTGTCCTTTTCTGGGTTTCCCACCCTCCTCTGTAAAATGTTGTTTTCACTAATCTCTATGCCTAGCAAGAGCATCTAGCAAACATATGTATGCAAGATTTGTTGAAAGAATAAAAGTTGTAAAGTTCCTTCCAACTCCTAAGGACTGTGAATTTAAGCCCTCTATTGTGAGCAAAATGCTTGCCATTGTGTGTAGCCCTAGACTGGGAACTGAAGAAGGAATGAAACTCTTGAAAAGATACTGTCCTTGTCCTTGAGTTGCGAACAGTCTAGTTGGGGGTCCAGTCATCCACCCAGTGAATATTTCCCTGGAGTCTGACATAGGGCAGGAATGGAGCCAGATCATGGCAGTCAAGGAAGGACAAAGGGTCCACTCACAATCAATCAAAGAAGAACGTGGCCCAGGAGAGAGCAGAGACCATAGTCACATAGACTAAGGGTCCTGCAAAAAGGCCAGAGGAGAAAGCATTCAGTGGGGGCTGGAGTAGTCAGGAAAGATGAGCTAGATGGAGCGTGGGGCCAGGAGGTACAAGTAGAGAGAGTGCATGGCACATGGCAGGCTCTGGGTAAACGTTTGCCAAATTGAATAGGCAGATTTTTATAGAGACCAAGTCATAATAAATGAATACACAGAAATAGATGAATGTATTAAATAGATGACAGATATAAGCAGATGTGCGGATTCGTGGGCACAAGGATGGATGGACGGATGGATGGACGGATGGATGGATGGATGGATGGATGGATGGATGGATGGATGGATGGATGATGAACAAATTGATGGGCAAGCAAAGAGACAGATAATCTTGGTCCAGGTTTATCCAGTTTTGGGCCAGATATCCAAGTCTGAATTTGGCCCTTCTGCTTACTGACTCTTACTGGCCATGTGATAATATGGATTTTGTGCTGAAAAAGAGATAACCAGTCCAGCCTGCCACCCCAGGAAATTATGAGAATTGCCTGAAATAGCAGATGGTAGGGAGTTCTGCACAAAGCTGTATGCCATTGTCAGAGGACAGTGGTTATAAACACATTTAAAACAACATCTCAGTCCTAGATACACATCAACAGGACAATGCAAGGAATTCAGAGCTGGTAATATGAAGTGTGACTTTTAGAGGAATAGGATGTAGGAGCTGGAATTTATATTACACAACAGTAGGTCCTACTCCACCAAATAACAGTTGAGAAAGCTGAGGGCCTAATATTTTGGGGCTGCTTGAAGTCAGCATCTGGCTTACTCACTTTATCTTGCCATTTAAATCACGCCGTTCCTCCCTGATACCACACCTTCTGCTGTGATGCTCAACGCTGGCTTCCTTCTTTAGAATCACTTTGATAAACCAGCTTCAGGGTTCAGATCTAGAGCCCATCTATATCGGAATCACTTGGATGCTGCTATCATTTAAATGTTTGTGTCCTCTCTGAAATTCTTGTTGAAACTTAATCCTCCATGCAACTGTACTAAGAGATGGGGCCTTTAGGAGTTGATTAGGCCAAGAAGATTCCACCCTCATGAATGGGATTAGTGCCCTTGTGAAAGGGCTGTAGGGAAATAGCTAGGCCCTTTTGCCCTTCCATCTTTTCTGCTATGTGAGGACACAGCATTCATCCTCTCCGGAGGATGCAACAACAAGCTGTCATCTCAGAAGCAGAGACCTTGCCAGACCCTGAACTTGCCTGGCACCTTCATCTTAGACTTCCCAGTCTCCAGAACTGTGAGAAATAATTTCTGTTCTTTATAAATTACCCAGTCTCAGGTATTTTGTCATAGGAGCAGGAACAGACTAAGACAGATGCCTACTGACAAAGGCAAATTCTGGGGTTCTACCTCAGTCCTCTAAATCAGAGTACTTTGATGTGCCCAGATTGAGGCTATCTGGCTTGGTGCTTTGCACACAGTGATTGTTCCATAAACATCTGTTTGTTTTGCAGCTGATGTTGCTTGCCCACATTTACTGGTTGGCATCTGGCAAGGTTGAGATTTGAACCCAGCTCTCCATCTCACTATTGCAAGGCCCCTGTCAGTGCCTCTTGCCCAGGGGCAAGAAAATAACTTCAATGACCTCTCCATAGCCCTTGGCCCTAAGATTTCAGACTCCTCAGCAGCTCCCAGACACAAGCCACTCAAATTGCCTGAGGATTTTGAGCTAAGCCCTCCAGCTTTCACCAGGCTTCTGTGGGGATCCTCGCAGAACCTGGGGATAAGGGAGGCCTAATGGAGATAAGTGGTTCTTGTTCCTCCTCTCATCTGGCTGCTGCCCAGATGGAGGCCACTTAATGCCTATGCTGAAGTCCCAGGCACGAAGGTGTGGGCTGTGTCGGTGAAGTCGAGCTGCTAATTACCCACAGAAATCCCCTGGTAGTTCAGAGCAGTTGTTCTCATCCCTTGGTGCTCATTGGAATCATCTGTGGAGCTTTAGAAATTACTGATACCTGGGCCCACCCCCAGAGATTCTGAATTAATTGGGATAAGATACAAGCCTGGGCATCAGATTGTTAAAACTCCCCAGTTGATGCCATTGTGGAGCTGAGGATCCCTGCCTGGGAGCTTGCTGTGTTTTCCAGCTAAAGTCCCAAGCATAGAATCCCCATTTCCCAGATGGAAACAATGCTCCCAGCCCCCAGGAGCCCAAGCCCACTCCATACATATGTAAAGCCATAAGCCATACAGCCAACAAGTCCACTCTTGAGGATATACCCAAGGGAAGAGTGCTTAGAAACATGACAACATGCTCCAAAGCACATACTCTGTTAGGTTCTCTAAAAGCCACCAAAACCGACCCCACCCAACTTAAGCAAAAGGGAGATTTAATGAAGAGCCATGGGTGACATGGAGAATAAGAGATAGCACAGGGCTCACAGTTAGGAAAGAACCAGGAACAATACATGTGCAGTCTGCTCAGGCGATCACCCATCACCACCAGAAAGATGCACTGGAGTTGGTCCTCTCAAGATCCATATTTGTGAAAGAGGGGTTAGGCTGGCTAAGCCTGGGTCCCTTGCAGGGCTGTGAGGAGAGTGAGGCTGACCAGGCATTTGCTGACCCTGAAAATGAGTGCCCTTTTATATTTTGCTCCATAGGTGCTTTGGGCACCATACTTGCCCCACCATAGTGCTGGTCCTGATCCAACTTAGAAGGTACCTGAAGTGACAGCCCACTGAGACTGCATCAGGTGGCAGCTGGTGCCTCCCCAAAGGATGACTGGCGACTGTTAGCAGAAGGAGCAGAATGGATGCCAGACAGGTGAAATACAGGTGCCCACACCCTGAGGCTTTAGTGTAGAGTAGCTAATAACATGACTCTGGAGTTGGATGAATCTGGATTAAATCCAGGGTCTCTTCTCAATAGTTACTTGATTTGGACAAATCAGCTTCCTTCTCTGAACCTCAGTGTGTTTATCTACAAAACAGTACTAACAACAGTAGCATATGTTGATCTCTGTCTTCTGGATCTTCATTCCTTACCCTTGTCCTTACATCAGTGTGCCCCAAACTTCCCACTAAGGGCACTTAATTGCAAAAGAGAGTGGGCTTGGTTTTCTGGGGGCTGGGAATGGAGCCTAAAACCACAGACAGCAGTCACAGCATTTCCTTTGACATGCACATAAGCCATACAGCCAGCAAGTCCACTCTTGAGGAGATAGCCAAGGGAAAAGTGCCTATGTCCACAAAAAGACATGCATAGGAATGTTCATAGCATTGCTATTCATAAAATCCAACAACTGGACACAACCCAAATGTCCTTTAACAGTAGAGTAGGTAAATTGAGCAATACTACAGAACCATGGAAAACAGCAAGCTACTGCTATACATGATGATATGGAGGAATCTCAGATAAAATCTTGAGAAAAGGATGCCAGACTCAAAATAGCATATGCTGTATAATTCCATGAATGTGAAGTTCAAGAACAGATAAAACTGATTCAGGTGACAGCAGAAAGAATAGTGGTTACCTTGAAAGGTAGAGATGTATATCAATTGGAAGGGGACATGAATGGAAATGTATGTCAAAATTCATTCAACTGTGCTATTAAGATTAGGGAGCTTGGCCGGGTGCAGTGTCACGCCTGTAATCCCAGCAATTTGGGAGGTCGAGGTGGGCAGATCACTTGAGCTCAGGAGTTTGAGATGAGCCTGGGCAACATAGTGAGACCCTGCCTCTACTAAAAATACAAAAAATTAGCTGGGCATGGTGGTGTATGCCTGTGGTCCCAGCTATTCAAGAGGCCGAGGAGGGAGCATCGCTTGAGCCTGGAGGATGGAGGTTTGCAGTGAGCCAAGATTGCGCCACTGCACTCCACCCTGGGTGACAGAGCAAGACCCTATCTCAAAAAAAAAAAAAAAAAAATAGTGTGCTCTACTGTATATCATACCAAAGTTTTTTAAAAAGAAGAAATTATTGTTAAAGCAAGCACAATCGTATTTGAATGAACTGTAAAATTCATTCAAACACGGTTGTGCTCACTTTAACAATAATTTCCTCTTAAATGTTCAAGTAAAATGGACTCTCCTGGACTACAGGTCTTGCTTCTCCAGTGAATTTCAGTCCCCATATCCCTTCTCCTCAATCCTCACCTCCCTGGGGAGGCATACTTCCTAGTTTGAGAAGCTTTCCTGTCACTTAAATTTGAACCATCTCCACAAACACCTAAAGCTGAGAGTCACAAACTAATGGTCCATGAACCATAATCGACCTCCTATTTGACTCACTCTATTTTTTTTAATTGAAAAAAAAATTATTCATTGCCAACATTTTAAATTTGAGAGTTTTCACACAAAAATCTGGGCTTCTTTTGAAATGTTGGATAATCCATAAAATGGGCATCTTGGCAGCAAAGGGCTGGACTCAGATGCTGCTGACTTTAGATGGAACCCAGGCATTCAGATCCCCACCCAGCCTGCCTCACTCACCCCCTTGACCTGCCCGGCCCCTGTTAGTGGGTGAGTGTGTGAGCCCACTAGCTCACATCTGACTCAAACCTTCCCTGCTCCCCTAACCAAATTCCTCCCTGATCTCTGTCCCTCCTCCAGAAAGCCTCCCAGGTAGGACCCCCTCAACGCTATTCTTTCCCTTCTACCTCAGAGGTCAGCAAACTGTGCCCCTGTGGCCAAATCCAGCCAGCCACCCGTTTTGTACAGAACCGTGAGCTAAGAAAGGATTTACATTTCTCCATGGTTGAAAAAAAGTCAAAACAAGTATAATATTTTGGGATACGTGAAAATGATATGAAATTTACATTTCGGTGTGCATAAATGAGGCTCTATTGGCACACATTCGGATATGGATTTATTTATTGTCTATGGCCACAGAGGAGTCTCAACTGAGAGAGTCAAGCCTGAAATATTCGACATCTGGCTCATTAAAGAAAAGATGTGCTGACCTCCGCTCTAATTCCCCCCATCCCTTATTCCACAGGATTATTTTTATGTTACCTTTATGCACTTTCCTGTTTGGATAATACAATAATTTGCCCTATCTTTTGCTCTTTAATGACATTGTGTCACAGGCCACCTGTGCACCGCTGCCTCCATGGTGTCACCTGTGGTGTGGCAGAGTGTTCTCTGCCTTGGAGATTGGGAGTGGGAGGCAGGGGTGGCAAGAAGAGCCTGAACTCTGGAAATGGGTATGGAAGTCAGATGAAAGATTCTGATTTAGTGTCCAAGTGTAAATGCCAAAGGAGGCAAACACTTGAACACCTGCTTCCTCTTTTAATGTCCCTGCTTTCAGGAACCTTAGGACCCTAAATCACTAGACTTGGAAGAAACTCCAGAGAGTCTTTGATTCATCCATTCACTCACTCCTCCAACATACCCTTAGCTTCCCTGTGTGTCCAGCACTGTGCTAGGCTAGGCTGGGGTGTAGGACATAGTCTCTACCCCCAAGGAACATATAGCTTAATGGGTAAGACAAATATCTAAAAGAGAGAATTATATTTCAATGTGAAAATCATCTTAAGGAGCTCTGAGCACACAGCTGAAAGAGATAACTAATTCTAATGAGAACTGAGCACACAGCTGAAAGAGATGCTAACGCTAAGGCGATCTGAGCACACAGCTGAAAGAGATGCTAACTCTAATGAGATCTGAGCACACAGCTGAAAGAGATGCTAACTCTAAGCCTTTCATCTTGTAATTGAAGAAAAGAAAATGAGGTTAACCAGAGAGGGTGAGAAACTTGCCCAAGGTCACACTGCAAGTTAGTGACAGATCTGGAACTAGATTCCTTTCCCAATTCCCATTTCTTTGCAGTTTACCTTCTCATTCCTTCCATCACTCACTTGTTCAACAAATATTACCTAGCCCCTACCCGATGCCAAGCACTGCTCTGGTGCTGGCCATTGAGTCATGAGCAAGACAGACATGCTTCTCACTACCAGAGCTTCTGCTGGGGAGGGGGCGAAGAGGAAGATGAAAAACGTACACATCAGCAAATACATCAATCAGATGATTTTAGAGAGCTATATGCTCTAAAGAAATTAATGCAGAGAAAGGGCTAGAGAGGCTTGGAGACAGGTCTAGTGTGGTGGTCAGGGAAGGCCACTCCAAACAGGTGACCCTGGAGGGGACCTGGAGGGATAAGGAGCCAGCCTTGAAGATCAGCAAGGAAACATTCCAGACAGGAGAGCCTTGTTCTGTGCTACCTCCAAGACCCAACCTCTTACTCCACCCTGGGGCAAAGAGATTTGCAAACTGGTAGATAGCTTGACAATATTTATCTTTTTGGGTTTTGCCTTGGTTTTTGCTTGTTTTGTGTCCATCTGCTATACTAATGGAGGCTCTGGAGAGGAGGCAAAAAGAGAAAGTTCATGTTCACACTTTATCCCCTTTGCCTGGTAGGGACTGCTAACTTGAAGGGGAGAGTGGTGGGAGGAAATTCTGGTGAAGATTTGGAAAGTAAGTGGGTTTATCCCTAAGTACACAACTGACAGTAAATGAGACTCTGCAAGATACCAGTTGGTTACCACAAAGTACCAAAGCCTCCCCATAACCCCCCATAATTGCTCCACTTAATTCATTAAAGGATTATCCCTGAGACTGGGAGAAGGGAGGGAGCAGAATCTGGGAGTTCTGGCAGCAGCACAATCTCCTGTGAGGCAGCAGGGAGACCTGGGGACCCCAACTGTGGCAGAAACAACCGAGTCAGGACTCAGGGAGCAAGAGTTCTAGTCCTGTCTCTGCCTCTGACTGACTGTGTGACCTTAAGCAGTATATTTCCCTCTCTTCAATGAATGAAGGAGAATGGGCTAAGAACAGTGATTTCAAACTATGTTTCAAGAAGCCCTAGAGTCCCAAAGAAGGGTGTCCATTTGTTCGTTTGTTTGTTTGTTTTTGATGGTGCCTTGAAGGAAGGGGCAGCAGAAGATAGACAGGACAGATAGAACTGGGGCCCCAACTCTTTTCAACCAGAAGGACCCTACCTGAATCTGTTTCATGCTCTGGGCTTCCTCACAAGGAGGTAATACATAGAGTGATAATGAAAATAAACACTGAGCCCTCACACGTTGTTGGGTGAATTACATGCAATAACACAGCTTAATGCAATAATTCTACATAGTATTTGTGACTCCACTTTATTTATTTTTTGTTTTCTGAGATGGGATCTTGCTAAGTTTCCCAGGCTGGTCTTGAACACCTGGGCTCAAGTGATCCTCCCACCTCGGCCTCCCACAGTGCTGGGATTACAGGTGTGAGGAACTGCACCCAGCCTGTATCTCCACTTTAAAAATGAGGAAACCAAGGCTCTAAGCAGTTAAATAACTTGTCTAGAGTCAGAACTAGGGTGCAAACGCTTGCAGTCAAGCTCCAAATCTTCACTTTTAACCATTCTTTGATTAAGAGTACTGATGTTTTATATGACACTGACAGTCTCTTGAGGGCCCTGCTGCTTACTAACACTGTGATCTTGAGTGCCTTGAGAGTTATTGAAGGACGCAATGCACACGAGATGCTGAGCATAGTACTTGGCTCACGGTAAAGGCTCAACAATCATTAGCTATTATTATGATATGATTATTAGTATTTTAATTTCATGTGAAGACTGATTCTACGTAGTCCTACAATGTGTTGGGGAAAGACTGGAGTAGATGATCCCTAAAGATCTTCCAGCCCCAGCTGAACATGGCAAGCTGGACATGGTGGCTGAGGCAGGAGGATTTCTTGAGCCCAGGAGTTTGAGGCCAGACAGGGCAACATAGCGAGACCCTTTCTCAAGAACAAAACAAACAAACAAAAAGGAGCATATATTTGGGGCAACTTGAATCTGTCTCTTAGGGAAAGAAAAAGAGAAAAAAAAGTGGCAGGGCTGGGACTCATTGAAGACCTTGGGACATCAGAGCCCTGCATTCTTAACCAATCTACTGTCTGTCCTAGGGCCCACTTTTATGTTTAACAGCTTTATTGAGATATAATTTACATGCCATAAAATCTATCCATTTAAAGTATGCTAGTCAATGGTTTTTACTTTACCTACAGAGTCATGCAACCATCTCTGTAATCTAATTTTAGGACATTTTCCCACCCCAAAAAGAAACCTCATACCCATTATCAGCCACTCCCCAGTCCCCATTCCTCACTTCCAGCCCTAGGCAACTACTAATCTACTTTCTATCTCTATAGATTTGCCTATTCTGGACACTTCACATAAATGGAATCATACTACGTCTGTTCTTTTGTGACTGGCTTCTTTCACTGAGCTCAATGTTTTTGAGATTCATCTCTGTTGTCATATGTATCAGTACTTCATTCCTTTTTTTTTTTTTTTTTTTAAGTTTCGCTCTTGTTGCCCAGGCTGGAGTACAATGGCGCAATCTTGGCTCACTACAACCTTTGCCTCCTGGGTTCAAGCAATTCTCCTGCCTCAGCCTCCCAAGTACTGGGACTACAGGCACATGCCACCATGCCTGGATAATTTTGTATTTTTAGTAGAGACGAGGTTTTACCATGTTGCCCAAGCTGGTCTTGAACTCCTGACCTCAGGTGATCCACCAACCTCAGCCTCCCAAAGTGCTGGGATTACAGGCCTGAAGCACCATGCCCAGCCTCTTCATTCCTTTTTTAATGGCTAAATAAAATGTCATGGTGTGGGTATATCCCATTTTGTTTATGCATTCATCAGATGATGGACATTTGGGTTTTTGCTACTTTTTAGCTATTAGGAATAACACGGTTAATAACATTTGTGTGTCAGTTTTTCTTTTTTTGTGGATCTATGTTTTTATTTGTCTTGGGTAGATATGCAGGAGTAGAATGGCTGGGTCATATCATAACTCTATCTTTAAACTTTTGAAGAACTGCCAAACTGTTTCCCAAGTGGCTGTACCATTTTATGTTCCCACCAGCAGTGTATGAGAGTTCCAGTTTCTCTCTGTGCTTGTCAACACTTGTTATTATCTGTCCTTTTTATCATAGCCATTCTTGTGGATGTGAGGTGATGTCTCCCTTTGTATTTCTCTAATGACTAAGGATGTTGAGTATTTTTTCATGTATTTATTAGTCATTTGTAATATTTGCAGAAATACATGTTTAAATCATTTGCCTATTTTCTTAAGTATGTTGTCTGTATATTGTTGAGTTTTAAGAGTCCTTTATATATTCTGGATACAAGTCCCTTATCAGATATACAATTGGCAGATATTTTCTCCCATTCTGCAGGTTGTTCCTTTCACTTGCTTGATGGTGTCATTTGAAATACAAAAGCTTTTCATTTTGGTGATGCCCAATTTGTCCATTTCTTTTATTCCTTATGCTTTAGATATCATATGTTAAGAAATCACTGACCAGGCGCAGTGGCTTATGCCTGTAATCCCAGCACTTTGGGAGGCCGAGGTGGGCGGATCACTTAAGGTCAGCAGTTTGAGACCAGCCTGGCCAACATGGTGAAACCCCATCTCTACCAAAAATACAAAATTAGCCAGGGGTTGTAGCACACTCCTGTTATCTCAGCTACTCTGGAGGCTGAGGTGGGAGAATCCCTTGAACCCGGGAGGCAGAGGTTGCAGTGAACCAAGATTGCACCAGTGCAGTCCAGCCTAGGCGAGATAACAAGAGTATTGCCTAGCTCAAGGTTGCAAAGATTTACCCCTATATTTTCTTGTAAGAGTTTATAACTAATTTAGGTCTCTGACTTATTTTTTAGCTAATTTTTGTGAATGGAGTGATATAGGGGTCCAAATTCATTCCTTCATAGCTGCATATAGAATTGTCCCAGCTCTGTTTATTAAGAAGACTATTTTCCCCCATTGAATTGTCTTGGCATCCTTGTCAAAATCAATTGACCATAAATATAAGGGTCTATTTCTGAAGTCTCAATTGTATCCCAGTGACCCATATGCCTATCCTTATGTCAGTATCACACTGTCTAGATTACTGTAGCTTTGCAGTAAGTTTTAAAGTCGGGAAGTCCACGTTCTCCAACTTTGTCCTGCTCTTTCAAGATTGTTTTGGCTTTTCTGAGTCCTTTGTATTTTCAAGTAAATTTTTAATTAGTTTGTCAAATTCTGCAAAAAAAAAAGTGTCTCATTTTTGAAAGTGTTTCTTCTCATAAAATAAAGTGATAGAAGATGATAATGATTTTTTTTTTTTTTTTTAAAGATCTTGCTTGGCAAAGAAAAAAGAAGCAAAAGCAATGCTGTATTGCCCCCTCCCCATTGTGGGGAATAGTATCAATCTGTGAAATCCAAAAGTGAATTAGAACGTCCTGGTGAATGGGTCAGATTTTGAGGTGGGGCAGAAAGGTGCACTGCTGAGGAGGAGGAAGGTGGAAGGCAGAGATGGTTTCAAGTGGGGCTTTGAGGGGCCCACCTGGGCCCACACTGTAATAGACACACGTCAGAGTGTCCAAAGGATGGTGTGATGGGATGAGAAAGACCCTATTTACATGAAAGACCCAGGAGACTCCTAGGAAAGAAATCACCCTCAGCAATGGGAACTAGAGCTCAGCTCTGAGACAGGGAAAGGAGTAAGTTGGGGTGCAGTCCAGTGTCTGATGCTTAGCTGTAGCTAATATTGACAAAGTGCTTGCCCTGAACTAAGCATTTTACTGGCAGTATCTCATTTAATGCTCACCATAATTTTATGAGTTTACATTGTAATTGCTTGTTTAATTGCCTAACGCAGCACTGTCCAATAGAAAAAGCATGTGAGCTGCATACATGAGTTTACATTTCCAGGAGCCACATTTAAAAAGCAAAAAGAAACAGGTGAAATTCATTTTGGTAATATATTTCTATCTAACCAATATGTTCACAATGTTATCATTTCAACATGTAATCAATATTTAAACATTTCTGTAAGATATTTTTCATTCATTTTTTTCTTGCAATGTCTTCAGAATCCACTATGTTTTCAGATACTTCTAGCATATCTTGCTTCAAATGCTAAATTTTTGTCGGTGATATTTGACTTGTATTTAGATTTCATGAAATTTATAGTTGAAAAAGTAGTTTCACCTTCCCAAGTTATGTCAAGCATACTTAAAAGTGAACCGAGTTTTTAAATTTTTAAATTTAAATTTAGATTAGTTAAAATTAAGTGAAATTCAAAATTCAGTTCCTTAGTCATACTAGCCAGATTTCAAATGCTCAATGGCCACGGGTGGTCAGTGGCTATGGTGTTGGACATGCAAGCCAACAATCCCATTACATCGTGTCATGAGAGCTGTGGTCATGTCAACTTGACCACTGAATCCTTTGCATTGTGTGTGCACATAGTAGGTATTCAATAAACACTTCTTTAAGAATGTATATATGGATGAATGGATGGCCAAATTCAGCTAATAAACAAATGCATAGTTAATATCATTCCAATTTGATAGAGAAGCTGAGATTCAGAAAAGTAAAATAATGAGGCCAAATGCCCACAGCTTGTAAATGGTAAGGAGGGAATTCCAAGCCAGGTCTGACTCATTCCTAAATCTACTGGATGCAAGAAACATATGTGGGCATAGGAAAGGAAGGCTGAAGCCGTGCCATTGAGCCAAGTGTCATCAGGGTGTCCACAGTGCCCTGCCAGGTCCCCACAGCCCCCTTCACTCACCTCCACACCTTGACCTGCTGTGACAGCTTCCCCCTGGCCAAGCTCCAGAGATGCTCCAGTAGCCCAGAAGATGAAAGGCTACTAGGAGCAGGTGACACCATAGACACGGTGACAGCCGGATGCACCAACCACATAAGCAAAGCCCTGGGCATGGGAAACCGGCACCGGCGGCACAGACAGAGCCCTCTTTTGTCTTGAAATCAGCAAGACTGACCTTATATCTGGTCACAAGTCCTGGGTCTGACCCAAAACTGGAGTGAGAAGCTAAGGGGAAAGTAGTTTTAGTCACGGGACTTCAGAGCTGGAAAGATTAGCGGGATTGCCTCATTCAGAACATTTATGTTGTAGATGAGGAGGTCCAGGAAAGGCAAGGTCCTGCATAAGGTCAACAGTGAGTTTCTTTAATAGGAAAGGCCACATCTCAGTTTTGTTATTGCTGATGATACCATGACTTCCGCTCTCTAAAATGAGGCCAGGTCAGGAATCCCTTCCAGTCCCCACCAATCCTTCTGCTACCTCCGTAACACTGGATCCCATAGTGTTCTTAGGGGAAGTAGCCACGGTGCTCAGAATTTCCACTGGTTACCCTTGGAGCTGTTGCCGACGATCCTGTCTGCCTGAAATGCCTTTCTTTCTTGGTTCTTTCTGTGCCACCCCTGCAGTCTCAGTCTGGCTAAATTGTAACCCAATTTACAAGGCCAAGCTCAAATGCCGCTGTCTCAGTGAAGCTTCCTCCTATCCTACTGAACCTCTGGCCCTTATTTCTTTATTCCAAGGGGTCTCCAGAGTGACTGTTGGACAATGGAGACAAAGGGGTGGCTTCAGGAATCCATGGGAGTTATGACATCCACGGTTGAGGGGAAGTTGTGGAAATTAAGTTTGGAAAGAAAGGTTGAGGCCAGATGGGAGAATGGGGCAGGTTGTAAAGAGCTGAAGAGTGAGGAAGCAGAGGCCCTACTCTACTGCCCGAGCGGAAGCCAGGAGATCTGCTCCTATAACAGGGACATTTCTGTCCCAGGGCCTCACTTGACCCCATTTTTGCCAGGAGATGGAAAATAACATTGCTTAAGACATGAGCCCTGGCCTCCCAGAGCTTCACCTCTAATAAAGGAGAGTCACTTATTCACACATTCATTTCACAATGCTAATTGAGAATTTTACCTCTTGCCAGACATCATTCTAGGCACTGAGGACAAAAACAGGTTTGTGAGAGTCTGTGTGTATGTGGTGTGTGTGTGTGTGTGTGTGTGTGTGTGTGTGTGTGGTGCATATGTGGTGTGTGTGTGGTGTGTGTCTGTGATGTGTGTGTAGTGTGTGTGTGGTGTGTGTGGTGTGTGTGTGTGGTGTGTGTGTGGTGTATGTGTGGTGTGTGTGGTGGTGTGTGTGTGGTGTGTGGTGTGTGTGGTGTGTGTGTGGTGTGTGTGGTGTGGTGGGTGTGTGTGGTGTGTTGTGTGATTGTGTGTGTGGTGTGTTGTGTGTGGTGTGTGTGTGCTGTGTGTGTGGTGTGTGTGGTGTGTGTGTGGTGTGTGTGGTGTGTGTGTGTGGTGGGGGGTGTGGTGTGGTGTATGTGTGTGTGTGGTGTGTGGGGGTGTGTGTGGTGTGGTGTATGTGTGTGTGTGGTGGGGGGGTGGTTTGTTTTCATAGCGGAAATGGTAGACGAGTAGTTAATAATTCTTTCAATCCTAGAGACAGAACTGTGGTTAAGGCAAGTAAGTTCCTGCCTTAGAAGTTTATTTTCCGGTGAGAGACCCGTACTGAGCACACCCTGACCCGGTTGACAGGTGCAGTGCACTTCATGACAGGCGAGTAGGGAGCACTCTGGGAACATGCAACGGAGGAAGCTATTTGATCTGGAGCCTCCAGGATGCGTGACATCTTGGCTGCTTTTGCTGATGATTCTTTGCCTGAGCTTTTGCTGATGATTCACTCTGCCTGAAATGCCTCTCCTGCCTTCACCTGCTCTTCTCTAATCCACCCACACAGTCTCAGCCTGGCTACATCACACCCAGACAGGCTTCAAGGCCAGGCTCAGATGCTACTGTGTCAAGGAAGCCTCCCTCCATTCCCCTGAACTTTCACATCTCCTCTTGCCCTTGCTCCATGAGGTTCTCCGCGGTGGCTGCTAGACAATGGAGAAAAAGGCGGTGGCTTCAGGAACCATGGGAGTTGGTTGAAGGTATCACTCTCATTGACACTGTCAGCTGTCAATTATTCCAGGGGCCCTTCTCTCTCTGCCTTCTTTACAACAGTGAATCTGTTAGGTAACTACATGTCTGCATCAGGTACAAAATGAATGTATCTGTAATCCCAGCTACTCGGGAGGCTGAGGCAGGCGAATCGCTTGAACCTGGGAGGCGGAGGTTTCAGCGAGCCGAGATCACACCACCGTACTGTGCTTAGGCATCAAGCAAGACTCCGTCTCCAGAAAAAAAAAAAAAAAAGGAATATATCATCTCCGGGCAACACATGCTCCTTATGAGTAAAATACATGGTAGAACCCATTGCAGCTACTCAGAAGCCTTTTTGTGTTCAGCATGTATTGGCTGTGTGACCCTGAGCGAAGTTGAGTTGGAGCTGACCAGAGTTTTAAAGCACGTGAAATGCACAGTGCAGGGTTTGTTGGGAACACCTCAGAAGGGCACTAAACCTGGATGGAGCTGAAAGAAAGACCTCTTGGAGGAGTGTCATCAAATGCTCCCCTACCTTGATGTGTGCTGTAGATGGGAATGGATACAGAGAAAAGGAACCTGTAACAGAAGCTCTGAGCTTTCCTGAGGAAGTGAGGTTTCAGATCTGAAACATAAGTGGCAGCTCACTGCTAAGAAGTGGGAGACAACGGGTGTTCCCCACAAAGGGACCAGCATGTGCAAAGACCCTGGAGCCTTATAACCCCCAGGCATTATTACAGTACTCTGAGAACTGTTTTCCTCTCCAAACCCTTTGATGAGGATTTCCAGGTCCAGACTATCTGCAAAGCCAGAGTCCCGATGCTGGGAGAATGCTCAGCTCGTCTGCTGTGCTCTGCCCAGGGGGCTTTCTGGGCACCATGATGCTTCTCCTTCAGACCTAATCCCAGACGGAGAGTGTCTGAAGAAATGTTAAAAACCACTGAATTTAGTGTATCATCCCCTCCTTTTCTAAAGGGGGCTTGAGACTCAGAGACAGCAGTTGGTGTCACATAGAATCACTCTAATTAAGCACTTACTAGGTACCAACCACTGTACTAAGCATTTTTCCATCCAACATGAGGGAGAGACAATTATTGATCTCATGTGTCACATGAAAAAAGTGAGGCTCACCGAGGTGATCGTGTCTGAGGTCACATAGCTAGAACGTCCCAGAGCTTTGAAACCCGGGTAGTTGACCCCAAAGCCTACGTTCCTATCCAGTGGGACTGTTTGTCAGAACTTGGCCAGAATCCAGTTTCTCTTGCATGCAGTCTCATGCATTCATCATTGCAATAAAAATTCAGCTTGGCAAACAAACACCTTTCGGGAGGCCTCCACATCTCTGCACTTGGACTGACTGACTTCAGGCAGGTCTATCCCTTATACTACAGGGCACGAAGCAAGAGTTCAAATGAAGGGCCCTGTGGCTCCAGCCCACCTGCCTTCTCTTGACTCCTCTTCCTACAAGGAAAATGGTTATAGGCAGGTGCTTAGACATCTCACCCCATGTGACCACGCTCCATCCTCACCACCCTAATGCCTTCCCAGCAAACAACAACTTGGCCATCCCTCAGGCTACCCTTAGAGGTGTACAGCCTGCCCTTGGAGGAAAGACCCCTGGCAGAGGCCTAGAAAGTAAGCTGGGGGCTATTGAGCTGGAAACCGACAGCTTGGGTGCTGAAAATGTGATCTGGAAGTGGTGAGGGGGTGGGTCACAGGCTTAGGGTAAGCCTTCCCCTTGGCTCCACAGACTCCTCACCCCACAGCGACAATGGAACTGCAGGAAGAGCAGGGCAGGACCTAGTAGCTCCAATGTGAGGGAGTTCTAAATGCAGACAGTGCCAGGGTTCCAGCTGGGTCCCCTCTCTGCCTCATGAGCCGGCTTCCCAGCAGGGCTGACTAGTACACATTTCTTGTGCCCCTGCACAGCCACACAGCCACACAGCCACACCCTGACCTTCTCCAGAGCCCTTGCCTGATTACCTGATAGTGACCTCCCCCCTCCCACCAGCAACATCACCCCATCCCCACCTTGGGTCGTGCCCTGACTTGTGCAAACCACAGGTCTAAGTGCTGTGCTGAAGCAGAATGAGTCAGGGGCAGAACTCAAGGTGTTGAGCCTGGGAGGCTGCTCTAAGCAGGGAAGAGAAAACTCTGTGGCCCCAGAGAGGAATGAATCAGGCAGGAGTGGCTCAGACCCTGCGTTCTGTCTTCTCCTCACCAAATGCGTAGAGCAGCGGGTGATGTAGGGGGAGAGACTCAGGCACCCCTGGTCATGAATCAGGCAGCATTTAGGAAGTCTGTTTTTCCAGGAGAATATGTAGATGTCATTTCTAGCATTGCTGAGACTGCAATTTGCTTATGGGGGGAGAATATAAGAAGGTTCTGTGTGTGTGCGCACATGCATGTGTATATACACATGTTGTGTACCTATATATGCCTGTGTCTGTGTGAGATATGTATATGTGTGTCTGATGTGGACACATTTATACATGTGTCTATGTGTTTGTGCCTGTGTGTACAGTACCTGTGTCACTGTGAGTGAACATGCACATCGTTCTGCCTGAGGGTCTGTATGGATGTCCTTGCCTGTGTAGCTCAGGGTGTCCCCATGCTTGGCCCCGGGCCAAATGATTCCAGCACCTATAATCTTTTGTTGTTGTTGTTGTTGTTGTTGTTGTTGAGACGGAGTCTTGCTCTGTTGCCCAGGCTGGAGTGCAGTGTTGTAATATTGGCTCACTGCAACTTCCGCCTCCCCGTTTCAAACGATTCTCCTACCTCAGCCTCGTAAGTAGCTGGGATTACAGGTGCCTGCCACTATCCCTGGTTTACTGTCACTGCAACTTCTGCCTCCCAGGTTCAAGTGATTCTCCTGTCTCAGCCTCCCGAGTAGCTGGGAATACAGGCGTGCACCACCATGCTCAGCTATTTTTTTTTGTATTTTTAGTAGAGACGGGATTTCACCATGTTGGCCAGGCTGGTCTCGAACTCCTGACGTCAAGTGATCCACTTGCCTCAGCCTCCCAAAGTGCTGGGATTACAGGTGTGAGTCACCACACTCAGCCCAGTGCCTATAATCTTCACCACTACATTCGACTGTTGACCCTGTGGGGAACAGTCACCACTTCTTATTTTCTTACTATGGTGATAACATAGCAGACATTCAATATGTATTTATTGAATGAATATATCAGAAACGTCCCCACCTGAACCAGCTCCCTGGAAGCTCCAGGAGTCCCAAAGAAAAGGCCCAGTGGAGAGAAGAGCTTCATTCAGGTTGATTCCTTCCTAGCTCCAGGACACAAGTCTGAACTGATCTTCCTGACCCTCAGGGGCTTTTGCTCAATGTCCCCCTCTGCCCTGGTCAGAAGTCAAGACACAAAAGCTCTGGGCTCTGCCATAACCTTGCTCTGTGATCTTGGGTAAGTCCTTTCCCTCTCTGGGCCTCAGTTTCCCTATCTGATAAAAGAGCAGATCAGACTTCTGGATATCAAAAGGCACACTCAGACTCAGCATGGTGTGGTTTTTACCTTAGAGTTCTTCATTCAGTTGCCCCCTGCCCATCTAGATATTGGATCAATGTAATCGTCCCTCTCAGCTCCTTCTCTGTCTACTTATGATCCCAGCTAGGCAGCAAGCAGAGGTCCCAACCAGGCCTTGTTCGTTAGGGCTTCATGCTATTGCTGTGAGTGCCTGTCGGTAACCCCCAGGCATCATAATTCAGATCACCTTTGCTAAAAACAGGCTGGAGGACATTTACAGTCTTGGGAAGGGAACATCTTGGGGAAATGGTGATGAAAAATGCAGTCTTCTAATACCCTGGCCTTCTGGGCCTGTGGAGGAAGGAAGGATTCTGTAAGCTTATTTTTCCAGAGAGCTGGGTTGCGGAGGGGGTCAGAGAAGAGGCAGTGTTGGTCAATGCATTAAACTTTTCTTTCGTTGTAACCATTTCAGGTGGGAACCTTCTGTAGTTCTACTAGGTGCTTCCCTGCCTTTTCAAACAAGATGCGAAGCATGATTTCATCTTTCCTTGATGACTCAGGACCATCACAAAAACATTAACGTTTGAATTAAGTTTTAAAGCGGAGGTGTCCTCAAAGGCTGCAAAGATATTTTAGACTATTTGCCTCTCACTGAAAGGCAAAGCTTTTCTTTTTTGTGTTTAATCTTCTCTCATTGACACTGTCAGCCGTCAATTATTCCAGGGGCCCTTCTCTCTCTGTCTTCTTTATGACAGTGCATCTATTAGATAACTACATGTCTGCATTGGGTATAAAATGGATATGTAATATCTGAGCAAGGGACTCTCCTATGAGTCAAGTACATAGTAGAAACCATTGCGGCTAGTCAGAAGCCTTTCTGTCTTCAGCACTTACTAGCTGTATGGCCCTGAGCAAGATATTTCTATGACTGAGTTTTCCAATCTATAAAATGGGACTAATAGTAGTATCTGCCTCATAAGGTCATTGCAGCTCAATGTAAAGTTACATGCAACTAAGCACTTAGCACACTGGATTGTAATCTTAGCTACTCAGTAAATATTTGTTTTATTCTTAGCTATTTTTTTAGTCTGAGTTTTGGATCAATGACATTGCAAGATAAGTACTTGACTCATTTTCAAAGAATGCTTTGAGCTACCTGCAAGTAATAGAAAATCCACTAACAGTGGCTTAAACAAATAGGTTTTTGTTTGTATTATATTGCAAGAAACACACAGGCAGACAGCTGTTGGCTTTTGTTCAGTAGCTCAGTGATATTAGGGCTGGTGTCACTGCAGTTCTTTTGGCTTCTGCCTCATAAACACAATATTGCTGCTGAAGCTCCAGACATCACACTCACTTTCAAGGCAGGGGAAAGGAGATGGGGTGATGCTGGCTATGTCTACATTCCCAGAAGCCCCATATGTTTTCTTTCCTAGCTGATTGCTCCTATGTTTCACAGTCTAGAACTAGGTCACACGGCCACCACCAGCTGCAAAGAATCATGAAAAACAAGAAACAGGGATGTCGTGATTAACTTTCACCACCATTCCATCTCTCCTGGGACTTAACACATTGTCTCTCCCTGCTCTCATTTCCCAACCAGGGTTTTTTTAGTGAGAAGGAGAAATGGATATTGGGTCAGTAACTAACATTGTTTGCCCAGTAATTATTATTTTTCTTTTTTTTTTTTGTCTTAATAAGGAATTTGATTGCAAGTGACAGAAACCCAAATCAGACTTGCTTAAGCAAAAATAAGGAAATGGATAGAAAGAAAAAGGGACCAAAGAAGAAAAGGAGACAATAAAAGAAATGAATTGACTCATATCCAGGGAGAGTTTGTCCTTAGGTCTAAGTATGAGGCCAAATGAGCAAACAGCGTTGTCAAGAGATCACCCTTCTCTGCTTTTTGGCTATTTTCCTTTGCATTTACTTAATTATCAGGTAGTTTCTCCTCACCTGGTGGTCCCTGGGAGCTCTAAGTTCACATTCTCCGAGGCTATTGTTCAGCTGAGAAAAGAGTGAGTCATTTCTCTCTGTCACTCAAGCAAAAGTCCCAGGATGAATATTGATTGTCTGTGATTGGGACACAAGCCCAACCCTGAGCCAATCACAGTGACCACAGGGAACTCATGCTCTGATTGGCAAAGCCAAGTCTCACACCCAACTCTGGAGCATAGGTTGGGTCCGTTGCCCCCAACCACTGGTTAAGCTTAAAGACTAAAGTAGACTGAACCCCTCCTGAAAATCAGGGGCAGAACCAGAGGGAGGGGAAATGGATGCAGAGCACATGTAGAGCTTTGCAGTCTTCAAAGTACATTATTCCACACAGACACCTATGAATTAGGGAAAGCAGGGATTCTGGCCCCATTTTGCAGTGGCAAAACTGTCTCAGAGAGGTGACATGATGTGTCCAGAGTCATTCAGCTCACAGGTAGTCAGAAAGAGTCCCCACGCCTCCAGGATCCTGGTGTTTCCCTGACACCACATCCTGAGATGACTGACAACTGGTCAACTCATGTATTGTCCAGGAGCCATGGAGCCATGTGACAAAGTAGCCTGAGGGACCCCCAAGAGACCACTGGTTCCACACTTTACCTCCATTGTTGTGTTAGAGCTTTATACCCTGTGAAGAGAGCAGGCCCAGAAATTGAGAAAACCTGCATTTGAATCCACCTAACTAGCTGCGAACCCAACAAATGTCTCTTTTCTGGGCCTCAGTTTCCCCACCTGCAAAAGGAGTTAGTTGGGCTCAGTGATACCTAAAGACACTTCTAGCTCCAGCTTGGCCACTGTCTCAGGTTCCAAGATTTCCCCACCCCTTGTGGTAGCTTCAGATTTCTTGCCTGGGGGAAGAGCCAGGGCAAGTTGCTGCAGTTCTGTTCTCTCCACACAGCAGAGTGGCGGCTCCCAGCCCAGAGTGGAGGCTTACCTAACCCCAGCAAGCTGAGCAAATCCCTGAGAACAAAAGGGGGAGAAGACCTGACAAGGGAGGGGAAGGAGTGAGTCTATTCCTTCCTTGCACAGCAACTTTAACCCCTTCCATGCCTCCCCAGCAGCAGGAGGGCAGGCAGGGTTTCCAGACAGGGGGTAATGAATGCATCTCAGGCATGCACGGGCTTCCAGGAACTGCTGTGCCACCAAAGCCAACTTTCCATAGGGGAGCCCTCCCTGGGAGCAGCCACAGCTGGAGATGCCATTTGTCCTTCATAGACCCAGACTCATGGCATCAAAGCCCCCCACCGCTCCACCCCCAACAAAAGCCAGAAGGGAGCTGCATTCCATCCTTCTGCCAGTCAGGAAGCTGAAGCCTAGAAATGGGGAGGAACTTGCCCAAGGTAACATAGCTTTCGACTCACAGGAAGGGGCCTCGACTAGGACAGTGCCAGACACAGAAATGAATAAAGTGTGTTCAATGACCGGAATCAAGGCCTCCCCACCTTGCGCTCCTTCCTCTGTGCATACTATATTGCCTTTTGGGATTCTTAAATCAAAGTTTCCATCCCCAAATTAGAAGCAGATTGTTGAGGCCTGTCCATAAATTCCTCACTTGAACCTGTAGTGACTAATTCTCTCGGGAGTGTGGGATCAAACCCACCATGGCTATTAAGAATTTAATATGAAGCCCCAGTGCCTGGGGCCGTGCTTTCTCATCAGCCCCGAAACAGGGCGAAGCCTGCATGTCAGGCGGGGCCAAGAATGCAAAGTCTGGAGTCCCTTTCCTGAGAAGCTTCCTGGGACAGCAGCCTTCCCTCTGGGGAAATTCTCAGGGGACCTTCTGAACAAGAAGTGTCTTTTTTCCTGCACCAGTCCTAATCATAGACAAAGTGGGAAGCCCCTTGGCAGAGAGAAGTCTGGATAAACACCACCTCCTGGCAATGTACCCTTGCCCCTAACATCTCCCACGTACAACTGACACTCCACCCTTCATGTACAACAGGCTCCCAGTCTCCAAAGGTCTTTGTGAACGCAGCGTGACCCACAGAAAAAGAAGCAGAGGTGGGGGGTGGTGGAGGAGGTTGGGGGAACAGATCCAGTCTATTGGTGAATTTTAAGCAATGAACATATTTTTGACCTGAGAAAGTGGTCAGAGTGCATCAAATTGAGAGCCTGGGCTCCTGCAGCCAGTGAGGGGGCAGAGGCCCAGGAAGAGGGCTCTGGGTGACCCGGGACAGCAGTGGGTGATGGGGCAAAGCTGTCTCACCTACTGGGCTTGGTTACTCATGGGACTGATGGGACTATCAGAGAGCATGTGGCTTGTGAACCCAGGAATGCCTTCTTGAAACAGCCTCCCATCCTTCCTGTGAGATCCCTGAGAGAGATGAAGCTTCAGGGACAATTTAGTGACTGAGTGCCACTCCGCCTGGGATTGTGTTAGGCACTTAATGTGACAAATAAAATACACACGGTTCCTCCCCTCAAGGGCAGTGACAGGTGAGAAATACGGAGGTCATCCTATTATTTCAGATGTGCCTGAATCCCAAAGTTGAGCTCTTTGGCAAACCAGAGCCCCACAGGATCCCCGGGCCGTGTTTGTAATTTACTAGACATGTACCAACTGCATCCCACATATCTGTCCGTCCCTCACAAGTGCATCTCACCCATCAGAGAGTGCTCACAGCTCTACCTCCGAGACACATGCCCTGAATTTCACCACTTCTTTCAGCCCCTCGCCCTACACCCAGTCACCACTTTTTCTTTCCTGGATGACTGTTCTTGTAGTCTCTTCTCCAAGGAGCAGCCAGAGTGATTTGCTCTAAGATAGTAAGTCACTCTCCTGCTAAAACCCTCCATGGACTTCCCATGGCCCTTAGTGGGAAACGCACACTCCCTACCATGGCCCCTGGACAAGACTTTCGCCATCTGTCTCCTGCCCACAGGACGTCCTTCCCCTCCACTTTGCCCCTTATGCACACGCCTTCTTTCCACTACAAGAAGATGACGCACTTGTTTGTTTCCCTGGGTCTCTGAAATTGTTGCTCCTCCTTGGAATGTTTGCTCCCAGCTTCCCATCCTTCAGATTTCAGCTCAAAAGTCACTTCCTCGCAGAGGTCCTCCTTGACAACACTAACCAAACCCCTGCATCACTCATTGCCCATCATATTCCCTTACTTTTATGTGCAGAGCACTTATCAATAACAGAAATCATCTTATTTCTTTGTGTGTATGTTTACTGCCTGTCAGTCTCCTCCCGCCATGCCCCTTGAGGTTCGTGTTTCTCTTTTATTTCCTTACTACTTTCTACTTAGCACCCAGAGCTCAGTGCATAGTAGAGTCTCCAAACATCTTTGTGGCCTCATTCATTGACTAGCACAATGCTCAGACATCAAATATCCATGTGAAAAGAGCATAGAGATTGAATCCATCTACTCACTTGTCAGAGGGGAAAATGGAGATTCCAAGAGGGACTGGGACTTGCCCACAGCCATACAATTCCTTCATTTATTCATATCAGCTGATACATGCAGGATAAGAAGGAGGTATCCGTTTGAAGATATGGGGGGAAGAGCTAGTGCAAAGGGCCTGAGGCACGACCTTTACGGGAAAGCAGGCAGGAGGTGAGTGTAACAGAGCAATCCAAGGAGGAGAGGTGTGAGGGGAGGTGGCCAGGCAGGCAGAAGCCAGGCCATGCATTCGCAACTTGGATTTAGTTCCCTCTAAACCAGGGGTGTGAATTTCTCTGCCCACTTGTGTAAGATGCTCAGACAGCATGGGACCTGGGAGACTAGTTGGGCACCCATAAGAAGCCAAGAGTGAAGATCCTGTGGTTGAGCAAGTCCCATGGGTGTGTTTGCCAGGACATCAAAGGTGCTGCAGGCAGCGGCAGCCGCCTGTCTGAGCTCCATTACCGTGTGGGAACTGCACAGGACCCACCCAGTTAGTATGAGTGCAGTACTCGCTGTGCAATTACGGCTGCTACTGCTGGCTGACCACGTGCCAAATCGCTGCACAGTTAGTTACTCATGCCACAGGCTTTGGACCAATTAAGTGAGCAAAGAGGGTGGTTAACGAGGAGTAAACAATCCAAATGCCCATGATTACACTGAGGCTTTGCTCTAATGCATCCAAGCCAGGAGATGAGGATGGGCAGCAGGGAACATGGGGTCTCCTGTCCTTTGTTTTGTATGGTTGGCCCACTGAAATCTCTTTCACCCAGCCCACCCTGTCCCATACTCTGCTATCACTGTCTGCTGATTATTTTTTTCTTGTCTCCTCCCCTCGCTTTTTTTTTTTTTGGTGGAGGGGCGTGTGTGTGCCAAGTTCTAAGCACTGAGATTACAGCAAAACAAAGCAGCACTTATGGAACTGACATTTTAAAGTCAAACAATCAGGTAAATCAATATGATGCATCAGGTGGTAATACATGCTATGAAGAACACTGATGCTGGGTAAGAGGAATAGAGAGCTCTCAGGGCATGGGTGCTAATTCATATAGTGAGTCTAGAGAAGGCCTTTTTGGGTGAGTGCAGTGGCTCCTGCCTGTAATCCCAGAATTTGGGGAAGCTGAAGCAAGAGGGTCACTTGAGCCCAGGAGTTTGAGACCTCCTGGGCAATATAGCACGACCTCATCTCTACAAAAAATATATGCTTTTTAAGGCTGGGTATGGTGGCTCCCACTTGTAATCCTAGCACTTTGGGAGCCCGAGGCGGGCAGATCACTTGAAGTCAGGAGCCCAAGACCAGCCTAGCCAACATGGTGAAACCACACCTCTACTAAAAATACAAAAAAAAAAAAAAAAAAATTAGCCACGCGTGGTGGCACGTACCTATAGTCCCAGCTACTCAGGGGGCTGAGGCAGGAGAATCACTTGAACCCGGGACACAGAGGCTGCAGTGAGCTGAGATCTCGCCACTGCACTCCAGCGTGGGTGACAGAGTGAGACTCCATCTAAAATATGTATATATATATTATATATATATATATGTTAGCTGGGCATGGTGGTGCATGCCTGTGTCTTAGCTATATGGGAGGCTGAGGCAGGAGGATTGCTTGAGCCCAGGAGGGTCAAGGCTGCAGTGAGCTATGATCACACCATTGCACTGCAGCCTGGGCAACAGAGTGAGGCCCTGTCTAAAAATAAAAACTTTTTTTAAAATAAAGGTTTTTTTGATAAAGTGACACTTGAACAGAGACCTCTCTGAAGGAAGTCAGGGAGCCAGCCATGCAGTCGCTGGGGAAGGGCATCGCATGCAAAGGGAATGGCCGGTACAAAGGCCCTGAGATTTCTGTTTGCAGGGGTAGACCAGTGTGACTGGAGCAGAGTTAGCAGTATCGTAGGATGATTTGGGATTATACAGCTACAGGGAAGGATGAGGGCAGGTTCCAAGTATGGAGAACAGCATTCTCGAAAGCCTCCAGCGATGACAAGTGCTTTCTGTTTTTCAAAGTATTTTACCTCATTTGATCCTCAGAACAATACTGTAAGGGTAAGAAGGATAGATTTCTTTTTCTATTGACTGCTGAGGACCGAAGCTCTAGAATGTCTAACAGTTCAGCCAGGATCACATAGGAATATTCCGATTCAGAGGCAGAAATCTGTGGTCTGCACTATGCTTTCAGGTCAGATTAGAGGCTCATTCCTTTTGACACCATGCCATTGTGAGCTTCCAAAACAAGATCCGCTCTCAGGCAAGCCTCTGAATGGGTTACAAAGTTCAAAATGGAGCCAAGCACAAGAAGAGTTGCCAAGAGTGATACAGAACGCTCTGTGGGGAGCTGGTGTGGAAAATCAGCACACCCAGCGCCTGTAGTAATTTAACCAATACAGCAGAAAAACGTAGCTTGCGTGTCTTTCGAAGAAACCTTTACAGAAACCCTGAAAAGCTAGAATCCTCCCTGTGTCTGATCATAATTTAATATTTCTGGAATAAAATCCTTCTAGAATATATGTCCTTTAGAATTCCTCCAAGAAGCTTCCTATGGAGCTCCAGATAAAGAGGACAATCTAAAAGTTAATATGAAAGATTAAATTAAAAATGCCATCCAGAAAACAAGATTCCCCTGCAAGGGACGCATATAACAGATTTTGCAAATGTGTGGTAGATCTTACTCCTGCCATCAGCACCTACTGAATTCCCGATGCTATTGTTATCGTCATTTTCACTACTTAGTTTCTAGTGGCCACAACATCAACTGAGAGTGACTTGATGGGCTGTCACCAAATTTGGAAGGAATGTTTGCAAACATTTGTATAAATGTAGGAAACAAAATTTACTTTGCAGGGCTCAGGTGGGAGTGCGTCCCAAATTGCGAGGGAGTCATCTTAGACACTGGAGGGGCTGCTGACCAAGAGAGGCCTGCCATAGCTCTCAGGAAGCTGTAGAAAGTGAAGTACAGAGATAGATTCAAAATTTAAGTCCCATATTGCAAGTCACAAAGACAGATGCTCTGAATCACCAGCACTGATTTTCGAGGGAGCTGGTTCTGACACGGGCTGCTCTGTGCACAGTCCAGAAATCTATGACTTCATCATGTTAATGAGACTGGCAGTCAACGCTGGGACCACACCTCAAGTGGGCTTCTCCTGGAGCATTAGCTCCCACATGCCAAAGAGCGGGGAGCGTTTCCCTTTAGGCTTATGCGGCAGTTCTCAAGCCACTCGATCTCAGGACCCCTTTACACTCTGTCTTTATCAGGAATCGAAACTGAGAAGATGGCCGGGTGCGGTGGCTCACACCTGTAATCCCAGCACTTTGGGAGGCGGAGCGGGGGGGTGCGCAGATCACCTGAGGTCAGGAGTTCAAGACCAGCCTGGCCAACATGGCGAAACCCCATCTTTACTAAAAATACAAAATTGGCCAAGCATGGTGGTGCATACCTGTAGTCCCAGCTACTCGGGAGGCTGAGCCAGGAGAATCGCCTGAACCTGGGAGGTAGAGGGTGCAGTGAGCAGAGATCACGCCATTGCACTCCAGCCTGGGCAACAAGTGCGAAACTCCATCTCGAAAGAAAAAAAAAAAAAACTAAGAAGAGTGTTCTAAATATTTACGTGGTAGTTTACATACTGGGTACAATTGTATACTGCTTGGGTGACGGTGCACTAAAATCTCAGACATCATCACTATACAGTTCATCCATGTAACCAAAAACCCTTGTTAGCCCAAAGTTATTGAAATAAAAATAAATAAACAATAAATAATAAATAAATATTTATGTGGTAATTTATTTAAAAATAACAATAAGCCCACTACATGTTTCACATAATCATAGTATTTTCTTTTTCTTTTTGGAGACAGGGTCTGACTCTGTCACCCAGGCTGGAGTGTGGTGGCACAATCATAGCTCACTGCAGCCTTGACCTCCTGGGCCTGAGCCATCCTCCCACCTCAGCCTCTCGAGTGGATGGGGCTACAGGTGCACACCACCACGTCCTGAACAATACTTTCGAAGTAAAAAAAATCGTAAGTGTGGCGTTGTTTTACATGTTTGCAAATGTCTTAAACAGACACCTGGATTCTCCTAGCTGCTTATTATGATATCATAAGGATGCAGCCTCTGGAAAATGCCACTGAGCACTCGGGAGAGCATGAGAGCAATACGGTAAATGTGTTCTTGGTAACTATCATGAAAAATATTTTGACCTCATGGACCATGTACAAGGGTTATGAGACCGTCCCGACAGGGATCCCCAGACCACTCCATGAAAACCTTAGTATAATGGTGGAAGCCAAATTGTTGGGGACTTTGGGCATATTGTTAAACCTCTTCATGCCTCAATTTTCTTGCCTATAAAATGTAGATAGTAATAACTGTCCTCATAAGGCTCTTGTGACAATAAAATGACTTAATATGGGTAAAGTGCCTGACACATAGTAACAGCTCAATAAATGCTGGCTAGTATTATGAACCGCTCAAGAGCCAAGTCCATGGGTTCATTGTTCCCCCAAAGCAGAGAATGGGGAAGGCGTGCAGGAATCTTTCAGGAATAAGTGCAGGCACATGTGAACAACTCTCTCAGTGAGAGGACTTTCCTAGGACAGGGAAAAGTCTTTTTTTTTTTTTTTTTTTTGCCCCTATTAAATAAGCTAAACAGATCAGAGAGGCCATGTGACTCATCAAAGTCACTCAGCGGGTCCTGTGTGTAGCTGCTGTAGCTGAGAATGGCCCTCCCGCACCTCCCCACCCCACACTACCCTCTGCATCCAAACTCATCCGAGCACACTAGGGATGGAGGTCCTGGAGCATCGATTTTGTCCTGTTGTGGAACATACCTCATGTGCAGTCTCAGGGGCCAAACGAGGTCTACAGAACGCTGTAGCTTAAGACATCCAAGCTCTCTCCTCCCTCTGTCATGCCATCTAGAACACACTTCTAAATTGTAATTACATACTAACTTATGTGATTACTCACTGACTTCCCCTCCTTAGTCCTGGGACCCTCTCAGTCTTTTTGGTTTCAATGGCTGTCATGTCAGGGATGTGGCAGAAACTCTATCAATATTTAGATGTCTGTTTTAGGAAAGAAGGAAGAAATAAAACCATGTGTTTTCATTGATGAAAAGAAAGCAAGCAACAGACAGCTGAATGTTTTCTGTAGATAATTAGGTGTTTGAGATAGTGCAGAAAGGAGGAGAGTACGGTAAAATGTTAAAACAGAAAATCAACCAAGAGTTAAGGTGTTTGTCTACCAAGAGTGCTGGTTCTGCTTAGTTTTAGAAACAATAACAACAATGATAAGGACAAGAAGGGCTCACGGTTACTGACAGCTTACCGTGGGCCTGGCATGGCGCTAAGCATTCTGCATGTATCGTCTCACTGAACGCTCCTTATCTGCTGTGATGTTATTTCCATTTTACACAGTGCTTGAATGACTCCAGAAGTCCCACAGCCAGTGAGTAACACAGTGCATCATGGAGGTGGGTCATCCTTGGAAGGCCTGGGGCATGGAATACAAGCTGGAGAAGGTGGAAGGAGGCTGGGATGAGATGGTGGCAGGTTGAGGTGCCAGGCAGAAGAGTAGGCCTGAGTGCAGGTGCTAGAAGTTCAGCGTTTCTGGGGCTGGGCACAGGTGAGCAAGATAAAATGCTGCTGATTTCTTAATTGTGGCACCAGACACTGACTGGGGCACCAGGCACAGAGCTGGAGCACACCATATTTTATAAAAAGAAATACTAAGGCTCAGAGGGAGAAAAGGCCTTGCCCAAGGTCACCCAACAAGTTAGAGCCCAGCCCAGTCTTGCTCCCAGTCCAGGGATTTTGGCACTGCAACAAGTGCCCCTCTTCTGACTAACAGACTCACACGCTTCCCCCATGGCAGGCTCCCCTGGTCCCTGGCTCCCTGCAGAGAGGATGGCGTGGGAAGGGAGCAAAGCAGCAGGCTTCATTCCAGGATTCCCCTCCCAGGGCAGGAAGGAGAGGGCTGTGGGGCATGACCAGGCCTGCTGTGGCTGACTAGGGGTTCTCCACCAGCCCCCCAAACCCAGAACAAAGCAAGGTTAATGAGAGCAAATTACAAAGGCTCTGAAAATGGAAGGGACCCTTTGAAGGCTGCAAGGGTGAGAGCTGGGGTGGGACCAGCCTGCTGTCTCTGTCCTCTTGTGCAATGCGCTTCCCCCGGGAACAAGCTGGCACAGGACGGTGCTCACAGAAACATCCATCCCTGTGGTCATTGCTGGAACTCTGGTTGGGCTTCTACTCTGAATTTTTCTACATTCCAATTGCCAGAAAAATGAAGATTTCTGATTGCAGACAGCTCAGCAGAGTTCCCCAGCCATTCCAAGACTTGGGGCTTAAAGGAGATTTGCGGGGAGGAGCTCCACCACACCCAGAACCTCTGGAGAACAGATTAAGGCTCTGAGCATCGCTGTTGATCATCTCTGCATTGGTTCACTTTTCTCTTTGTGGTGAGGGGTGGATATAGTAATATGCACTGACATGTATGATTAAGTTCTTAGTCTGATACTAGCACAGTGCTAAGGGGCTATACACCTTAACTCTGACAATAAGCCTATGAGATGGGAATCATCAAATTACCCCTTTGGGTGGCTTAGAGCAGTGGTTATCAAAGTGCCTTCTTGGACTAGCAACATGAGCATCACTTGGAAATGTGTTAGAAATGCAAATTCCCAGGTGCTATTGCCTTAGAGAGCATAAGAATCTCCCCCAAGTTGCATAGCAGCAAGTGGCAGCCCAGGACTGCCCCAGGACCCACACTTCTGCCCACTAGTCACTGCTGCCTGTGTCTGTGGGCCCTGTCTCCCTTTCACAGGGGTGGGTGAGTGATCATGGGCTGAGAGAGGCTGAAAGGAATACAAAAGAACAGCACATTCACTACCATACTCTTTGTAATTAGAAAAGACTGGGGCCCGGCACAGTGGTTCATGCCTATAATCCCAGCACTTTGGGAGGCCAAGGCAGGAGGATCACTTGAGCCCAGGA
This sequence comes from Homo sapiens, assembly GCF_000001405.40. NCBI lineage: Eukaryota > Metazoa > Chordata > Mammalia > Primates > Hominidae > Homo > Homo sapiens. The sequence goes on from NC_000005.10 coordinate 151,629,399, forward strand.
GTTCAAGACCAACCTAAGCAACATAGCCAGACCCTATCTCAATAAAAATTAAAAAAGAAAAGATTGGAAACAGCCTAAACCAGCCCTAGGCTGGTTAAATAAACTATGGGGTGTTCATGTAATGCAACAACTTTTTACAGAAAAAGAGTAGGAAAGCTTTTTATAGATACTATGAAATGGTCTCTACAATGGAGTATTAAGTAGCAGAAAGCAAAGTGTAGAACACTGAATATAGGAAACTACCATTTGTATAAAAAAAGAGACAATACGTAAACAAATTTGTTTATATGCAAATACACACACACACTGAAAGACAATTCAAAGAATTGGCACACAGAGACTTCCTAGAGTTGACTGTGCAGAGGGATGTGAGGAGGACCTCTCATATGTGCCTTGGTACCTTTTGCATGAGTTACCTACTCAAATGATAAATAGAGTACGATTCAAAAGAAGAAGAAGAAAGAAGAAGGGAGAGGAGGACCAGCCTGAGGGCTTAAAAATGCCAGACATTGGGCTGAATTCTTACATGCATCATCTCCTTTAATCTCCTCAACAACCCCTAGAGTTGATTACTATTATTAGTCCCATTTTGTTGACATGGAAACAGAGGCACAGAGAGGCTAAGTGACTTTCCTTGAGTACAGAGCTATTGAGTGGAAGAGCTGGGATTTGAACCAACATATGTGTGACTCCAGAGCCCAAGCTGTAAATCACTGTATTACTTTATATGTGTGAGTTAATTTCATCCTACCAACTCTCTTTGAAAGAAGTGATGGTTTTCCCCTTTATAAATAAGAAAATAGAGGCCCAAAGGGGTTATGTGGCTTGGCCAAGGTCACATTGCTGAAGCATGACCAACCAGGAAGAGAATCCCTAGAAAGGATGTACAATTGCTGGGGTCTGTAGCTGCAAGTTCTCACTAGAAGAGAACCCTTCTCAATAGGATAGAGGGGAAAGGCTGTTGTCCTGTGTAAAGGCAGGGACCATCATGTCAGCTGATTGCCCAGTTTCTGGCATAGCATCTGGTACATGCTGAGCACCTGAAAACTTTGGAAGGAAGAGAGGGAATGAGGAAAGGCAATGCTGACCAGTGGCCACCCCTGGAAGGAACTCTGTAAGTCAGCTAGGCCAGATGGACAAACTGCAGCCTAGAGATGGGGAGGGGCTAACTTAAACTGGTCGAGTAAGGAGGTTTGTTTGTTTTTTTGTTTGTTTGTTTTTGTTTTTTGTTTTTTTGGGACGGAGTCTCACTCTGTCACCCAGGGTGGAGTGCAGTGGCATGATCTTGGCTTACTGCAACCTCCACCTCCCGGATCCAAGTGATTCTCATGCCTCAGCCTCCTGAGTAGCTGGGACTACAGGCACGCACCACCACTCATGGCTCCTTTTTTTGTATTTTAAGTAGAGATGGCATTTCACCATGTTGGCCAGGCTGGTCTCGAATTCCTGACCTCAGGTGATCTGCCCATCTTGGCCTCCCAACGTACTGGGATTATAGGCGTGAGCCACTGCACCAGGCCCAGTAAGGAATTCTGAAGAGAGTGGACACAAGGGCAGATAATATTTTTTAATGACCTACTTACAGGCTGGGAACGGTGGCTCACGTCTGTAATCCCAGCACTTTGGGAGGCTGAGGCGGGCAGATCACCTGAGGTCGGGAGTTTGAGACCATCCTGATCAACATGGAGAAACCCCATCTCTACTAAAAATACAAAATTAGCTGTGTGTGGTGGCACATGCCTGTAATCCTAGCTACTCGGGAGGCTGAGGCAGAAGAATTGCTTGAACCTAGGAGGCCGAGGTTGCGGTGAGCAGAGATCGCGCCATTGCACTCCAGCCTGGGCAACACGAGCGAAACTTCGTCTCAAAAAAAAAAAATGACCTATTTACCTTGGGAAATTTTCGTGATTTCCTTCTGTCTCCCTAACAGAGATGGAATGGGACAGGAACTGGCCAATTTTGATTGGAATGAGAAGAAATATCCATCCCAAGGTTAAATTCAGTGGGGAGGAGGGTCTTTCAGCAGCTGTTGAGGTAACAGGGAGGCAGTGGATATAAGAAGGCAGCTGAGATATAAAGGAGAGGCCAGTGGATTCGAAATCAGGGGATCTGGGTTCTAGTCTCAGCTCTGCTTTGTACTAGCTGGGTTATGTGAGCAAGTCACTTCCCCTCCCTGACCCTTACTGTCTTCATCTATAAATAGCAGAGTTATCGTGGGACACAAATAAGAATACAGAAAGCATGCATAAAGTATGCCGGGCCCTGTGGCTCATGCCTGTAATCTCAGCACTTTGGGAGGCTAAGGCTGGCAGATCACCTAAGGTCAGAAGTTCGAGACCAGCCTGACCAACATGGCAAAACCCCATCTCTACTAAAAATACAAAAATTAGCTGGGCATGATGGTGCGCACCTGTAATCCCAGCTACTCAGGAGGCTGAGGCAGGAGAATCACTTGAACCTGGGAGGCGGAGGTTGCAGTGAGATGAGATCGTACCACTGCACTCCAGCCTGGGCAACAAAGCGAGACTGTCTCAAAAACCAAACCAAAACAAACAAAAAAAGAAAGCATGCATAGAGCAAATGTTAATATGGGGAGTTATTAAGGACACACAACAACAGTACTGGTGACAAACTGCGCTGAACGACTTGCCTGTCGCATCAGCCATTCTCTTGATTCCAAATGTAGTGCGGAGCTGAGTCCATGCCGGTCTCCTCCACTTGTTGAAGGGGAATTAACTGTCTGGGCTCCCTATGAGGCTTTTGCTGACCTTCCTTCCCCCAGGGCAGCACTTACCATGTTCCTTGCTTAGGTGTCTGCCTCTCTCACTGACAGCTAATTGAGGGCAGAGACCATGCAGTGTTCCTCACTTAATTCTTAAACCAAGGACACAGTGGGAGAGATGGAGGGAAGGAAGGAGACATGGATGCATGGATGGATAATGGACAGTTGAATATTTTCAGCATCCAGAGGAAAGATAATTCTGATGCTGGTAAGTTAACACTTCTTAGAGAAAATCTATTTGGACTGAGACTTAAAAGAGTAGGTAAGGTTTCAGTAGGGTGAGATCGAGAGGTTAGAGAGGAGGAAGGTGGTTGGGTAGGTGAGAACAGCCTGAGCTCAGGCACAGGGCAGGAAAGCTCAAGGCATCGGGCAGTCATGGGCAGTGGTCTGGGGTCGACGGATCGGAAAGAGGGCTGTGGCCCGCTGCCGCTGGAAAGGCAGGTTTGAGCCAGGTTGTGGCAGGCCTTGAAAATTGAGCAAAGTGTCTGGACTCCTCCATCCTGCAGGCAACAGGGCGCCACAGAAAGTTTTGTAAGAGAGAAGTGACCTGTTCTGCCCTGTGCTCGCTGGCGGCGTGTGGAAGGGCGGGCACCGGGCCAAGGCCAGCTCGGGGAGGAGGTCTCACCACTTGCTGCTCTCTGCCGGGCTCTCCTGAAGAGCTGCTCAGGATCAGGGCGAGATGTGGGAGGCTGTGGATCCTCCTGCAGGGAAGGCTTCCCCTTCAGAAATGGCTGGATTGGACAGCAAGCCTTCCAGGCCTGCCTGCTGGGCATAGACCCATGAGGCCAGACTTACCCTCCGCATTCCCCAGAGCACCCTCAGCAGCACTGCCCCAGTTGCCAGGAAGTGCCTTAGCTCTGGGTTAAAGTCCCGGCTCTTCCACGGACCCTGGGGTTTGGACTAGTCCCTGTGCCTCTCTCGCAGCCCCTGTGTTTCACAACTTCAGGAAGTCCCATTCACACGGGAGACAATGAAACAATGTGCCCAGACTTGTGCAACCCAGCGGTCCTGCTTCTAATAGCAATTTCCTTGGCTGTACCGAAAGGAGGACGAAGGTTGGTGTGGATCACCTCTGCAGGCCACTCCAAGTCTCAATTTATAGCAGTCTGAGCAAAATGATGGGCTTTGGTAGGAGGTAGGGGGCCAGGGCCTTTGTCCAGTGCCAGAGACAGTGGTAGAGAAGGTCTAGGGGCTGGAGGATGGCCAAACCCCCAAAGCAACCGTGACTCCCTCCTCCCAGGGTGAGACCTGGATTTGTGTCTCTGACCCATCCCTACTCAGTTTTGCAACCATGTAGAATCTCACCCCTCTAGCCAGGTTTTCCATGAATGAACCAGGGAAAAGAAAAAATACCCCTCCTAGGGCGATAGTGAGCATTAAAAGAGCTTATGCATGTCAGGCACTTAGCAGGGTGCCTACACCAAAACTGCAGCTCAGGAAACTTTAGATCCACCAGGATTTTTGTTTTCTTTTGTAAAACAACTTAAATGTATCTGCTTCTGGGCATTCTTACCTTGACCTACCTCAAGATCACAATAAAGCCCTCCAGGGATGGCCCCAGAGCAGAATTCGCTATTTGCTGAAAGCTCGAAAGGGGTTCTGGGGTGTGCGAAAACGGAGAGCAGGACACCTCTCTTCCCACAAACAGAATGACCCCAACCTTCCGATGAACCCGTTCTTCTAGAGGTGGACATGGCAACCCGAGGAATCTGGCCAAAGTTTCAGTTATAGAAATGAAGCTGTGATTATTAAATTTCAGGTAGGATATGGTTTATCTTCCTGGCCCCTGGAGTCAGGCTCTGTGGGTGGCATATACAGCACCTGGTTGCTGCACTAGCCCCAGCCCAACTTTCCATGGAAGGATGAGAAGAAGCCAGCAGGGAAGACTACTCAGGGCCTGGGTGTTTCCAGCTGTCACCAGGAAGCATCTTGCAGAGGAATGGAGTTAAGCTCTGCCCCGCCCTGCCCTGCCCAGGCTGCTGGGATGGAAGGAAGGGCCAGGTGTGTGCCCTAGAGAGAGGGGAGAGCCCCATCTGAACTCTGGAGATTGTTAGAGTATGGAAACCAGCAAGCAAAATCCACTAGGTATGGCTCCTCAGAGTTGTATGTATTTTCAAATTTTATGTGTTTTTTACATAACTAGAAAAAATAACATTATATATTAAAAAACAGCTGGGCGTGGTGGCTCATGCCTGTAATCCCAGCACTTTGGGAGGCCAAGGTGGGCAGATCACAAGGTCAGGAGTTCAAGACTAGCCTGGCCAACATGGTGAAACCCCGTCTCTACTAAAAATACAAAAATTAGCCAGGTGTGGTGGCACGTCCCTGCTACTCGGGAGGCTGAGGCAGGAGAATTGCTTGAACCTGGGAGGCAGAGGTTACAGTGAGCCAAAACTGTGTCACTGCACTCCAGCCTGGGCAACAGAGTGAGACTCCATCTCAAAATAAAATAAAATAAAATAAAAACCAATATTAGGTTAGTCTGAAACTCAAAACACATAATCTCTAGTCCTGACTCTGCCAGCAACTTTCTATGTGGTGCTGAACAAGTTACTCACTCTCTCTGGGCCTCAGTTTCCCCAGCTGTACAGTAAGTATGGATTCCTTCTTGTTCTAACAAACTGTACCTGTCAAATGGATGCCATCATTAGGGTGGTGAGATTATAGATGCCTTTGCCATTTACTTTTTATTTTCTATTTTCCACACTTCTTAAAAATGTCCTAGTTCTTTTTAAAGTACAGTGTAATGGTAATTTGGCCACAACTTTTATTGTGATGAAGGAAAGAAGGAAGAGAAGGAAGGAGGGAAGAAAGAAGAATTTTTTTTATTTGTTAGAAAGGCAGCCACTGAAAAATCATCTCTCCTCCTGCCCAGCAGGAAGCAAACCCCATAATCCAGGTAATTTGATAAATATGGGAACATAGAGGGACCCTACACTTCAGTCACCCAATGGGTCACCTGTGTAATTCTGTCATTCCAAAAGCCCAGAGCCTTAGAATTCTAGAAAGCCAGAGCTGATCAGCCTTACAAAGATCATGTGGTGTCCAGTTGCCTCCCCTACATAGTAAAGTCTTAGTGAGAGGTGAAGCCAGCTGGACTTCCTGGGTCCGGTGGGGACTTGGAGAACTTTTCTGTCTTACAAGAGTCTTATAAAATGCACCAATCAGTGCTCTGTAAAAACGTACCAATCGGTGCTCTGCAGCTAGCTAGAGGTTTGTAAAATGCACCAATCAGTGCTCTGTAGCTAGCTTGAGGTTTGTAAAATGGAGCAATCAGCAGGACATGGGCAGGGACAAATAAGGGAATAAAAGCTGGCCACCCCCTCAGCCAGCAGTGGCAACCCGCTGGGGGTCCCCTTCCATGCTGTAGAAGCTTTGTTCTTTTGCTCTTCACAATAAATCTTGCTGCTGCTCACTTTTTGGGTCCATGCCACCTTTAAGAGCTGTAACACTCACCCCAAAGGTCCGTGGCTTCATTCTTGAAGTCAGCGAGACCACGAACCCACCAGAAGGAACCAACTCCAGACACATTAGGACCAAAGAGAAAAGCAGGTGCCTAAGATCACGCAGCTCACCAGAAATAGAGTGGACACATCCAAAACCCAGGAAGGTCTCACATGCCATTGTAGTCTGTGACTTTATATCTTACCATAACTTCAAATTTATTTTTAAAAATAAAAAAGTACAGAAAACTCCCACAAATCCTTGACCCAGATTCACCATTTGTTTATATTTTGCCTTATTTTATTTATCATTCTCTTTCCTACAGACACACACACACAAACACACACACGCACACATGCACAGGCATGAACTATTTGGAAGTAAGTAAAAGATAGCATCTCTCAAAGCTTCAGGGTGTGTTTCCCAAAGTAAGAACATTCCCTTACACAATCACAGTACAACGATCAAAATCAGGAAATTTAACTTTGATACAATCCACTGTTTAATCCACAGTCCATATTCAAATTTCCTCCGTTGTCCCAGTAATTGACTATCTCCCACCCCACCTCAGAACTGGCGATTTTTTGCACTCATCACTCCTGTGCCCAGGAACCTGCTTGCCTCTGGGGGAAACATGAATAAGGCTTTTAATCCTTCTTCTTCTACCCTCCCATCCTCTGAGTGCTCCTGTCCACTGCCCTCCCCACTCCAGCATACCAAGACAAGACAGAACGGGGGGTGCCGCTGCGAGGAGCACTCGAGCCTGACCTGAGAGTGCAGGAGGACCCCTGAGACTATGCCAGGTGGATAGGTGCATGAAAAGCACAGAGGGCACACTCACCAGCCCTCAGTAATGCCCACCAGCCTTCCCTGGCCTCTAGGATCAAGAGGGGTGCAGGACACTGACTAGGTCAAGGAGCTTACATTCTATCTAGTTCCAGAGACAAAACCCACTCCCATGAAAAATCCACACACCCCCAGATATGTTTCAACTGTGAGGGATCCATGTCTGGGAAGGGGCAAGAAGGTACTTTCTGGAGTGCTAGAAATATGCTGTATCTGAGAGGTGGTTGCGTGGAGGCATATACATGCGAACATTTAACCAGCCGCGCTCGAAAAACGTCTTCCCTTCACTCTATATATATCTCAGTAAACAATTAAAGCTATACATGTGTGTAGTCAACAATCCCAAGGTGGAACATGGTGCAGTGGAGAAAGGCTGTGAGCTCCAGAGGAAGAGACAGGACAGCTTCTAGTTTTTTCCACCTGTCTGAAGTAGTTCCTGCCTGCCACTTGGTAGACACCAAATAAATACTGTTGAATAATCAAATAAATTAATTTGATGCTGTGACTATATTTCTTAACATGGAAACCTGTCAATGATATCTTTCCAAGTGCAATAAACAGGCTGTAGAAGAGCATGTGAGAATTATCTCATTTTTGTAAATATTTATGTTCATAGTTTTTGTGTATCTAGTCTGGAAGAACACACCAAAATCCTAATGAAAGTTATGTTGGGTGAAAAGATAAAGACAATATATTTTCATTCTTTTTTTCTTCTTTGTACTTAAATTTTTTTCTAGCAAGTTAAACTGGGTGAAAAAGCAAATATATATATCTATATAGATATATATAGATATATCTATATCTATATATATATCTATATAGATATATATAGATATATCTATATCTATATCTATATCTATATCTATATAGATATAGATATAGATATCTATCTCAGTAAATCACTCCAGGGCAACAAAGTAGGGTCCAGAGCACATCGGCGCCAATTTGTGAATCTCTAAAAGGGGGTTATAGTATGTAATGTGTCTCAAGCTTACCTGACCAGAGACCCTTTGGGGAACTGCTGCTCTAAAGAGAACTGCATAAAAGGAGTTGGGTCTCTGATAATTGCATGAAATCATCACAGCAAATCACAACTACTTACATCCAAACTTCTCTTATACACAAGAAAAGCAAACCTTCTGTGTAAGTTAAGGTGATTTGGCTCTTCTGCCATGCAGTTGAACTGAATTCTAGCTGGTACCAGAGCTTCGCACAGTGCCGCACATTTAGAAAGTGGTCAAGAAATGCTAACTGCTGTTGTTTGCAGCAATCTAACAGGATGCCAGGACCTGGAGAGGCTGTTTTCCCAAGCCTTTGTCTGAGATGGGATTCCTGAGGTGGTTACTGAGCCTGAGGTGGTTACTGAACCAATGCCTCCTCTGCTCTCTAAGCTCCGGTAGAACAAGTTAGGGACAGAGTCATGCTCTGGGGCTGGAAGCTTAAAACCTGGAAGATATCCCAGGCAGGGCATGTCAGAACCCAAATGCATATGGACTTGATAGAGCCTGGAGAGTGACTGAAATCACAGCTGCCCAACTTATATGCGGAAGTCTCCTACCGAGGGAAGAAAACCACAGATTCTCAGAGCCAGAAGGAAACTGCAAAGGTAATCACTCCAATCTCCAATTTAATGTCTGTTCTCTCCGTGGCTTCCCCTCTAAGTGGCCCTCCACCTGTACTGAGAACCTCCAGGGTTGGATGCTCACCACTCCCCCAGGCAGCCTGTTCTGTCTTCACATAGCTCTAGAGAAAGCTTTTTCTTTATGTTGAACTATGACTTCCACCCTTTGACCTTGGCTCTGCCTTCCAGGAGCACACAAAGCAAATCACACCCTCAAAAATCTTTTATGAGATTTTTCTCCTTAATCAAAATAATCATAATGATAGCTACCATTAATGAGGTCTTTACTGTGTTCTAGACACCATGCTAGACACTTTACATGCCTGATCTCATTTAATTTTCACAACGGTCCCATGACATAGTGTTTTCAATTGGCCCCATTTTACAGATGAGGAGTCTGAGTCTTAGGTGAGACGAAGAACCTTACCCAAGATTGCTCAGCTAGTAAGTGGCAGAACTGAAATACAGAAGCCAGATTTTTCATGTTCTAAACTACTGATGAGCCAGGCATGATGGTGCGCACCTGTAGTCCCAGCTACTCAGAATGCTAAGGAGAGAGGATCCCTTGACCCCAGGAGTTCAAGACTATAGTGAGCTTTGACTACCTGTGAAAAGCCACTGCGTTCCAGCCTGGGCAACAGAGTAAGACTCTGTCTCTAAAAATAAAAATATAATTCCTGAGCTTCACCACTGCACTCTGCTACCTCCTGTGCACACCCACCCACACATGCACACACACGCACACCCCATCAAGTCTTCTCCAGCAGTATGCACACTGACAACTCTGCAATGTCGCAATAGAAATTCTCACATGGTTCTGAAGGACCTAGAACTTTTAAGCGATTCTGCCAACTTCTCCTCTGGTTTGCACACCTCTCTCCTGCCATCAGCACCTCCTAATGCAGCCCTTGGTTTGAGCTCCTTACATTGCTCTTGGAATATTGCCACTGCGGGGCATATGGGCTGTTTCCATTTGTCCAGCAGGCCTTCTCCTCCTCATTCCAACTGATTCTGAGGGGCCCATCATCGCATTGTCTCCACCCAAACCACCACTGCAGGTATGTAACCTGGGCTGGGCTGGCTCTCTTCCTCCCATTTTGGCACCAGTGATCTGTACCACAAGAGACAGTTCCTTGGACCAGCTGTGGCCAAAGAGAATCTTTCTCTGGGAATCCTGTGGGGACTTAGAGAGAAAGAAACATCCTCCACCCCCACGGACTACTAGATTAGTAAATGAGAAGATGTAAACCTGGAGCGGTAAGGCCCTTATATTAGTTTCCTATTGCTGCAGTATCGAGTGACCACAAATTCAGTGGATTTAAACAACATAAATATATCGTCTTATAGTTCTGGAGGTAGAAGTCCTAAAAAAAAAAAAAAAAAAGAGGTGTTGGCAGGGTTATGTTCCTTCTGGAAGCTCTAGGGGAGAATCTATTTTCTTGATTTTTTTTTCAGCTTCTGGGCTCCCTACAATCTTCAGCTCATGGCTTCTGTCTCCACTCCATCTCTCTCCCTCTCTCTTTCTCACCTCTGCTTCTTTTTTTTTTTTTTTGAGACGGCATTTCGCTCTTGTTGCCCAGGCTGGAGTGCAGTGGCACAATCTTGGCTCACTGCAACCTCCGCTTCCTGGGTTCAAGCGATTCTCCTGCCTCAGCCTCCCTAGTAACTGGATTTCAGGCACCTGCCACCACCCCTGGCTAATTTCTCATATTTTTAGTAGAGAAAGGGCTTTGCCATGTTGGCCAGGCTGGTCTCAAACTCCTGACCTCAGGTGATCCGCCTGCCTCGGCCTCCCAAAGTGCTGGGATTACAAGTGTGAGCCACTGCGCCCAGCCCTCACATCTGCTTCTATCATCACATCTCCTTCTACTCTGACCCTCTACCCACCTCTTATAAGGACCCTGGTGATTACTTTGGGCCCACCCATAGATAATTTTATCATCTCATTTCATACTTAACTTGGTCACATATGCAGAATCACTTTTGCCTCATAAGGTAACATATTCACAGGTTGGGGATCAGGACATGGACATCTTTGGGGGCCATCATTCAGCTCATCACACTCATCCATGTGGAGGAGCTCAGAAGCAGCAGGAGACAGGCAAACATGTAGAGCGAACAGAGCTAAGAGATGGAAATGATAGGACCCTTGATCCAGCCATGCTGGGAGTTGCAAGTTGTTGATTACATGAGCCAATGAATTCCCTTTGTGCTTAAGTTAATTTGATTTCACTTTCTGTCACTTGCAACCCAACAAATTCTGACTACTGCACATGCTTACTAGTCATGATTGTCTTAGCCAGACTTAGCTCCTCAAGGGCAGGTTCTCTAAGTTATTGCCACAATGAGCCCATTTCAAAAACTCCAAATTGACACCTATAACAAAACAAACACACAGCTATGTTTAAGAAACAACAGATATAAGTAGAAAAATTGGGATTAACCTGGAACTCAAGTAGTCTAGGGGAGGATGGTACAAAGAGCACAGCACTGGGGGAAAGGACACTTGGGTTTAATCTGAGCTCTTGTGGGAGAGATCCAGGAAATTCCATAGCTGCCTTGGTTTTCCCCATCTTCATCCACACAAAGGATTGCTTGGTTGAACACCAAGGTTGCATCCCCCTCTAACCTTCTGAGAATACACTTGTTGCTCTGTGTTTCTATCACATACCAAGGCACCACACCGAAAGTTAACAAGAAGGCTGGGCTCTTGTGGTACATAACCAGGGGCAATCACCCTACCCCTTTCCTGTTTCCTTTTCCTGCAGCCTTTGGCAGCAAAACAGTGACTATGAGAGAAAGCCAAGGATGAGAATAGGAAATGAAACAGCTCTGTCTTCCAGCTGTTTAAAAAAAAAAAATACACACACTCCTACACACATACACACAGGTAAAGCCCATCTACCATGTAGCCACTTGTATCCTTGATTAAGTCAAATCCAGCCAAGGGAATACTCTACATTTACTTAGTATGTTTCCCTATTTTTAGCATTTTTTTTGCAATAACAAACTACTAATTTAGGGAATTTTAAGAATAATGTTTTATGGGTTTTTTTCTTTTTCTGTTTTTTTTTTTTTAAACCATAAGATGATCAGATCTCTAAGGGCCCTTCTAGCACAATCATGTGAGGCTTCTCAGGAGTGTGTGCTCAAGGGCGAGGTCCATACAGAACCTTGGGAATGGCCAGGTTGGAGGAACCATCCCAGCAAGTGACAGGGCTAGCTCGTACCTTGACTTCAAGTGCCTTTCAGAAGGATATGTTCCGTGGGGGAGTCATTGCACTTCCAGGTCTGCTTCTAAAGTAGTAGTAGGGCCTTGAACTTTGTCCTCGTGGGACAGTTATTTCCCCATTGGGCCTTAGTTTTCTCCACTGCAAAATGAAAATATTGGACCAGAAATTAATTAGTAAGAGCCCTTCCAGGAGACCTGAGAGGAGTTCTGGAGAGCTGGTTATGTTGTGTTTCTTAAACTGGGTGTGTGTTACACTGATGTGCTCAGTTTGTGAAAATTCATTGAGTTGTACACTTATGATTTGTGCATTTTTCTGTATGCATATTTTTCTTCAATTAAAAAGTTTACATTAACTATTTTTTTTAAAAAAGATAGGAGGTCTACTTGTGTTTCTGAATCAGAAGAATAAAAAGGATTGGAGGGGGATGAGCAAAGATGAAACAAAATTTGATGTGAATCGATCACTGCTGAAGCTAGGAGCTGGGCATGTGGATTCCTTATGCCATCTTGTCTACCTTTGCATATGTTTGAAACTTCCCAGAGTGAAAGTTTGAAAAAAGAGCTCTTCTAGCTCTAATATACTGTCATTTGAGGAGCTCCCACTATTATGCAAGAATGCAGAAAAAAGGACAAAGGAAAATCACAGCTCCCCTCACTCCAGATTTGAGTGTCTTGTAAAAGAGAAGGAAATGGACAAAACAGAGTTATTATAGCAGAAACAAGAAGTATTGTGACTGGGTGTAGTGGCTTATGCCTGTAATCCCAGCACTTTGGGCGGGCAGATCACTTGAGATCAGGAGTTCCAGACCAGTCTGGCCAACACGGTGAAACCCCATCTCTACTAAAAATGCAAAAAATTAGCCGGGTGTGGTGGCACACGCCTGTAATCCCAGCTACTCAGGAGGCTGAGACAGGAGAATTGCTTGAACCTGGGTGGCGGAGTTTGCAGTGAGCAGAGATCAGGCCACTGCACTCTAGCCTGGCCAACAGAGTGAGACTCTGTCTCAGAAAAAAAAAAAAAAAAGAATTGTTTCTCTTGAACATAGTTTTTTGTTTGTTTGTTTGTTTGTTAGTTTTTGTCTTAATTTCAGATCTCATTTGATGTATTTGTGTCTGACAGAGCAAATTAACTGTATTAGTCCATTTTCACACTGCTATAAAGACATACCTGAGACTGGGTAATTTATAAAGAAAAAAGATTTAATTGGCTCACATTTTTATGGGTTGTACAGGCTTCTGCTTCTGGGGAGGCCTCAGGAAACTTACAATCATGACAGAAGGCAGAGGAGAAGCAGACACCTATTCACATGGCTAGCAGGAGAAAGAGAGGGCAAAGGGGTAGGTGCTGCACACTTTCAAACAACCAGATCTCTATCACAAGAACAGCAAGGGCAAAGGCTGGCCCCACGATTCAATCATTTCCTACCAGGCCCCTCTTTCAACACTGGGGATTACAATTTGACATGAGATTTGGGTGGGGACACACAGCCAAATTATATCATTAACTAAGAGTGTTTTATGACATGGCTATTTATTTGTTATCTATAAGAATGCCAGTGAGGTCTGGTGTTGATTTGTTCTCAGTTGTCACAGCCTATGCATTGTTGGCTCCTCTGCCCTGGCATGAGCTGGGGCACTTCAGCCGGTGGCAGGAAATAGTGGAACAGGCAAATCCCATAAGGTCCCTCTGGGGTTTGGCTTGACCTTCAAACAGTGGGTACGATGTCACCCTCACACTTACAAGAGTTGTGAAACATCATTGCAAAGTGGCCAGGATTCACTTACTACTTAAATGTAATGAGCACCTACTCCATTGCCAGGCACCAGTCTAGGGGCTGGAAATACAGCAGTGCACAAACAGACAAAACTCCCTGACCTCATGGAGCTTCCGTAATTTGATAATTTATATAATAGCTTTAAAGGCTTTTCCAAGCTAGACAAAGGGGTGCATGCCTGTAGTTCCAGCTACTTGGGAGGCTGAGGCAGGAGGATTGCTTGAGCCCAGGAGTTCAAGAATGTAGTATGTTATGATCATGCCTGTGAATAGCCACTGGACTCTAGCCTGGGCAACATAGCAAGACTTCATCTCTTAAAAAAGAGACTTAAAACTTTTTTTAAATTGTGGTAAAATATACATAGCAGTTTTTGTATATTTTGCCACAATTAAAAATTATTTCGGTTGAATAGTTGTTGTAAAACAGATGTCTAGAACTTTGTCGCTTTGCGGAACTGAAACTCTATACCCATTAAGCAACTCTCTTGCCCCCTCTTCCTAGCCCGTGGTAACAACCATTCTTCTTTCTATATCCGTGAATTCAACTTCTCTAGGCACCTCATAGAAGCGGAGTCATACAGTATTTGTCTTTTTGTGACTGACTTCTTTCACTTAGCCTAATGTCTTCAAGGTCCATCCACATGGTAGCATGTGTCAGAATTTTCTTCCTTTTTAGAGCAGAATAATATTCCACTGTATACGTGTAACACATTTCATTTATCCATTCACCTGCCAATAGAGACAGGTTGCTTCCACATTTTGGCTATTGTAAATAGTGATCCTATGAACATGAGTGTACGAATATCTCTTTCAGATGTGTATGCACCCAGAAGTGGAATTGCAGGATCATATGGTAATTCCATGTTAAATTTTTTGAGGAACTGCCATGCTGTTTTTCATAGTGGCTGCATCATTTTACATTCCTATTAACAATGCACAGAGGGTCCAATGTTTTCACATCCTTGTTAATACTTGTTACTTTCTTTCCTGCCACCCAATAATAGCTATCCTAATGGGTATAAAGCCTATTTTATAAAAAACTACTTGTACTAGCTTAATTATAGAACAATTGGGCTAAATTAAGTTAGCTGGAAAGCTGGGAAGAATGCACAGCTCAAACTCACCATTTTACAAATGAGTAAATAAAATCTTCTGAATAAAGACCCCATCTAGGCATGCATGGATGTGAATAAAATTAAAATTAAAAAATGAATAAAGAGACTTATTCAAGATCAGGCCATGGGGGACTAATGGAGGTGGCACAGCATTCTAAACCAGGAGTCAGCAAACTTTTCCCTAAAATATTAGATATTTACTCTCTGTTCCTAAAGGCTTTGCCCACCATAGTCTCTGTCGTAGCTTCTCAACTCTGCCATTGTAGTGTGAAAGCAACCAAATGGATGTAGCAGTATTCCAATAAAACTTTTGCAAAAATTTGTAAAAATAGGCAATAGGCTGCAATTTTTTAATCCCTGTTCTAAACCAATAAACTAAAGTGTGGGACCAGCAGGTGTGTATTGTTCCCCACCTTCCCCCCACTCTGGTAATAGCACCTTGATTTCCTTTTGATGAACTGCCTATCTTCCCAGTGCCTGTGATCTTGGTAGAATTGTCAGTCAAGGTATGTTGCCAGTTCTGGTCAAGAGGTGGGTCCATGACCCAAGCTGGGCCTTTCTATCTAAGGACTTTGAACCTTACAAAGGTACAAAGGGAGAAGATGACTGAAGTTGATCCCACCTGTGTCTTTGTTGACTCTATTGAGGGGTTCCTCTACCTGGATCTCCAGAGTTGCCCAGCTCCTAGCCATTTCCAAGCCTGGTGTCTCAATTCTTCCTTCCATTTTGCAAGCAAGCCCACATCCTTTCAGTAATTATTTTTTCTGCTAAATGACTTGAAGTCAATTTCTGATGCTCACAACCAGAGAATCCTGACTGATCATTCACTTTTAAGAAAAGATGTGCTATATAATTACTTTAACCACAATACCCCCAACAGCTAAAACAGGATTTGATTCCTTTCTCTTTTTTTTTTCTTTTTTTGAGATGGAGTTTCACTCTTGTTGCCCAGGCTGGAGTGCAATGGCACCATTTGGCTCACTGCAACCTCTGCCTCCTGGGTTCAAGCGATTCTCCTGCCTCAGCCTTCCGAGTAGCTGGGATTACAGGCATGCACCACCACGCCCGGCTAATTTTGTATTTTTAGTAGAGAAGGGGTTTCTCCATGTTGGTCAGGCTGGTCTCGAACTCCCAAACTCAGGTGATCCACCTGCCTCAACCTCCCCAAAGTGCTGGGATTACAGGCATGAGCCACCGCACTTAGCCAGCTAATTTCTTAAAAAGCAAATTATCTGAAAGTTTAAGGACATATCAGGCTCATCAGTTGAAATTCCTGTGTCCATTCCTGCCAGTGTGGACATACCACGCTGGAATGCCATTATCCTTCAATCTTTGTTCAACAAATACCTCCAGCCCTGGTGAGCTCTCCCTTGTGCAAGCCCCTGGTGCTCTCTGGGTCTTGGATTCTTCATCTATAACAAGAATGGAGTGAACAATTACAGTGACTTAGTTTCCATCCAGCTCCAGACTTGGATCAGGGCCTCCTACTGTGTGCTCAGCACTGTGCCAGGGTATAAAAGAAGGCACCGTGATCCCCCCGACTTCAAGGAGCTTGAGGATGAGTTGGGGAGACATGTCATAATCAATGGTGACACAGGGTGGCCTATGTAACACGCAGGTGAAGAAAACAGCCACCGGAGCTCAGAGGGCAGAAATTTGCTGTGGACCGGAAAGGACTTTAGCTGAGCCTTTACAAGCAGATAGGCTTTGACTAAGGAGAGAGGAAGGCAAAATTACATGCACTTTGGAGGCCTATTCAGCACCCTTCAAACTAAGCTCCGGCAACGTTCTTGGGCTTCATTTCCATCCCTGAAGCAGCAGAGGATGAATGGAACAAACCTTTCCAACAGAACCAGGGACTATCTGGTCCCATTCTACTGGTGCCATTATTTGTTGCATTGGGTTTCTTGTAGGTATTTTCAGTTGTTGACCGCAGGGAGCAGGGTGTGGACAGCTCTGAGTGTGTTAGCTAGAATATCAGAGCCTTGCTGAACTTGCTCATTTTCTGCCCATCCCAGCTGTCCAAGCACTAGAGGCAGCCCCCTGGGTCCACCCCACCCCACCCTTCAGGCAGGCAAGATGAAAGGACGGTGGCTCACATTGTGTAGTCTAGTCCCCCAGGAGGTGCCTCTGATGCCAAGTATTCCTGTGGCTAACAAGCCCTGGTTGCAGGGGTGGTGGGCAGGGTGGCACAGGGAGGTAGGGGGTAGCCCTCTCTCTCCTCCTCAGCTTCCTAAAAGCCATCTGTTCCAGAACCCAAGCATTGCTTCCCGCTACACCCAAACCACCGCTACACCCAAACCCGTGGGACTGGTTATCCCCAGCACACACAGCTCTCTGTTGCTGCTTGTGTTTGTTAGTTGGCATTTGAACAGTTCTCTGTGGTTCAAGTGTGAGGGTGGCCTGGGGCAAAATGAGATTGGCAGAGGTTGGCATGGATACCACACCTCCTTCCCACTCTCTTACCCACGAGCCCAGACCCCTAAACTTCCCCCTATATAACAAACACCACCATCGCCTGGAACTCCCTTCCCCTTCAGGACCCCATTCTTTACTTTTTCAGATGGCTTATTGGAGAAACAACCTCTTCTAAGGCATGAGATGTTGCTAAAGTTCTTTTTCATAGGGGTCCTCTGTGGACAGCACACCCAGGACTCATGAGAGGATAATGGCTGGAAATTACAGGCATGTGGCAGCTTCTGAGGGACAGATGGAAGTAGGTTATCTCCTCTGCTCTTACAGTAAATCTTAAGTTTTTCTATACATTGTCACCTAAGGTATGTAAGATTTTCTTTTCTTTTTCTTTCTTTCTTTCTTTTTTTTCTTCCTTCTTTTTTTTGAGTCAGGATTTCCCTCTGTCGCTTAGGCTGGAGTGCAGTGGTACCATCACAGCTCACTGCAACCTCTGTCTCCCTGGCTCAAGCAATCCTCCCACCTCTGCCTCCAGAGTAGCTGGGACAATAGGAGTGTGCCACCAAGCTTGGCTATATTTTTTTTTAAGAGATGGGCTCTCACTAGGTTGCCCAGGCTGGTCTCAAACTCCTAGGCTCAAGCAATCTGCCCGCCCTGGACTCCTAAAGTGCTGGGATTATAGGCGTTTAGTGCCTGGCCCTCTATTCATTTTCTATTCAGCAGACACTGGGGTGCACTGGCCTAGCAGGGGTGAGAACTGACTTCTTAATCAACTCAATGACTCATGTGCCATGTCATCTTCCCTTTTGGGAGAACCTCAGTTTTGTTGTGTGATGGGGTTTCATTGAGTTATTGCCACCGGGCTCACAATTTATGAGGCAGTTCTCTATTTTTTAAGAACTACCCATGAAGCTAGGAGACATGAGGTTCCTCCTGACTCACTCTGTTTCTCTGCTATTTGTGGTGGCTATCATGGAGGTAGGGCACTTCACAGTTTGCAGGGTGTCCAGACTGCCCTGACTTGATTCAGTGTTCAACAAATATTTTTGAGTATCTCTGAAGTGCTCGGCATGGTGCAGGTTCTGTGGATACAAGCATGAGTGAAGTAAGTGGTTTGGAAATAATGTGCTACGGAAACGAACAATGTATTCAAAAGGTGCACAATGGCCTGGAGCAGTGACTCAGGCCTGTAATCCCAGCACTTTGGGAGGCCAAGGTGGGCGGATCACCTGAGGTCAGGAGTTTGAGATCAGCTTGGCCAACATGTTGAAATCCCATCTCTACTAAAAATGCAAAAATTAGCTGGGGGTGGTCGGGGGGCGCCTGTAATCCCAGCTACTCGAAAAGCTGAGGTAGGAGAATGACTTAAACCTGGGAGGCAGTGGTTGCAGTGAGCCGAGATGGTGCCACTGCACTCCAGCCTGGACCACAACATGAATGAAACTCCGTCTCAAAAAAAAAAAAAAAAAAGAGAAAAGGGGGGTGCACAAGTTCCTTGCAGATGGAACTTAAGCTATAAGGTGGGAATGAATACAAAGAGCCCAGGGAGGAAGGTAAGATGAGGATTACCACTCCCATTTTACAGAGCAACCTTGGAGACACCGACTGACCATTCTAGACTGACTGGTTAGAGGCTCCCTCCCTGAGAAAGTGGTGTTTTAGGAGAACACTTCCTAACAAGAAGAAGCCAGCTTTGGGAAGAGCTAAAGGCAGCTTGCGCAAAGGCCCTGAGGCAGGAACCAGCTAGGCCACTGGGTACATTTGAAGACCAGAAATAAGGTCAATGTGTCTGGAACTTAGCTACTGCAGGATATGAGATTCAAGAGAAAAATAGGGTTGAATCATGAAAAGCTTTAGGGATTTTGTTTTGAGTGTAACAAAAAGTCATTGGTGGTTTTTGTTTTGTTTTTGTTAATTGTACCTTTTTAAATGATCATGCTAGCTGCTGTAATATTGTCACCAGCACCACTTTGTACCTCTTTTTTTTTTTTTGAGATGGAGTTTTTCTCTTTCACCCAGGCTGGTGGGAAGTGGTGAGATCTCAGCTCACTGCAACCTCCGCCCCCCAGGTTCAAGCAATTCTCCTCCCTCAGGCTCCCGAGTAGCTGGGATTACAAGTGTGTGCCACCACACCCAGCTAATTTTTGTATTTTTAGTAGAGACAGGGTTTCCCCATGTTGGCTGGTCTCAAACTCCTGACGTCAGGTGATCCGCCCACCTCAGCCTCCCAAAGTGCGAGATTACAGGCGTGAGCCCCTGGACCTGGCCCACTTTGTGCCTCTTTGGCACACCATTCACTTTGTAATCAATGTAAATGAAGACCTCCAGAGCTGTGCAAGGTGGAGCAGTCCCTATAGTTCTTCCCAAGCCCTATGTGCTTTCAGGATCTGAGAATCTAGTGTTAAGAGACTTTGGGTTGGGAAGAGTCTTCCCTAGGGGCTTTAATGATGTCAATCCTAAATCTTCTTGGAGAAGCCCAATGGGAGTGCTGGCCCCTCCAGGGTGTCTTTATTGATCTCTGTAAACACTCCCTTCTCCCAAGCTCTTTCATCCGAGAGGCCAAGCCAAGTGGAGGCAGACGCTCACTCACTCTCTCCTCCCTTCAAGCTGACACTCTGTAAGCCTTTAAGCAGCTTGTAACTCCATCATCTCAGCGCCCCTTGGAAGCGAGCAGCGTCAGATTAAGCGAATCTGGGATCCGGGTGCTGAGGAATTTGGGGCCTCTCAGGTCTCTTGGCAGGAGTAACAAGTACCTGCAGAGACTCTTCTTCAGAACAAGTGAAACTAATTCCTTCCAGGGGCAGAAAAAGGCATGTTTTTGGCAAAAGACTTCATAAGATGTTATCTCAACATCTTATGAAGTTGGAGCCCTAGGAGGGAAGGCAGTTGCTAAACCAGGTGGGAAAACAGATAGGGTGGGAGGGAAGGACTTAGGTAGGTTCCCACACTGGTTTGGATCCAGGGCCGCCTCTGGAACTAGGTTTCCTGGCCTGAGGAGGGTGGCCTCATGCCTTTTCCACTCTCCTAGGACTAGACAGGGAGAAAGAAGAACGTGGAAGGGAAGGAAGGGGAGAAGAGAAGAAATGAACTGCTTAAGTTCATGGCCCCATTCTACTCCTCAAGCTGGACAACTTAGTGGAAAGAGTTGCAGATGTAAAGTTACAGATGCAAGGAAGCTTCAGCATCATCCAATCTAACCCTCTTATTTCTTTTTATTTATTTATTTATTTATTTGAGACAGGGCCTCCCTCTGTTGCCCAAGCTGGACTGCAGTGGCACAATCTTGGCTCACTGCAGCCTCCTCCTGTGAGGTGCAAGCAATCCTCCCAGCTCAGCCTCCCACGTAGCTGGGACTTCAGGTGCATGCCACCATGCTCAGTTAATTTTTTTTAAATTTTTTGTACAGACAGTATCTCAGTATATTGCCCAGGTTGGTCTCAAACTCCTGGGCTCAAGCAATCCTCCCACCTCGGCCTCCCAAAGTTCTGGAATAACAGACATGAGCCACTGTGCCCAGCGAAGCCTCTTATTTCATGGATGAAAAGACCAAGGCCCCCAAGATGAGTACTTCCCAATGCTGACCAGAAGATGAGATGGCCTTCTCCTGTGCCAGAGGAAGTTAAAAGTGATGCATTTTGAAGGAAATTTTGGCAACATTTGTCAATGTTTTAGACACACATACATTCTTTGGCCCAGCAATTCCACTTCTGGAACTTCATCCCACAGAAACCCTTGTACATGTGTACAGAGATGTATGTACCAAGTTGTCCTCTGTAGTGTGCTTTGTCAGTGCAAGACACCTCAAGAGACAGTAAAGGGTGTGCTTAGCAGTAAGTGCAGCATTAAACTGCTACATTGGTATTACAAAATACCATGCAGCCACCAGAAGGAAGGAGGCAAATATATCTCATTACTATGGAAAAATTATGAGTGATATTGATTGATTGATTGATTGAGATGGAGTCTCGCTCTATCGCCCAGGCTGGAGTGCAGTGGCATGATCTTGGCTCACTGCAACCTCCGCCTCCCAGGTTCAAGCGATTCTCCTGCCTCAGCCTCCCAAGTGGTTGGGATTACAGGTGGCTGCCACCATGCCCAGCTAATTTTTGTATTTTTTTTTTTTTGAGATGGAGTTTTGCTCTTGTTGCCCAGGCTGGAGTGCAATGGCACAGTCTCAGCTCACTGCAACCTCCCCCTCCCTGGTTCAAGCGATTCTTCTGCCTCAGCCTCCTGAGTAGCTGGGATTATAGGCACCTGCCATCACGCTCAGCTAATTTTTTGTATTTTTAGTAGAGACAGGGTTTCACCATGTTGGCCAGGCTGGTCTCCAACTCCTGAACTCAGGTGATCCACCCCCACTTGGCCTCCCAAAGTGCCAGGATTACAGGTGTGAGCTACCATGCCCAGACTAATTTTTGTATTTTTAGTGGAGATAGGGGTTTCACCATATTGGCCAGGCCAGTCTTCAACTCCTGACCTCAAGTGATCCGCCCACCTTGGCCTCCCAACATGCTGGGATTACATGCGTGAGCTACCGTGCCCAGCCTATGAGTGATATTTAAAATTAAAAACAAAGCATGGCTGGGAAAGGTAGCTCACTCCTGTAATCACAGCATTTTGTGGGGCCAAGGCGGGTGGATTCCTTGCCCCTAGGAGTTCAAGACCAGAGTGGGCAACATAGTGAGATCCCATCTCTACAAAAAAAAAATTAGTTGGGTGTGGTGGCACACAACCTGTAGTCTCAGCTACTCAGGAGGCTGAGCCAGGAGGATCACTTGAGCCCAGGAGGTCGAGGATTCAGTGAGCCCGTGTTTGCACTACTGCACTCCAGCCTGGGTGACAGAGTGAAACCATGTCTCAAAAAAAAAAAAAACAAACAAATAAATAAAAGCACATCAAATATATTGTGTTATCCCACTGATCCAACAAAAAAATGTGTATATGCTTATGTATTATTTTATTTTTATAGTTTAATATGTATATTTCCAGAAAGATATGCAAGAAATATTCATAGTTAATTTACTTCATTTTACACCCTTATGCACAGTTTGAAGTTTTTGTTTGGTAGATTTTTATCACATGTGTATTACTTTCATTGCAAAAAGAAAATTGAGATGGAATTTGCTCAGCTGGGATCATGTAGTCATCCAGTTACTTTTGGGACTGGAACCAGACCAGGTCTCCTGACTTGTCTCTTTTGACTTTTGCGCACTGCCTTCTCTTCTAAGCTCAACAACCAGACTTAGGGCAGAGAGGGCTCTGCCTCCTTTCCATCTGTCCAATGGCTGAGAACTGGGGGTATGAAACTGTCAGTGCTCAGGGATGATGACATTCTAGGTTTTTGGGCTTCTGCCTATTGGATTCCTTTTCTGGCTGCACCACTAAAAGTAGATAATAAGCAAATGACAAATTCCTTCTCTTTTCTGAGACTCAGTTTCCCCACCTGCATAGTGGTAGCGTGGGTGTGGGTGGTGAAGTGAAGCTCACTCCTTCAATGTCCTGAGAACCTTTTAGCTGATGCTGCTGCTCCTCCAGGCTTGGGAGCATGGGGCTCAGGAGTTTTCATTCCTTGAGCCAGGCTTCCCCCTGCTGGTCTCTGCCAGTAGCGCTCGGTAAGCTTCCAGTAAAGTGTTCTAACTGGCCGTTGGTGGGGCAGGAGCTGGAGAAGCTCGACATCCTGCAGTGGGTGAGACAGTTGTGCACAGTGAAGAATTGTCTCACCTCCTGCATGGCTTTCCAATAAACAGATGATCTGAGCTTGGAACGAACTCCCCTTTACAAACATCAACAAAGTGGTTTGGGTTTGTGCTGTTTTGTGTTGTTTTGCTGTGTTTAGAGATGGTCTCTGTTGCCCAGGCTGGAGTGCAGTGGCATGATAATACCTCACAGCAGCCTCCAACTCCCAGGCCCAAGAGATCCACCCACCTCAGCCTCCCATGCACCTGGGACTACAGGCTGGTGCCACCACACCTGGCTTGTTTTTGTTGTTGTTTTGCATTTAAGATATATTGAATTGCAAAGACCCTGTAAATCAAGGGATGCTTGAACTTAGCTTGGTCCAGAGCAAGAGTTGTTCACCATCTCACAAAATCATGTCACCAGTGCCACTTGTGTGGGAATCACCTTTTCAACCCACTTGTGTCCATCTGCATTTGTAGCCATAACTCTTTGCGAGTATGTAACCAAGGAGCTCTGAGACTTCTGTTTAACAGATGGAGAACTAAATATTACTAAATTAGCACAAAGATATATGAAATACAGACACTTTATTTCATTTATGAAGGCTGTTTAAAATATATATTATTGCCATGTTTTATGTTTTTAAATTTTTGGTAGCACAATAAGAAAGCTATATTGTGAAAAATTATGTTCTTATTTATGTATCTTTTGGTTGCCTGTTTTTTTTCAGCCTGACTGATACTGTCCCCAGATATCTACCACATAAATTCTCTATGCCCCTTATAGTGTAATTTTTCTTTTTCTTTTTTCCCTCAATCATCTTGTGGTCCCCATCACCTCCTAAAGGATATGGTCTCCAAGTGTTTTGAAGAATCAGAGGCCAAGTGTATCTTGGACATGTGGGGAGTTGCTATGGGCCTCCACGACAGTATGAGTGGCTCCAAGTCCTCAAGTGTCACTAAAGCTCAAGATTTTGACCCTATGCTTATACACAAGGCCCAACTCATTTGCAATGCTCACACCTCTCCTCATCTTCCCTTCTTCCACACTTTGTAATTTCTTTTGGTATGCCATTCCCTTCTCAGTTAACCTTATTACCCTTCCTCTGTTAGTATACATGAATAAGTCGGGTCTGTTCTTTACCTTAATCCATACCTCTGATCTTTTTTTGTCTGTACTTCCTAGATGGGTATGACTTCTGCTCCATCTATTCTCTTAAATCTAAACTTTATTCTTCTAAGTAGGCATACACATCTGACAATTTCATTATATCTTCTAAAGAAGTCATGCCTCAGCATTTACATACTGAAAAGTTTTGTTTTATTTTTATTTTTATTTTTAGATGGAGTCTTGCTCTGTCACCCAGGCTGAAGTGCAGTGGCACAATCTTGGCTCACTGCAACCTCTGCCTCCTGGTTTCAAGCAATTCTCCTGCCTTGGCGTCCCGAGTAGCTGGGATTACAGGCCCCTGCCATCACACCCGGCTAATTTTTTGTATTTTTAGTAGAGATGGGGTTTCACCATGTTGGCCAGGATTGTCTCAAACCCCTGACCTCGGGTGATCCGCCTGCTTCAGCCTCCCAAAGTGCTGGGATCACAAGTGTGAGCCACCACCCCCGGCCGAAGTTATGTTTTATGATAACTACTTGCATTTCTCCTTTCATTTTACAGTTAAGGTATCATATTGATTTGTTAAATTTAATTTATCTTGTCTATGAATTTTATTGCAGAGTAGTATGAAATATTTGTATTCACTTAAAGTGGAAAGACAATCTGCACACCTGGAGGAGATATTTGCAACATTTACAACTGGCAAAGGTTTATTACCAAGAATATATAAAGAAGTCTTATAAATCAACAAGAAAGAAGAAAAACAACAGAAAGAAATGGACAAAAGAAAAAGCATTTTATAAAAGAAGAAATGCTCATGGCCAGCAAACATATGGAGATGTTCAAACTCATGTGAAATGTAAATCAAGACCCAATAAGATAAGCTTTTATGTCCACTAAAATGGCAAAATGTTAATAGCTAGACAATCCAAGTATTGGAGAACATACAGATCCATGGGATCTCTTACATATCGCTTATAAGGGTACGCATTAGGACATAGGACACTCACTTAGAAAAAGTGTGGCATTATCTTGCAAAATCAAACACTCACATAGGCTGCTGTGCAGGTCCTGAGTCTGTTTGCCCTCAGATCCACTCTTTGCTATGCCCTTATGTCCTCAGTTTTCCAGCAGGATCTCGGCAGCCATGTCATCTTGCTTCCAGTTGGGCTCAGTTAATAAAAGAGAGAGAATGGAAGGTGGAAAGAAGGGAGAAGCCAAGGTGTTTCTCACCAGCACCCTCCCCTTCTCCTCTCAGGTAACATCCCCTGTGGTGGCCACAGCTCTCCGATGGGTCCAGTTCCCACAGGAAAGCCAGCCATGATTCTAACTTCTACCAGGTGACCCTGGCCCTGGGCTCTGGTGACACTAACCTTTTGTTTCTCTAGTCCTGGGGAGGGGTAGTAACAGCTTCCTGCTATTATTAATTTATGGATTGCCTCATTGCCTCCTGTGAGGCTTCTCAGCTATTGATTACCATACTACTCAGCAATAAAAAGGAAAAAACTATTGATACATGCAACAACTTTGTCGGACCACAAGAGAATTTTACCAACTAAAAAAGCCAGTCTCACATTGTTACATACTATATGATTCCACTTACATAACCTTCTAGAAATGACAAAATTATTGAGGTGAAGAACAGATTAGTGGTTGCCAAGGGTTAAAGACAGGGTTGGGGTTGGAGAAAGAAATCAGTGTACCTAAAAAGAAGCAGCCAGAGGGATCTTTGTGGTGACGGGACAGTTCTGTATCTTGATTGTGGTGGTGGTTATACAAATCTACGTGTAATAAAGTTTTATGTGTGCATAGAACTATGTACATACTCAAACAAATGCATGTAACCCTGGTGAAATCTGAATAAGGTCTGTGGATTGTGCCAATACCAGTGACCTGGTTTTGATACTGTATTATAGCTATCTAAGACATTATTATCAGGAGAAAATGGGGGAAAGGTACATGTACTTTTCTGTACTATTTTTGCAACTTCTCGTGAATCTGTTACTATTTCAAAATTAAAAGTATCTGAAAATCCATAGAGTGGTTTCTGTTTTTTCTGATTAGACCCTGACTGATACTCCTACAACCCCACAATTCCTTCCGCTCCTAGATGTATATTTACCTAGCAGATAGGCCCCAGAGAAACTCATAAATGCATGTGTAGCAGTTATTCATGACAGAAGAAAACCCAACCACTCATAAATAGGAAAATAAATAAATTGTGGTACAAACACGAACAAAATCTTATACAGCAGTGCAGATGAATGTAATATGCTATACACAGCAATATGGATAAGCCTGAACTCATAATGCAATGTTGAGTGAAAAGGGCAGGGCTCAGGACATTATTTATAAGTGTTTTATCAATGTAAAAACACAGCATTTGTTATAAATTTTAAAATTACCTAAAATGATACAACATATTGCTTAGATATATACAGGTGCATGTGTGGGTGTGTTTTTGCTTATGTTGCTGTGATATTTATTATTATTTTTTCCTAATCACTAGAAAATGTGGGAATTATATTAATTGTTAAACATAAGGGAAGGATAGGTCAGGCGCAGTGGCTCATGCCTGTAATCCCAGCACTTTGGGAGGCCAAGGCAGGTGGATCACCTGAGGTCAGGAGTTCGAGACCAGCCTGACCAACATGGAGAAACCCCGTCTCTACTAAAAATACAAAATTAGCTAGGCATGGTGGCACGTGCCTGTAATCCCAGCTACTTGGGAGGCTGAGGCAAGAGAATCCAGGAGGCGGAGGTTACGGAGAGCCGAGATTGTGTCATTGCACTCCAGCCTGGGCAACAAGAGTGAAACTCCGTAAAAAAAAAAAAAAAAAAAAAAACCATAAGGGAAAGATAAACACAAAATTCAGGAAAGTGGTCACAGAGCGGACAGGATAGAGAATGAACATAGGTGTCGCCACTGTTCCAGTTCTCATGTGGGGAGGCAGGCTCATGGGTGTTCAATATATTATTTGAAAGATGATAGATGATAGATAGATAGATAGATAGACAGGTTGATGGATAATGGCTAGATGATAAATAGATAGATATATAGATAATAAATAGACAATTGATAGATGACAGATATAGATGATTGATAGGTAAATAGATGATTGATAGATAAATAGGTAGCAGATAGATTGATTGATCGACTGATAGATAAAAGCAAAAGAGAGTCATGCAAAGACCAACCAATGACAGTGAGTCATGAATCAAGGATCACAACGAATGGCTCTACGACTTGAGGTCTACTGCATTATCTATGTCTCCATTTATTATTAAAAGGAGGTATGGAGTCTAATAACTCTGGGACCTCCAATCTAATGAGAACAGAAATCCATGTGCTCTCGGATTCAGAAAACTGATGCCCATTCTTGTGCCCCATCAGGGTTCTTCTGAAAGCTTTTTGGTTTCTCAGACTCCAGTATCCATCTGTCCTATCCCTAGGTTCCAGGCTTTTTCTACTCTGGACTTGCCAACCTCTCATTAGTTAATTCATTTTCTTAACACAACTTGCTCAGCATTTAGTATGTATCAAGTGCTCAGACCTGGAGACACAGCAATGAGCAGAAGACACCAGGTCTCTGTCCTCATGGAACTTACATTTTGTAGTTTGGTGGGGCAGACTGGGAGGGGGTGAAAGTTGTTCGGGAACAAAAGCAAATAAACAAGATAATAATTACAGCTTGTGGTCATTGGTATGAAGGAGAGATGGGAGTGAGAGGGGCAGGCAGCAAAGCCTTTCTGAGAAGGAGACATCTGAACTGAGAAGCAGAGGGTGCAGAAAAGGCAGGACTAAAGCTGGGGAAACAGTGCAGTTCCAGAGGGGACAGCGAGTGCAAAGGCCTGGAGGCAGGACAGACTTTGGCCTGTTTCAGGAACAGAAAGGAGGCCACTATGCCTGCAGTGTACTGACTGAGGGCATAGTGATAGCAGACTCCAGAGGTCATTTACAGGGAGGGCACCAGCTGTGACCAAGATACAACCTGAGTCTCCTGGCACTTATTTTCCTGTTTGCACAGATTGCTTGCTTCCTGGTGGTCATAATTTCCTCTACTTCTCTGAATCTTACCCACTCCTATAGACCAGGTCCTGCCCATCTCCTCCCAGAAACTTCCTCAACTCTCCCAGCTCTTGGGTATGGGGGGCACCTAATATGTGTTTGGCAGTGGGTGACTCTCTTCACTCTCTTACCTCCAAGCCAGTATTTCTTAAGGTATGGCTTTCTGACCATCTGAATTACAATCCCCTAAAATCTACCTAGGTTTTAAAAGTATTTTTAGTGAAATATTTGAATTATGGTGAATAGAATACTGATCATTCATGTACTTAATATCTGCTTCTAAGACCATTACCATTTGTCCATATTTGCTTCTGTTTTATTTTCATTTTTTAAGAAACAAAACACATTACAAATACATACATGTGCTTATCAAAAGGTCCCAATCTGGACCTACTCACTCAGAATTCCTGGAAGTAAAGCTAGGAATATGCGTTTTTGCAGATTTTACATTCCTTCCTCACTCCCCTTCCCTTACCCACAAAGTTTTTTTTTGTTTTTTGTTTTTGTTTTTGTTTTTGTTTTTTGAGACAGAGTTTTGTTCTTGTTGCCCAGGCTGGAGTTCAGTGGCGTGATCTCGGCTCACTACAACCTCCACCTCCTGGGTTCAAAAGATTCTCCTGCCTCAGCCTCCTGAGTAGCTGGGATTACAGGCACGTGCCACCACACTCAGCTAATGTTTTGTATTTTTAGTAGAGATGAGGTTACACCATGTTGGCCAGGTTGGTCTCAAACTCCTGACCTCAGGTGATCCACTTGCCTCAGCCTCCCAGAGTTCAGGGATTACAGGCATGAGCCACTGCACCTGGCCAGTGGTTTTTATACACAGTGAATATTGACAATTACTGATAGTGCCATTTTCAATCTTCTCATCCAAGTAGTTCTTCCTTATAGCTAATCCAGGGGGTCTTTGCTATGCATGAGAATCCCCTGGGGAATTTTTTTAAAATACAGATGTCCAGGCCCCTCCCTAATCTAGTAAACCAGACTGGGCAGGGATGTTAGGAATCTCTGCCATTAAAACCTTGCTGGTGGGTTTTTAACGGTAGCAGAGGTTGGGGCAGAGGAGGACCCACCTCCTGTCTGAAACACTCCTGGTGATCATCAAAGTGAGGATTCAGATGTCCTTCCACTTGCTGTCTCCCAGAAGGATGTCAACAAGCCTTTCCTATGCCCCTGCGGAGTACTGGGCAGGGCTGCAACCGAAAGATATTGGTCAGGCATGATGGAGAAGCCCTGACCTATGTCCGGGATGCAGTTTGAGCTCAGACATTAACTCAGTGGGTGGACTTGGAGGTACGGTTGGCAGATCTAGCAAAGAAATAGGATGACTGCTTAAGTTCAAATTTCAGATTTCCAACAAATAATTTTTTAGTAGAAGTATGTCCTAAATGTTGCATGCGACGTATGTGTACTACAAAATGATTTGCTGTTTATTTGAAATTCAAATTTAACTAGGAGTCTTTTATCTGGAAATCCTACTTGAGGGAGTATCTTCCGCGTCTCTGAACCTCTGAACCTGTTTCCCCATCTGGGAAATGAGAGGGCTGGACTAGATGGCCTCTGTGGGTCATGACAGCTTAGAGGTTAAGATGCATTGCGCAGGTCTAGGAGATTTTCTTCTCAGCCCCAGCAGGGGGAGCCCTAACCCGCCTCAGCCGCTTCACCAGCTAATGGCTCAGCCAGGAGGCAGCCGGGTCCCGCTGGCTCTGGGGGGCCGTCTGGAAACCAGGTTGTAAGACCTGGGAGAGTCCAGGTTTGCTCATCCCTAGGACAGCCTATTCAGAAGGAGAGAAAGGGAGATCAAAGTCTCTGAAGATAGGACCATCTCAGCCAGCGCCCCATCTGCCAAGATTTAGAAGAGAAGACTGAACCCCTAGAGGGGTAGGCACTTTTCCAGGTTCACACATCTGTCCTGAAAATTAGATTCCTATCACCCTGTCCAGGACTCCTTTGCATCTTTAGAGTACCTATGTTTTTCTGTTTCCAGCTGGAAGTGTTTAACCATTGCAGTCCTGTAGCCAAAACCAATGCAGACCCCAACCAGCCCAGTAGAGCCTAACAGGAGTGAGACAGCCCCGCGTCCCTTCACAGAGGGAGTGTGGTCTGGAAGAAGGAAACATTATGACTCATGGATAAAGTACCCGTCTAGGCAGTGAGGAAAGAGCAGACCCCTCACATTTAAGTTGGGAGTGGTAGTTGATGATGATGATGATAATTATTATGGTGACTATAATGATTATTTATTGGCTTTCTCTATGCTGGGACACAACAACCTATGAGACAAGGATCATTATCGTCAGGATTTTTACTGATGAGGAAACAAGTTCAGAGTGTTGGGTCATTGGACTAATGAGATTCCATCCAGTTCTGCAGCAGGAGTGGGAGGGAGGGCTGCTTCCATTCTCTGGCCCCTTTGACCTGGGTGCCTCCAATTTCATCAAGAGCCTGGCCAACTCCTCCTCAATGAAAGGTACAGGGGGCCAGGATTATCTCCAAAGGACCCACACCTTCCCATGAAGAGTCAGTGCCTAAAGGAAGGGATGCTCACCACTTCAGTTTAGGAGATGATTTTAGGAGAGTTACGAATTTGGCATTAAGATTGAATTAATTACAGTTCAATTATCCTTTGGTCTTTCTATCAAGGAGAACATCTCTAAGATTTCTTCTTGAAACAAGAAACAGCATTCTTTAAGAAGCATGAGGCAAGGCCAGGCAGGGTGGCTCATGCCTGTAATCCCAGCACTTTGAGAGGCCGAGGCGGGCAGATCATGAGGTCAAGAGATCGAGACCATCCTGGCCAACATGGTGAAACCCCGTCTCTACTAAAAATACAAATCTTAGCTGGGCCTGGTGGCACACACCTGAGGCAGGAGAATCGCTTGAACCCAGGAGGCGGAGGTTGCAGTGAGCCAAGATCACGCCACTGCACTCCAGCCTGGTGACAGAGTGAGACACCGTCTAAAAAAAAAGAAGCATAAGGCACATTTATAACTGCATAACATTGTTTTTTCATTGTATGTGCATTTTTACCATATTTACCTTTAAGGTTTATCTCTATGGTAAATGATACTAATTTTTCATCTAAGGTAATGATACAATTTATTTTAAATGTTAAAATTTTTGTTTTTTTTTTTTTAAAAAAATTGATTTGAAGTGGGGAGAAGGACAGATAGAAGGAGGATATAGAAGCTCTACCCTTAAGGGTTCTGGATTCTGAGGGACCCTGTTAACTCAGCTGATGAATTTTGCTGAAGCCAGCAGGGCATGCAGCCCTACCCTGTCCTCCCGCCCGGGGCCCTGAGCTGATTCATACATCATGGCTCTTTGATGCTGATTTTTTTTTTTAAACTTTGGAGCTCCCTATAGTGAAACATCCAGATATGAGGGAGGAAGCTCCAGGTTCCAGTTCTCCCCCTTTATCGGTGCCTCATCACATGACCAAGTCACCCAAGCTCCCTGAACGTCAGTAAGTTGGTGGCAGAGCTACCGTGATAGTAACATGTATTCCATGTATGATCTGCCCTGGGCTGACCAAGGGACAGACTGCATCATTCAGTCCACAGGGCAAATGTTACATCTCCCACCTACCTGAAGGAGCACCCGGTCCAAGTCATTTTCCATGATAGTTCTCTGCTTTATTTCCTTTACAGCACGTTTTTATCAGAAACAGTATTGCAAATTTATGTGTGGTCTGCCTGCTAGAATGTTAGAAAGCTCCAGGGGAGCAAGGATCACGCACGCTGCCTACTCATAAGATCCCCTAACACATTGCAGGTACCTGATGAATGTCGCCGAATGACTGAATGAGCCAATGCTGAAATTTACTTCAATTCCTCTCTCTACAGATTCCTAGAGATTATGAGACTAGTGCTGGGCTTGCATTCCTCAAATGGCCAGCACCAAATGGGCCAATCTCTCCTACTGCTCGCCCTCCCACTGTGTAGAAGAGAACACCAGAATACAGTTTGATTTTTTAGGAGCTTTTATTGTTTTAGTAATCTTAACATAACTTAAAATAAGAGAGGGGAAATGACATCTGGAGATCTAGGTATGTGGCCCATTGCAATTGAGCACATTTCTTGGGTCTGTTTCTCTATCTCTAAGGGGAGTCTCAAAACCCCAGCTCAAAATACGACACTAACATGATGAACATGCATGAGCTTTGAAAAGTGCTCTGTAGTCTTATGATGATCTAGAAGAGCACTGTCCAATAGAACTTTCTGTGATGATGAAAAGATTCTACTTCTGACCTATTCAATAGGGTAACCACTAATCATGCATGGCTCTCAAGCACTTGAAATGTTGCTAGTGTGATTGGGGAGCTGCGTTTTGAATGTTAACTAATTTAAATTTAAATCTTAAAAAGTTACATGTGGGTAGTGGCTGCCGTACGGAACAGTACAGCACTAGAATAATGCTGTGTCCTCCTGTTACACATACTCATGGTCTCTCCTACTCTCCCTTCATCACACCTGTGACATCTTGCAATTTATATTTGATTGTGTCATTATCTAATGTATTCCTCCTGGACTCTAAGCTCCAAATGAACAAATGCTTTGTCTACTTTGCCATAACTGTGTCCCCAGTGCTTGGCATGGGACCTGGTGCAGAGTAAATACATCATAAATATTTTGTGAATGAATGAATGAATGAATGACCATGATTAATAAAAGGATATAGCTGCTCAGTCTGGTGCTGATAATGGTGGTAGTGATCAAAAGGGTTAAACCACAGGTCATTAAATGAAAACAGCTAACTTAGTGCTTACAGGAACCATACACTCCCTGTGTATAAACATGCCGGTGTGTGTGTACAGGTGTGTGTGTGCAAAAGCATAATGTGTTTGCAAAGGTTTGCATTTGTGTAGTCATGTGTAGACATGTATGCTCATGTGTTTTTGTGTCAGGATAATAAGGTGACTAAGACTAAGACACATGCAAATCACCCAGGAAGGCAGTTTCTAAGTCATTACTTTTTATTTTGAAGGATTTGTGAAACTCTTCACATCATGGTGAGAGTTTGTATGATTAATAAGAAGCAGCTTTTTCATGAAATGCTTGGAGGTGAACGAGTTCTCAGCCTGTGAGATCCGACCATCCCATTAACTTTGAAGTTTCTCTTGATTAATAGAAGAAAAAAGGGGAGGGTGAAGAAAAGGAGGAACATGCTAAAAACCTTATGACAATCATCCAAATGTGAGGAAAGAACAACCGATTCACCAACTCCACTTTTTCTATTTTACAACTTTCTACATCTCACTCTTGATTTTGGCCTTCCTGGCTGAAACAGCCTGGCAGTCCCTAGAGCCCCTGAGAAGAGCCCTGGTTCTCCAAAAGACAGAGGAGGAGAAGCCCTGCAGGATGCGCTGACCACTTCCCAGAGAACTGACAGTCCGTGCTCCCAAAAGTTTGAACCAACAGCCTAATGTGAAAAGAAACTGCACTGAAAGGTAAAGGAGGAAATGGTGATGAACTGGGCTTATGTGAGAATGTCTATATTTTCATAACACAGCCCCAGAATCTTTCTCTCAGTTACAGCCTCAGGCAAACCACGTTCTGGTTGGTGGGTTCTGCAGGGATCTCTCCCACCACTGAGCCTCTAGTCCCAAAACCATCCTTGACAACATCGTGTGTCTGTTACTTCCCTTTGCCCACCTCCAGGCCACCTGGGGAAGCCCACAGGCAGCCAAGACCCTGAAATGAAATGAACACAAAGTCTGACTCGGTAAGTATTAGTTTCAAACAGAACACTAAAGAGAAAAGTTGAAGCTGCAATGTGTGTTTAAGGCAGAGCCCAGCAGATCCGTGTCCACCCATGTGCCAATAAGACAATGGGCAAAGCTACAAATGGCAAGAGAAAAATGGGACTATTAATGCGTGTGGAAAAGGCCTTAATAGTTAAGTTACAGCTAAGAATGTCATGTCTTGGGTTAGAATTTTCATTTTTAGCACCGTTAATGTATTCACTTAAATCTATGTTAGCACCTTGTCTCCAGGCAGAACAACAAACCATCCAAACATTTTAAACATTGGGGGAAACACGAAGGGGAGGGTTAAAGAGAGAATCCGGTACTGTGGAAGGAGTGGATTTAGATCACAAGATCCTTGTCGATATCCTCTGCAAAGCAAGAAAAGAGCACGGTTAAAAATAAGGCTGTGTCGATGATAACGCACTTCCCAAGGAGTCAGTGGACTCCCACCCATCCCCAGGGGCAGGGGTCTAGGTGGCCATGCAAGGTCACCCAGGAAGTCAGTGACGGAGGAATCTCGCTCTCTCTGTCTCTGGCCTGTCCCTGTCTCTTACACACGCTGCCAAGTTACACTTCCTGTTTCCTCTCTGTGTGCCTGCCAGTTCCCAAAATAGTGTTTAGCACGGGTGAGTGCTAACGCTTGAGGAAGGGAAAGAGAGAGGGACAGTTGGATGGACAGAGAAGGATCAGGAAGACGCCCAAGAGACAGGAGTCAAATAGGCAGAGAGAGCAGAGACAGGCAGAGAGGACAGACAACAGACAGACCAAGAGAGCGGAGAGTGGGGGGATGACAACCCAGCACCCTGGGAGCAGTGTTTCTGCCCATGCCCCTTGCTTCTTTGTTCAGACACTCACTCTGCTTGATGCCGAAGCAGCCGGCCCACTCATCCAGGGCGATGTACTTGTCATTGTCCAGGTCACAGGTCTCGAAAAAGCGGGTGGTGCAATGCTCCATGGGGATGAGGGGAGCACGCAGTGGAGCCAGCTCGGTGTGGGAGAGGTACCTGCAGGGAAGGAGGCAGGGGAGGGCCTGAGGCATGGAAAAGCTCCACACCCAGCCTTGGGAGGCAACCGGGGAGTTAGCCTGCCCCAGAGCATGGAGGAAAGGATATTTAAAGCAGGACAAAAAGCCAGAATCCCAGGTCTACCCCTAGCTCTGCCACTGACTGCTCTGAGACTCAGAGAACAGCAGTGCACCATTCGGAACCTCAGTTTCTCCTTCCAGCAAAGAGGAGGAGATGGCCATAATTACTAACGGCCCTTCCAGCTCTAAGGTTTCAGGGTCTCAAAAACAAAGGTCTGTTTGGTGTATTTGATTGTTTCCTAATTGGCTGAGAACTGGGGACACAGAAACTTAAAATCAAAATTCAGCACTTCTGCTATGGGTAGATCAAAATCTAGCATGACACAGCACTGTATATTGTCTATGGACACACATTTATACATCTATAAATGCCTAGTAAAGGGTCTAAAAATGACACACCAATCTGGTGACAGTGCTGCCTTCTGGGGAGGAATGTGGAAAGGGACTGGGATTGGCAGTGAGGGTCAACGGGAGCTCTAACCATCTTCATAGAGCTTTGCTTGTGTATCCTGTAATGTCTGAGAGGGAGGCCCTTTGGATGTCTCTCCCACTGTCCTCCCTCCCTATTCTCCCTGCTGGCCTTAGACTCCAGAGCATGTGTATAATTTTTTTCTTTGTTTCCCAGAGCCCCCAACTACTTGTCCCTAAAGATCCACAAAGGATCTCCAGGGAACAATGTGACTCCAGTTGTCTTCTTAACCTCTAGACCTCGCAGCCCCACCCAGCTCACCAAAGAAATCACACAATGTTTGAACTGATAGGAACATTCTCCTCCCCTTCATTGTACTGGTGGAAAACTGAGGCCCAGGGAGGGGCAGGGATGCAGGCAAGGTCACCTACAGCCCTGGGATGGGAGGAGGAGGAAGCGGGTCCCCTTGCCCAAGCTGGACCCCTTTCCCAGATGTGCTGTTCTTGCACCCCATCTGAAAGCCTCCCTCCAGGCCCTCTGTTGCAGTGGGATCAAATTGCTTTGCCTGAGCTCCAGATGTTCCCCTTTGACTTTTCCCCTCCCTGCCATAATGAGTGACTCAGTTGGATCCCAGCCATGGCAAAAGCCTGGGAGAGAAGTGGCCGGGAGATTCCCAGAGCCCAGGAGACCCCAGCCCTCAGGATCACTGGCAGGGTTGGCAGACTCCAGGCACACAGGCTGGACAAAGAGCGAGGGGTGAACATCCTAGAGAGGAAGTTCCCTGAGTATGTGAGTAGGGCAGCCCTTCCTTTCCCCTCTGTGTGATGCTCTGCTTCCACAACCCAAGGACGAAGAAAAAACCACTCTGGGAAGGTGCAGGTGTAGCTTGCTCCATCTGAGGCTGAGCAGGGGCTCTCACTTCATCACCACAAGAGAAGTTCAGAAGGTAGTGACAGGTTATGAACAGAGTATAAGTCCATGAGGGCAAGGACCATGCCAGCTCTGACTGCTGTTCAATCCCCTGCCTAGAATAGTGCAGGGCACAAAATGCACACTCCATAAGCATTTGCTAACTGGCCAGCTGCCTGCCTGTTCGGCAGTGCAGTTGCACAGGGCCTCATAACTCGTTTGGACAAGGGACAAGAGCCCTCAAACTGGGGGCTTGCAAAATAGACAGGCTTTTTTGGATAACTTCCAGGGTCAGTTGGGCCCTATTGGGGCTGAGCCTTAGGAGGGGGCTTAGACAGTGCCAGGTGGCTGCTCTGCCCCTGGATGTTCTGCTGAAGGACAGGGGGCGTGTGGCTGACCCAACCTTGTCCCCTGCCACCCCTTGGAGCCTGGTACTCCTTCTTAATTCACACTCCTTCATTATCCAGATATCCACGCCTAGTACTTGCAGGATTATGGAGCTATTTTGAGCTCCTACTGACTTTCACCTCAGCATGAGAGTGTCTTATCGGTTTCTTTGTCCCAGGTCCACATCTTTTCTCCAGATGCCTCATCCTTCTGCTCCAATCCCCAGGCAAACTGTGGATGCCAGGGCTTGGAGCAGTATAGGCTGCTGAGAGGCTTTCTGGCCATAGCTAGTGCACCTGCCAGCCTTGAGCTCTGTTCACTCTAGGGTCTGGGGTCTTACCCGTCAATGGGGTGCTGGTCCAGCTGGCCGAACTGCCAGTGTACAGGGAAGATGTACATGTTATAGTTCTTCTCGAAGTCCCGGGCCAGCAGCTCCACGGGGTGGTCTCCTGCCTCCAGGCGCTTCTCATTCTCATGGATCTTCTTCACCTGAGGGAGTAGAGACTGTGTGTGACAAGAGGTCCATGGAGATTGTCTGGACCAGTCGGGCCCTCCCACCCCTCCCAGAAGGCCAGAGCAGGCAGAGACTAGCCAGACCAAAGCTCACAGCGAGGGGAGGGAGGTGTCATAGATGGGTACTAGCATCTCATTCACAAAAATAGAAGCCTGGGATGACCTCAAAGAATTCTCCATATAGCTACCCACATCAAAATCACCTGGCGAAGGCCGGGCACACACTCACACCTGTAATCCCAGCGCTTTGGGAGGCTGAGGCAGGCAGATCACCTGAGGCCAGGAGTTTTGAGACCAGCCTGGCCAACACAGTGAAACTCCATCTCTACTAAAAATACAAAAATTAGCCAGGTGTGGTAGCATGCCTGCAGTCCCAGCTACTCAGGAGGCTGAGGCAGGGGAATCACTTGAACCCAGGAGGTGGAGGTTGCAGTGAACCGAGATCGCACCACTGCACTCCAGCCTGGCAACAGAGTGAGACTTTGCCTCAAAAAAATAAAATAAACATAAATCACCTGGGGAGTATTTAGAATGCAGCTTCCTGGGCCTTGCTTTCTAGAGACACTGTTTCAGTGGCCTGAGATGGGGCCAAGGAATCTGCATTTTATCAGCTTCTTGGGGTAGTTAATATGCTCATTAAAGCTTAAGATCCACAGACTCCAAAGGAAAAAGGAATAGGGCTGTTTGTGTCTCTTTTGTTTAACGTTAGGTTAAGCAAAGGGAGCAGGTCTCTGCTGCAGGACTTCTCAGAGCCTCTAAGATGTTAATGTGCACCACAGCCTCCAAAGGCAGGAAGAGAAGTACGTGTCCTGGTGCTCAGGGGTAAATGCACGCTCCGGAGCAGGATGCCGCCCTGCAGCTGGGGGCCCAGTTCTAGGAATGGGACTGGATCTTCACCAGCACGGGGCCAGCAAGGCCAGAGAGACCACTTACCCGCAGCTTCTGCTTCTCAGTCAGAAGGTTGTTGTCCTCATCCCTCTCATACAGGGTGACCAGGACGTTCTTGAGCCAGTCCCGCATGCGCAGGGGGAATTCGGTCAGCTCAGAGTCCAGGCAAGGGGGGATGTCTAGGTTCCAAACACAAGGGCGGTCAGCACAGACCCTGCCTGGGCCGTGCTCCCCACCCCAGGCCCCCACCCACCCACATACCACCTGCATTGGTGGCCTTGGCACAGTGGCTCAACCTCTCCAGGCCACAGTTTCTTCACAGGACAATGAGCAGAGGAGATTATGTGTGGGAAGAATGCCCTAGAAATGCATTGTGCAAAGGCATGGCTGCTGCTTTCCTCAGCCTAATCTGCTCTGCTCAGGGAAATGGATGGCTCCTGCACCTTACTGGGTGCTGGGCTTTGGGTGTGATCCTAGCTGAGACTGAGCCCATGTTGTTCACGTCAACCACTGGCAGGTGTTTGAAGCTGGGAGGCTGAGGGATCACATCTATCCACAGGCCCAGCTTGGCAGGGAGTGGGGAGTAGAGGACTCAGGAATGTGTAACCACCAGAACCTTCTTAGAAATGATTCCAACCTGGTCTTTGGAACTTAGAATCCCAAATGTTGGACCTGAAGATTTCATCCAAGTCCACACTTTTCTTTTCCTTTTCTTTTCTTTTTTCTTTTTTTCTTCTTTTTTTTTTTTTTAGACAGGGTCTCACTCTGTTGCCCAGGCTGGAGTGCAGTGGCACAATCACGGCTCACTGCAGCCTCAGCCTCCTGGACTCAACCAATCCTCCCTCCTCAGCCTCCTGAGTAGCTGGGACTACAGGCACATGCCACCATACCCAGCTAATTTTTGTATATTTTCCAGAGACAAGGTTTTGCCACGTTGCCCAGACTGGTCTCGAACTCCTGAGCTCAAGTGATCCTCCCTACTCGGCCTCCCAAAGTGCTGGGATTACAGGCGTGAGCCACCGCGCCTGACCCAGGTTCACACTTTGTACTGGACTTATTAGAGGTCAGCATGGAGAGAAGGGACTTGCTCAAGGCCACAATGTCAGAGCCTCATCCAGCATCCAGGGCAGTGTGGTCACCTGGGGGCTTAGGGGTCTGTTCTTCCCTCATCATTGAACCAGGGAAAGTCCCCTCTGTGAGGCTACCTTCATCATCAGCTGGGGTCTGGGAGAGAATATCTGGTGATAAAAACCTTAGGAGTTGAAGTGAGTGGGCAACATGCCTCAGGGAAAGCAAAGCCACTTCATAAAGACTCCTTAAGACAGGCTCTCTAGTCTTGCTGCCCAGGGACTTCCTACCCATGCTTCTTCCCCCAACCCTCCTTTTCTACTCTGTACCTTCTCAATTTCATACCTGGGGTCCCACGAGGAGAACTTTGTTTCCCACCCCCTACATACTTTTCTGCACCCTGTACACCTGAGGTAGGTGAGTGGCTCTCCTCATTGCCATCGGGTGCCAGAATACACAAGACCCACAGTGTGGATGTTGCCTTGGAGGGGGAGCAGGTGTGGTCTTGGGGGTCTCCCATGATAGGGAGGATACTGAACAAGGCACTTGGCCCCACTGAGTTTGCAGCTGGGGTCACTAACCAAAGATCAGACCACACCCTGGCATCCCTCCCCAGACAACTGACTCCCAGGTTTCCAGAAGAGGGTGCTTATCCTCTCTCTTCGGAGGGCAGATAGGAATGTAATGGAGTAAAAGGGTGAAGATATGACAGTACCAAGTAACAGGGCCCAAAGCAAACCGACAGGCATGCCCTTATTTTAAAGCATTCAAAATCAGATATTTTCAAAATATTTTGTAGGCCCAGGTCAAACATCATTTTTGCTTTACAGTGTTGAAGCAAGAAAGATTCAACTTAGCCTGAGAGAAGAAATTCTTCCTCATTAGAGAAATGAAATGCAGTTGTCTCAGATGCTAGTGAGAGACTCCAGAAATCTTCCCTGATGTTGACCTTCCATAATCGCTCAGTCCTTCCCCAGAAAGTGCCCTGAACTCAGAGTTGAGAGGAGCCAACTCATAGACAATTACCTCATTTTATAAATGGGGATGCCGAGACTCAGAAAGGGAGAGAGATTTGCCCAAGATCACCCAGCATGGGGGTGGCAGAGACAGCATCAGTGCCAGCTCAGAGCTCTCTCCCCAAGACAGGAGTCTGGAAGGGCCCAAGGACACTCACATTTGCAAGGCCCGATGTAGTCCAGGTGGAGCTTGTGGCCCTTCTTGGTGCCCTCCAGGGTGCACTTTGTGGCAAAGAAGTGGCAGGAAGAGTCGAAGGTCTTGTTGTCATTGCTGCACACCTGTTGGCAAAGCACAGAGTACCCCCTCCTTCATTCCCAAAGCCCTTCGCTGATACCAATATCCTTGTCCATTTCAGAGATGGGGACACTGAGGGTTAAGCAAGGAATGTCATTAGCCTGAGGTCATATAGTGAGTTAGTGATAGGGCTGGGCCACAAATCCACTTTTTGGGTTCCCAGGTCAATGCTCAGCCCAGGCTGAGAGCCATCGATGGTCTCTGAGCAGAGGCATGACTGAGTCAGTTCTGAGATATAGGGAAAAAAATCCTGGAAGATATTTGAAGAGAAAGTTAAAGACAGGAATGGGAGAGAAACAAGAGTGTTCAAAGAAGAGTTAACATAGCAGGCCTGGAATTGTTATCCTTAGAAAAGGCCTGCTTGTAAGGTCAGCCTGTGGCTGGTGTCTGGGAACTTAGCTGGGAAACAGTTCTCTGCACTGTTGTAAATCTTTCCCTAACTGATAAGAGTGGCTCGCTATGCCTGGACTGTTTGTACAAACAATCTGGTTTATGCTGAACATCTGCTTTCCTTCTGGAAGTGTGAAATTCTGGTGCATGCTAGGCAAAGGGTACCTATGTGACCAGCCTCCAATTAAAACTTTGGGTGCTGAGTCTCTAATGAACTTCCCTGGAAAGAAACATCACTCACATGTGGCTGCCTCTTTGTAGCTGGGGTAAGAATGCACTCTGATGACCCCTCTTGGGAGTCAGTCAGTCTCCACCCAGATTCCTCCAGACTCTGCTAGTGTCTTTTTCCCTTACGATCCAGCTGTATATCCTGAATATGTCGCTGTACTAAACCTTAGGTGTGAGTACAACTGTATGCTGAGCCAATGGAGTCCTAGTCGATCTCTGAACATAGGGGTGGCCAAGCAGAGATGTTGAGGGCTGGACATGCAGTGGCCGTAAGTAGCTGTGTTAGGAGGAGGGGAGCCTGTGTTGAACATCCTGTCCGTACTTATTTAGTATAGCTTATATGTCACTGCAGAGGGAGAACTGATGGGCACTGGTGACTGGGCACTGGGAGTGGGGAGGGGTGAGGAGGAGGAAAATGTTAACAATGATATTAAAATGTGGAGCCCAGAGGCTATGTAGTCTCTGGAGAAACTGAAGATGGAGAAGCCAGATGGGAGGCTGTAGGAATAGTGCTGGCCCTAGATTTGCTGCCATGAGCTAGACTGCCACTAGCATGATGGTAGGCAGGAGCAGGCACTCAAAAAATATTTACTTGGACGGATGGATGGATCCTATTGGAGAGAAGGGACATATTTGAGAGATAA
Source organism: Homo sapiens (assembly GCF_000001405.40). Taxonomy (NCBI): domain Eukaryota; kingdom Metazoa; phylum Chordata; class Mammalia; order Primates; family Hominidae; genus Homo; species Homo sapiens. The sequence goes on from NC_000005.10 coordinate 151,671,063, forward strand.
TTTAAAATTAAGTAGCATTTATTGGATACTTGTTATGTACCAAACATTTCTGACACATCTCCACAACAGATCTATGAGTTAAGGACTATTTTTATCCTCTCTTTGGATGTGAGAAAACTGAGACCTGAAAAGGTTCGGCAACTTAGCTTAAATCTCACACCTAATAAGTGATGGAGATGAGGTTTGAAGTCAACCTTCAGTTTGGCCCCAGAACCCGTATTTTTGGACCTGATTCTTTGCTGATGCTGTTATACTCTTAGCTCTAAGAGTCTGGCACAGGGCTTGGAACCTGATGGTGCTGTTTAAAGTCTTGCTGGTTGCTGAAAAGATCCAGTGCCAGGCAGAGCACTCTGACTCATCCCCTCTTTCCTGCTGGGACTAGGTCTAGCAAGGGGACTTCTGAGACTGGCACTGCCCCATAGAACCACCAAGCCAACAGTTTCCTGAGCAGACATCCTGTATTCCGAAGTGCCCAATCCCTTCCCCCTGCCCCTGTCTCTCAGCCCTCACCTTCTCAAACTCGCCAATGGGGGCTGGGCAGCTGGTGGGGTCCTGGCACACGCACATGGGGGTGTTGTTCTCATCCAGCTCGCACACCTTGCCGTGTTTGCAGTGGTGGTTCTGGCAGGGATCTGTAGGGCAGAAAGACAAGGGAGTTAGCATCACCTGGACTAGCACATCCACCCCCATCCTACCTGGACAGATCTCAGGGCTGACAGTCCTTGACTGTGGCCCCCACTCTGGGCTTTGGACAGCCCTGAGTCCTGCCTGCTCTTGCACTGAGCCTCACAGTCAACATTTAGGGCAGCAGCTGGTTCAGCCTGGGGATTAGAGGTTTAGCTTGAGATAGAGGTCAGGCACTTCTGGGGGGCTGGAGGCTCAGTCTGGGACCCAGAAACACTAGATACCATATGGCTTTCCTGAAGATTGAAGCAACCATTGTGTTCCTGGGTCTCCATTGAACAATCACAGTGGGGCATTTCTGGATTCCAGAATAAGCTTTCTAGAATGGCTTAGAAAGTCAGCTGTTGACACTGAGCCAGGGAGCTGAGGCCCAACAAAACAGACTTAAGTGGCAGTAAAGGAAAAGGGAGAAGAGCCTCAAAGTCCATGCTGGACAATAGAGCCTGGTAAACACCGGATGAGGTGGGCGTGGAGGCGGGAAGGAACATGACTCAGTAGATGTCCCTCTGTTCAACAGAAACCCTGTGCCCAGCTAGATCAAATACCATTAGCTATCCCCTCAGGATGAGAGCTTAATGTGGCCTTTTCCTCGCAATGCTTTATTTTGGGTGTTTTAATAATCCTTTAGCGGATGCCTACTCAGCTTGTCTGAAAACTTCCCGGCAGCCCTGGGACAAGGGTCTGCCATCTTCATCAGCCCCATATGAGAGATGAGAAACTGAGGCTCCGAGATGCTAAGCAAGCTGGCGTGGAGAAGCCTAGGTTCAAAGCTTGGTTGGACCGCTTCCAAAGTCCTTGCTCTTAACCCCTTGAGTACAAATGCTTTGCACCTAGGGCTGGAGCCAGAGCCCCTAGGTCATTTCTCTCCCAGGGCACTAACGCATGGATAGCATGGTACGGATTATGTCAGGTTGCATTTCCTCAGGACCTCGTTTCCTTGGACTGTGTGAAATAGAATGAGCTTATGAGTGTGCAAGTTCCTGATCTCTTCTCTCAGTTCTACTTCTCTGTGGGGCACGGGCTGATACAGAAGCAATGGGAGATTTCGGTGACCAGATGTGATCAGCGACCTCCGTGGGACTGGGAAACTCAGCTTTGGACTCAGGGCAAAGAGCTATGAGGGGAGAAGCCCATTTCCAGCTGGAGAACTCTCCTTCCTACCACACACATGGATGGCCTGGAAACCGATCTTGCCCAGATCCCAGGGGACTGAGTGCCACAGTTTCCCACTTGTTAAGTCAAAGCCGTGTTTCCTTCATAGCCCACTGAGGACCCCACCCTGCATTTCTGCTGGAAGGAGCCTCATGTAGGCTGTCCTCGTGCCCCAGGCCCAGGCAGCCAAGGGCAGCTTGGATGTGCCAAGTTACAGGGAAGGGACATACTTTCCGCCACCACCTCCTCTTCGGTTTCCTCTGCACCATCATCAAATTCTCCTACTTCCACCTGGACAGGATTAGCTCCCACAGATACCTGGAATTGAGGGAGAAGAATGGGTGAAATGGCCCCACTCCCATCCCAGACCCATAAGGGTAGCTGAAGGGTTCCAGGTCACAGAAAGCACAAACGCAGGGTTGGGAATCCAGATTTAATCTATAGGCCTGCTGTGTTTTGCAGTATGCCTGGGATTCTGTTGAGCTGCCTTAGAGGTCACCAGGGGTGTTAGGGAAAGAGAGTGTGAAAGGAAAATATACCTTGGACCCCAAAATCACTAAGCTAAGGGGAAAAGTCAAGCTGAGAACTGCATAGGACAAACCTGCCTCCTATTCTATGCAGTCATCCCTCTGAGGCTCACCTGAGACAAACGCTTATCTGATTGCTTCCTCTCCCCTATTGTTTATGTAAAAATGCAGATTCACTGAGCCAGATTAAATTGTGTATTCAGGGGAAGGCTGATCAAGGACTCAAAGGAATGCAACCATTTGTCTCTTATCTACTTCTAACCTGGAAGCCCTCACTTCTCAAGTTGTCTTGCCTTAGCGAACTCAACCAATGCACAATTTAGACATGTTGATTGAAGTCTCGTGTCTCCCTAAAATGTATGAAAGCAAACTGTACTCCCGACCACCTTGGACACATGTCTCAGAACTTCCTGAGGCTGTGTCACAGGCACATTCTTAACCTTGGCAAAGTAAACTTTCTAAATTGACTGAGATCTATGTTCACAAGAGGGTGTCAAGCCTCCACCCCTGCCAGCCACACCCAAGCATCTCCCCTTTCCTCTGTGTGTGTGTGTGTGTGTGTGTGTGTGTGTGTGTGTGTGTGCTTGTTTGTTTGTTTGTTTTTGAGATGGAGTCTCATGCTGTCGCCCAGGGTAGAGTACAGTGGCGAGATCTTGGCTAACTGCAACCTCCACCTCCCGGGTTCAAGCGATTCTCCTACCTCAGCCTCCCGAGTAGCTGGGATTACAGGCACCCGCCACCACGCCCAGCTAATTTTTTGTATTTTTAGTAGAGACAGGGTTTCACCATGTTGGCCACACTGGTCTTGAACTCCTGACCTCGTGAATTGCCTGCCTCGGCCTCCCAAAGGATTACAGGGATTACAGGCATGAGCCACCGCACCCGGCCTCCTCTGTTTTACGTTTGCAAAAACTGTGGGTAATCATGGAAGAACAACTGTTGCATAGCTTAAAAAACAAAAATTTTAAGGTCCTGGTCCCCAAACGTAGGGTTCCGTTGAAGGTTTGGGAAGCATTCAGGAGTGTGTCAGGATGTGGGATATACTCAGGGTTTGCATCTATGCTATGTGTGTACAGGGAGACGAATGCCCCACTCTAGCATTGAGACCCACAGCATCCGCCCTAATTTCTCAGGGCACAGATACAGGTAGAGAGGGGCTAAGGGGCTGCGGTCACTGCCCACATACCTCAGTCACCTCTGCCACAGTTTCTTCCACCACCTCTGTCTCATCAGGCAGGGCTTCTTGCTGCTGTTGGAAAGAGAAAGTAGCGTTCAGAGGGGTCAGGAATAAGGCCAGCTTCACCTCCAAAGTGCCTGTGGCCTCGGATACAGGCTAGGGGAGCTTGGAGAGCAGCTTACTGGAGATCCCCAAAGTTGTGCCTCATGGACTGCCATGGTGAGGGACAGAACAAAGAAGAAGCCAGTCATGTGAGCACCGTGGAACACTCAAGCAGCTCCCATTTTATATATTTTATATCCTAGGTGTCTACCTAAGATTTAGCTTGGAAAAGTATTTCTGCTGCTTTGAATTCTTATAAAGTCTGAAAATCACTGATCCAGACCAATTCTTTCACTTTACAGATAGGAAAATTGACATCCAGAGGGGATGACACTGTGAATTTTAACAGATGTCATCATCTTCCTCACAGTGTGATATTATTAGTAGTATTATTAGGCAATTTTTCTTGCCATTTCAACTTGGAGTAGGAGGAAGCAAGAAAACACACAACTTTGAGGCCCTTAGCTGGCTGGAGCTGCTTCAAAACTTAATGCCAACTTTGAGAAACTTTTGCCTCCATCTACCAGCCTGATCAAGATTGCCAGGGTCTGCCATCACTCCCACTTCTTAGTAAACAGAGGATGAGGGGATCACAGGTTGAAAGAAATTGCACTTTTTGCCTGCCCTGTTTCTTCCTCCTCTCCTTGTGAAGGCTTCCAGATGAGCTGTGGATAACTACTCCTGTCCCTGCATGCAATGCTTCGAGGAACTGTCTGTCAATCAAGGGGCCCCACTCTCACCTGGCCAAGAAGCTGGCTCAGGACCCAAGCTCAGCCAGATTGGCTCTCATTTTTTGAATTTATAAAAACCTTCTTGGCACATTCTCTCAAGATGTGAAAATTGCTGGAGTTGATTCATTCAGACAGCAATATCTCAGAGACTGTCCATTAGTTCTTAACTCCCAAAGCCTAGAGCTGCCCTTTTCCAGTCCTCCCCAAGGCCTTTAATATTATAATCTACCTCTGTATCTTCCCCTCCTTCCCCAATTTAGTCAGATTGAACTGTTGCTTACAACCAAACAACCCTCACTGTTTCAGAAGCCAACACATTCCTCTCTCTATAGCTTGAATCTCTTCTAATACCACCCCTACCAGAAATCCCCCACATCCTGTCTCCTGCCTGCTTGAATTCCTCATATGACAAAGAGGTCATTTCCTTCTAAAGCAATCCTAGTTCATTGCTGGGAGGCTCTGACTACTAAGAAGTTTATCTAACATTACATGGAACTCTCTCTTCTCTGATACCTCCACCCAATGGTCCTCATCCCAGTTTTTATCCCGAGCTTCCTAACTTAAGAAAAAAAAAAGACCACTAACTTGAAATGGGGAAGTCCCTGTTCCCTTTCAGCATCCAGGGCTGGCAGGCTCAGAACCCCTGGTGCTAGCGGTAGGAATGAAAACAAGAAGACATGATATTTAGGTACTTACAGGGGCTGCCAAGGCCCTCCCGGCCAGGCAAAGGAGAAAGAAGATCCAGGCCCTCATGGTGCTGGGAACCCTATGGGGAGGAGAGATTGAGAGTTCAGTGAGGGTGAGACTTCCTTATGGAGATTTCCTTCTGAATTCCTGATATGTGCAAGATAATGTTAGATGGTACAAGTTAAATGATAGTGAAAAACATGAGGAGGTTGGTTCCATTTAATATTCTTTCAATTCTGCTTATATGAGAAGAAAGTCTCAGTTTGGTGCCAAGATGTCTTAAACACCTCCTTTATACTCATCTATCTCCTTTTTTAACAAAAAGAGAATAAGCCTCCAGCTCAGAGCTTCCACAGGAAGTTATATCCAGCTGGAACTGAATCAAGTTGTTTTGTTTTTTTTATGTGTTTGTTTTTACAGTTTCCTTCTATTTATGACAAAGGTACACAGAGTTTTTTCCATTTATGGTAGTGATATAAAATCTGCTTTTGTAATACATTTATTAAAGTTTTTGCAAAGTGATTCAACTAAGGTGATGGGCTAACTAGTTAAGTTTGGGCAATGCCAAACCAGATCATCTTCAAGGTCCCTTCAATCCCTGATATTCTAAAATTATTTTTTTCCCTAAACCCAATCTCTCCTCTTCCTCCTCTGTCGCCTCCTCCCCCTCCTTCCTACTCCCTCTGCAATGGGAGAAGTTAATAGGCAGGAACTTCTTGCCAGTTTGGGACAATGAGATCCACATTCTAAAACAAAGAACAATAGTCTTGGAATGTAACCCATGGAAACTTGAGGGTGGCCACATTTTTCTCCATTCTACCCAGAAGAGACAGCACTTCTTTAGGTCCTGTACGGAAACCATCCAGATGCTTCCATGTGTTGCAGAGGGGATGTTAGCTGAGATCTAGAAAATACCTCTGTTCTGGTAACTGTTAAGGCCTCATTCTCTAAATGCCAAGCTCTAGACTCTAATACTCTCATGACTATAAGGGATTTTGGAGCAGTATCTCCTCTGAGGATTCAAAACTAAAATGCTATTCCTAACAGAGGCTCTGTGGTGGAGACATTTCATTTCTTGCACTAACTAAATGGCTTTTCATTCTCAAGTGACTTTAGAAAGTTCTTTCTTTTACTGATCTAAATGTGCCTCCCTCAAACTTTCTGATCTGTCTACCCCATCTCCCCTGCAGCCACAAAGAACAAACCTGCTCTCTCTACCCACAAATAACCTTCCATCAGGAGCAACAGTGGCCATGTCTTCCCTCTTTCTTCTCCCAAAACCTCCCTGTCAGGCTCATCATCCCTTATTTCTTCCAAGACTTCTCAACTGACCAAATGGTGGTGGGAGGTAACCCGGCATCATGGAGAAAAATACTCAGCTTGAAATTAAATGCCAGGGGGTCTTGTTCTACCACAGTAGTATCAAGTCTTTTGGTCTCTCTAGACCTTGGTTCCCCCATCTATCAATTGAAATGGGTAGACTAGGTGAACTTTGAAGTGGCAGCCTCGGTCCTTAAAATGCTCTTAAGACACCCCAAGCACATTCTGGTCTTGACACATATGGTCTCCTCTGGGATCATATGTCTTCACTTGTACTATAGCATTTGGGAAGCAGAAACAGGCAGAGGAAGAGCCCACTTCATAATGGTCCTTTCTTGGGCTTAAAGAGACACAAAACCTCACCCCCTATTGCACAGAGTGAATGAAGTAAAACTAACAGAAATGTAAAGGACCTGGGGGTTTGGTATTGCTTCACAATAACCCCAACTTCCAGAGGAGTCTAGTCTTCCCTTTTGAGGCAGCTTGTGGAATGTTCCTCCCCTCACACAGTTGTTCACTTGTTCCCCAGGCTTAAGTGGAAAAATCTCCCTTCTTGCTTCCCCTTTTGGAAGACGCAAGATAAATAACTCCTGCATGTGGCTTGGGACAAATGGAACAGAAAAGAAAACATCAAGGAAGGACTTGTCTGAGATAGTTTGAGGTTGAAGGATCAAAGTGAAATAGCAGCTAAAACAAAACAAAACAAAAAGTTACCCTGTCTGAGCTATAATGACAGGGAAGTCATGTTATTGAAGAAATAGCCCAGCTAGGACTGGAAATGTAGTAAGCTTCAGATTAGAAAGACAGGAAGACAGACATTTCCCTGAGTCTGCGTCCTTCATATGAGCAGAGTAACCGCGCTCCCCTCTGTGACCAGGGGAAGGTTTCGCTGGGCGGCTCTTCTGTCTGTCCTGCCTCCTCATCTTCCTGAATTCCTTTTCCAGCTGCACACTCACCCTCCCTGCCACCCCCATCCCTGCTGTTGCAGCCAGAAGAGAAAAATAACTCTAAGTCTTATAGTGCTGCTTCATAGTTTCTAAAGCACTGTCACATAACACTGTCTCCTAGAGCCTTCTGACAATGCTGGGAAGTAGGCAGACAGGCATGGAAGGGTTCTTAGTCCCACTGTCCTAATGGGGAATCTGAGGTTGAGAGGGAGGAAGCACTTGTCCAAAGTCATGCAACAATTCAGGCCCTCTCCAAATAGGCAAGCGTTCTCACTCATGGAGTTGGGGTGAGCCTAATAGGAATTACGCTCAGACAAGTGGGAGTGGGGGAGAAATGCAGAGAGACTGTTAAGAACAGAACGCAAAATCTTGGAATACACCTTAAAAGTTTTGGAAGAAAACTGTAAACACAAACACAAAATCTGGGTCCTGCCCAGCACCCGGTGCTACACCACCAGTCCAAGAGCACTTTTCCCCCAGATGATGAGATGGGAGGGAAGGGAAGCGGCTGAACTATTCCAGATGCACAGCCATCTCCCTGCCTCCCCACGAGATACCTCTCTGAGGCTCTCTAAACTACCACTGACCAAAGAGCCCTGTGTCCATCCTGCAAAGCTAATGGAGTATAACAGTCACCCCAGCAAGGTCAGAACACAGTATCAAACCCCAGCATTCAGAACTCACAGCTGTGATCCTTTGCCAATCAAACCTAGGTGTAGCGTGCCTGGCGAAAATTTAAATTCCCTTCATATAAATGACCAATATTAAACAAAAACTCCCTCCTTTGTATTTCTTTAGTCTGTGATGATGCATACATTTATCATTTTCAGGGTGTTTTCATAATCCAGCACCCCACTGGGGGCTCAAGTCACATATTTCTGCCCAATAGTACAGATGAGAAGACCAAGGCCTAGAGGAAAGGAGAAAACTGCCAACGGCTAACAGCAGTGAGTGAGTGACTGGGTGGCAGGGCTAGGGTGAGAACCCGTGCAACCCTACCCCACCACTGGTATGTCTCTACCTCTGCACACTATTTCCCTTGGCAGCTACCCGCTCCCAGGTGGTCACCTGAATGGGGCTCAGTTGGGCCTTGAACTGGCCTGAGTTCCTGGGAAGGAAAATGCCCAGGGCCAGGGGAGGAAGAGAAGGCATATTTCCCTTGGCATGGTGGCCATCAAATGCAGACAGTTTTAGCCCCCTCCCAGCCGCCACTGCCTCCTGTTCCGTACATCGAGTCCCTTCCTTTTGCCTTTATTTGCTCTGGAGACTGCTGAAAACCCGTCCTTGGCTGCCAGCAGGACCTGAAGCTGAGGTCACTTCTCTCTCTGGAAAGACTCTGAGGATGGAAAAGTACAGCCAGCCCCCAGGTTTGTCCCTCAAAACATAAAGGGCCTCCTTTGGGCTCTCCTTGGACGTTAAAAAGCCACTGAACGTTAGAACAGGGGGGATACCTCAGAATCATAGAATCATGGACTGTGGGTCTCAGAATGATAGACTTAGGATGTGAAGCAAAGAAACTGAGTTGCCATCATTAAATCTTATTTGGGTGGAAAGAACTTATGGAGTAATGCAACCCAACAGGACTTCCCAAGATGATGAACACATTCTATATCTACGTGGTCCACTATGATAGCTACTGGTTACAAGTGGTTACTGAATGCTTGAAATGTTGCCAGTGCAAATGAAGAACTGAGTTTTAAATTGTATTTCATTTTAACCAATTTTTTTATTTAAAAATTTTATGCAAAAGGACTGAGGCCAATCCAAAATATCTTACTTAACCCATACCTTGTTGAAATACTGCAATAGAGAATAGTGGAAAACATCTTTTTTTTTTTTTTTTTTTTTTTTTTTTGAGACACGGTCTCCCTCTGTCACCCAGACTGGAGTGTGGTTGGCGCAATCTCAGCTCACTGCAACCTCTGCCTCCTGGGCTCAAGTGATTCTCCCATCTCAGCCTCCCGAGTAGCTGAGATCACAGGCACTTGTGACTACACCCAGCGAATTTTTCTTTTCTTTTCTTTTTTGTAGAGATGGGGCTTCATTATGTTGCCCAGGCTGGTCTCGAACTCCTGACCTCAAGCCATCCGCCCGCCTCAGCCTCCCAAAGAGGTGGGATTATAGGCGTGAGCCACCATGCCCATCTATTTTAATCAACTTAAATCTAAATAGCCACATGTGGCTAGTGGCTACCATGGTAGACAGAGTGATAATAAACTATGAGGCAGTATAGCATAAAGGTAAGCTCATAGGCTCTGGAGCCAGAATATACAGGTTCAAATCCTGGCTCACCACTTAGTAATTGTATGACCTTTAGAAATCAACTTTACCTCTTGGGGCCTCAATTTGTTCCCCAATGTGTAAAATGGAAACAATAACATACCAATCTTTAAAGGCTCATGGGTGATTTACACAAGAGAATCCAAATAAAGAGGTAAGCAATGTTGTCGTTGGGAAGAGCATCTTATAAAGTCCGAGGTTCCCAGAATCTCCATCCCCCGAAAGAATTCAGTGCAAAATTCCAGTGCTTTATAAGCCCAGGGAGAAAGGGGTGTTTGGGTGGAACAAAGGACATATTGCCCCTGTTGGTCTGGGTAAGTCCAGCCTCCAGAGGATACAGTGACGAAGACCAGGCCCAGGGCTGGCCTCTTACTTGGGCAGCTGATACCAGCCAAGCATCTCACTCTCACTATTTGGCTTGGAAACAAGGGCTCCAAAAACACATGTTGCTGGTAAACAAGCCCAAAGAGAGGAAAACAAGCCTAGAGGCTAATAAAGGAAGCCAAGAGCCAGGCCCTCCAGGGAGTTGGGACTCGGAAGGAGCCTGGGGTCTGCTGACATGGGGACCGAGCCAGGCAGGCCAGAGAGGTGGCCACATGCAGCTACAATGGCACTCCTGCTCACACCCCTGGGAGCAGACACAGCAGCTCAGAGGTGGCCTCATGACGTGGAAGTCAGGAGAGCTGAGAGCAAGTCAGCATGTCTCCCAGCTCACTGTGCGAATTCAGGGGAGTCTCCTCTGCTCTCCAGAACTAACACCCCCAGCTTGTCTGTATAAGGTCAGTGCTCAAAATTATGTAAGCCAGAAAATCCTTTATTTCAATGAAGTCTTCTGCAGAGTCCGATATTTCAAACAGCTGAAATCTTTTAGCATGTACTGAACCATGTGAATGAGTATTATCTAGTTAATCAATAAGTGTGAAATTAAAAAACAAGAGCAGGCTGGGCGCAATGGCTCACGCCTGTAATCCCAGCACTTTGGGAGGCCAAGGAGGGTAGATCACCTGAGGTCAGCAGTTCGAGACCAGCCTGGCCAACATGATGAAACCCCGTCTCTACTAAAAATACAAAAAATTAGCCGGGCATGGTGGCGGGCGCCTAAAATCCCAGCAACTCGGGAGGCTGAGGCAGGAGAGTCACTTGAACCTGGGAGGCAGAGGTTGCAGTGAGCCAAGATTGTGCCATTGCACTCTCGCCTGGGCAACAAGAGTGAAACTCCCTCTCAAAAAAATCCACAAAAAAGAAAAGCAGATAAAAGTGGAGTGGAGCTGAGGAGTGGGAGTCCTACACACAGGGACATTCCCTAAGATACCTTGGAACATCTGTACTTTCTCCTAGGAACACAATATGGAACCCTTAGGCAAGGTGGTCCTTTAGGTTCTTTTCAGCTCTGATTTTCCGGATCAACTTGGGCAGAAGCTTTTTAGAGCCTTACCTCTCTCCACTTGCCCCTTGACTCCCTGCTTCCACTTCTATTTCCTGCTGGAAGGAAAGACGCTAAAGGAAACTTTTAAGGTGTGGTAGCTAAAACTTAGGACTGGAGAGCTTCTGGGGCAACTCAGAGGTGGCTCCAGAGTTTGGGGCTGGAATCAGCCCGAGATTCCATAAAGACATCTGAGATGCCACATTTCACTGTGGCTAGCAGAGGCTGGGGTGGAGCTTCAGGCTTCATCCTTGGCTCCCTCTAGGGCACCGCTGCTGCATTGTGGTGACCACAAATGAAAGGATGAGAAATAACATCAAAGTGTCCAGGCTATTGCATCTGGAAAAGCCTCCGAGATCCCAAAGATAGCAAATATGTGGCATATGTGACAAACACGTGGCCTCCACCTACCCCTCCTGCACATGTGGCAGACATTACTAATCAATCGCTTGACCTCTTCTCCTAAAGCTTAGAGAGTCATCAGAATCCTGAACACAGTTCTTCTGACAGCCACTACCGATGAATTAGTGATGTTGTCAGGCCACATGAAACCTCTGTGTGCTGCCTCTTATTGTAGAGGTAGAGAAATTGAGGCTTAGAGAAGGAAAATACCTCACTGGAGGTCACACGGCAAGCTGGTGTCTAAGCCAAATTTCCAGATGTTCAAAAACATCCAGATGTTTGCTTTGCTTTTTTTATCTGATAGGTCTGAAATCCTAATGCCATGACTAACATCAAGATGACCCAGAGTGATCCCCAGATGAGAGAAGTTAATACCAAGTTTCTGAAAGAAACCAGCTCTGACAACAATTGTTGTCTATGTTCATGTTTTCCTTGCAGACATAAAGTTCTATAGCTTGATGGGTGAGAGCAGAGATGATTTCCTGTCTAAGCTGCCAGTTGAGGAGAGGCTGTTTCTCTAAATAATTCCGTCAAGTCACTACTTGCTGGCCCTGGCCCTGCACAGCCCAGCTGTCCCTGGGTTCAGGATTGAGGTTGGGAGGGAGGGAGGGAGGGAGGGAGGCATCAGGGTCTGTGCTGTAGAAACAAGGTCCTCAGGGTTGCTGAAAGCTCAAGGCTGGTTTTCCCTTCTCTCCTTTGAAACTGACGTTTGGGAGGGAGCCAGCTAGAAGCAAGGGAGCAGCCGCCTACAGGCACATCATGCAGGGCCTTTGGGCCTAATGACAAAGCCACGTGGGCTGGAATAGGCATTGCAGGCCAGCCAACGGGAGAGACAAAGTGCTGCTCACCACTTAGTATCCATGGGGCTTGTGTGCATAAGTGTGTTTCCAAACTGAACAAATGGGGATTGGGGGGGAAGGCAAGGTGAATATCAAAATGGCTCCAAACACGTGGAAGTTTGGCTCAGACGCCAGCTTGCTATGTGACCTCCAGTGAGTTATTTTCTCTTCCTGAGCCTCAGTTTCTCTCTCTCTGAGACATAGAGGTGGTTGGTGATAAATGTAGGTTACACGTCTGTCTCATTGTCATGATCCATATTATGTTTGACTGTGCATATGTTTGACTGTGCACATCCATCCATGTGTGGCTGCAAGTGGCGGTGTGTGTTTGTATACCTGATGGCATGTCTGTGTAAGTTACATACAGCCTGACTTAGCATCTGTCTGTTTCAGCCTGTAATAGGCGAGGGTCAGAATTTTCACATTCATTGAGATATATTCCTGGAACTTGTCTGTAAATCATTGTCATCCAGGAAGAGGTGTGTGAGTGAATGACTTTCTGTGTCTGCTCCTGTAATGAGGCACTTATTTTTAGCTGAGCCAGTGGGTGCCTGTTGATGAAATCGATGTTTATACTCTTCATCCCTATGGGTTTGTACCTGTCCCTGTTTATCTCTGCATATTTATCTACCTACATAAACAACTTCAAAAGCCAAATATTCTACTGTTTACCTCACATCCTCAGCTCTTTCCTTTCCTTCACCATTCTTTCTTATTTATAGCTTGTTTTCAGCAAGGAAAGCTGCTCTCATGAATAGCAAACCCCAGCCACACTGTTGATTGACAAATCTCTACAGATGGATAAGGATTACAGCATGATGGTTATGCAACTCAAGATCCCCTAGCCCATCTTTTCTTGTTTTCTTTTCAACTGGGGGTGCAGTAAGGCGGTGTTAAAAATGCAGGCAAGCTATTCCTTTGAATAAAAGCGGTATCTGGGATTTAGGTTTATAGGACTTCAGAGTTAGAAGGGTGCCTGGGAAATCATCTAGCTTAGAAACTCTATTTAACAGTTTGGGAAACTGCAGCCTCAAGAGAGGAAGTGTCTTTCCCAATGTCAGGCACTGGGAGTTAGAACACACTTTTTTTTTTTTTTTTCACCCTTGGCCAATGCTTTTCCTACATAGAGGGCACAACAGTCTTGGGAAATACACAAGAAGTTCCCCAAATCAAAATGAAGATAAACAATATTATGATTTTAAAATTTTTCCTGTCAGTACTTCTAGTAAAGGAAAGTTCTATACAAACCCCAAGATGATGGAGCTGCCAGGAAAAAAAAAAAAAAAAAAAGCTGAGAATGATTTCACTAGGTCTTTGGATGCCTTTAATCCATCAGTTCTAAAACCCTTTGCATTATGAGGGAATGCCACAATTCGCAAAGTGCTTCCCTGTGCATTATCCCATTTCTTCTACACACTATCTACCCCCTAGAGGTGGCTGCTGTTACTGTTCTTTAACTGTAGAGGGAATGGGGCCCAGAAAGAAGTATTAGTTCAAGGTCAAATGGTACCTTCAGGGCACAGCCAGAGCTAAAACCCAGGTCTTCAAACACCCTTGCAAGGAGATTATCATGGCCCAAGGCTTCCCCGGAATCCTGAGAGATCACAAGGGCAGGGCCTAGAATTTGCTGCAGGCCTTGAATTTGGGGGTGGGGTACGTTCAGACTGATGTTCTTAGAGGGTTTCAAGGGTCCCCTCCAGCCAGCAGGCAGAGACCCTGAAAAAAAGGTTACCGTGGCAACTCGCATTCCTCGGAGAGTGAGTCAGGCAGAGAAGAGCCTTCTGGTGGGTGGGACTTGGAGAAAGTTTCAAAAGTTGATTCCTTCTCCAGGCAACCCCCTTCTTCTCCTCCCTCCCCCTCTTTGCTCTAGGCTATGTCGATGTGGCAGCTGATAGCTGAGAGTTAACTCTCTCTTTCCTCAACCACTCCCTTTTCAGAAGGCTTCATCCTCCAGCAAATACACACATTTGTTACCAGTCCTCACTCCATCCCCACGTCATGCCCTCTAATCCATTTGAGAATATCTTAAAGCTGAAAGCTGTGACCACCCATATTCATCCTCTCTCTCTCTCTCTCTCCCTCTCTCTCTCACACACACACACACACACACACACACACACACACAGTGCATACAATTTTTAGGGGCTTAGAGATGGCTTGAGGCCCATTCAAAGACCACTCCATAGACCCTGGTTAAGAAATCTTCCTTTGAATATTTTAGAGGACACAAAGCACCCCAAAGAGCCTTCAGTTTCAGCCTTCTTTCATTACAGATGGGGCACTAAATCCAGGGGAGACACTTACCTAAGATCACACATAAAATGCATGCCCGAAGCCTGTGTCCTACTTCTGCTTTGCTTCTCACTAAACCACCAGCACTTGGGGCGTATAGAAATTTAACTCTAAAGCATTACTAGAGAAAACATTTTCTCTAATGAAAAAAATGCTGTCCTTTCCTGAGGAAAATGCATGCCTCTCTGTTCCCTTTTGGGCAGACTGGGAATCCTGGAAGACATAACTCATCCCAGTGCCCCCCTTCCCTTGGAGTCCTTGGAGTCCCTTTCCCTAAGGAAGTCCACTTGACAGCCAGTTCACGGAGCCAGTGGCGGCGAAGAAAGGTAGTGGATTTGTCTGAAGAAGAACTGACACCCTGACAGGCTGGACACTAGTCTTGGGTGGATTACGGAAGGGGACCCTGGAATTCTCTCCCTCTTCCCTTCCCCCTTTCCCCCTTCTGAGAATATCTCCCCCAGCACACTCCACCTCCCATTACACCCATGTCTTGGTTGACGATATCTGATGTCTGGGTTTTCAGATCTAGATAAACTAAGGGCTACTGCCTGTGTTTACCATCCCAAGGAACTCAGGACAGGAACAACACCTAACCCAAGACTGAGGTTGTGATGGTGCCATTTCAGGCAGAATGGTGCTGAAATTTGTGTATTGGGGGGACGGAAGGTGGTGTTTGGGAGTGAGGAGAATTAGAGGAAAACAGAAGGCTTCCCAGAGGTGTGGATTAATGGTGAAGCCTCCCCCTTTGCCTTTCAGAGATCAACTGATTGTTCGTGCAAAGTCCCTTTTGGAAAACAGAACCCCTGACCGAGATCTGGAGGACAGACTCCGGTTGCTGGCCAGGTCCCTGTGGCAGCTGTGATGGGATCAGATTCCCAGGAAAGGAGGAGGCTGCCACATTTGCAAAGGGAGCAAAGAGGACAGGCAGGCAGCCTCTGAAACCAGAGACAGACACAGAGAAAAACAGAGAGTGAGAAAATGCTCCCCCGAAGACATAGTGAGATTATTTTCTGTAAACCTGTAAGGGAAGACAAAGTTACACAGTGAGTCCACCTTCTGAAAAGCAACAGGCAGACAGGACCGAGGGCCATGCTCTTAAGGGGAGCCGTGATGGAGCCGGGAGGAGAGGCGCATCCTCAGCAGAGCTTCCCTCCCTTGCACACGAGCTGACGGCGTGAACGGGGGTGTCGGGGTTGGTGCAACTATAGAAGGGAAAGGCTGGGCGGGGGTCACACATACCTCAGTGGCAGGCAGGCAGGCGGCAGGCAGAGCGCGCTCTCCGGGCAGTCTGAAGGACCGCGGGAATGTGGAGGGGTTTAGAGACAGGCAACAGGAAACCACTCAGAGCTCTGGGCTGGGTCTATCTCCCCTCCACCCCGTGGTCCCTCCTCCTCCTGTCTCCTCCTTCCCCCGGCCTCCTCCTTCTCCCATAGCCAAAGCTGTCTCTGTCTTTCATTTCTTTCCTCCTCTTTTTGCGGTGGGCTGTCCTGACCAAACGTCCCAACCCTGCCTGCCTCATCTGTTCCGGGGCTGCTGCCTAAACCGACTCACAGAGTGCCAGGGCTGGACAGGCCTGGAGGGATGACCCAGAACAGCCTCTTTCTTGTTCAGAGGGCAAGTGAGGCCTGGAGACTGCAAGGAATTACCCAATGGCCCCCAGGGGCAGAACCAGGCCCAAGTGTCTTGATCTTCTAACCAGTGAGCTTTACAGGAGTCCTCCCTAATATTAGGCAATGCTGAGAAGGGCCAAGCAATTCAAGGGGGTTGTATTTGCCACAAAGGCAAGGCCAGGACTTACCACTGTACAGACAAGACAAGCTGCTACTAGTGGTATCATCCTTGATGATTTGGAACTGGTCTTAAAAAAAAAAATCCCACTCAAACTCCACTTGTACCACTAATAGACACATAAGGGATTAGACATCTAGCTGGTGGACCTGTGCCACCAGTATTGAACAGATAAGGTAATTGATGATATTGATGATAATCATAGGAGTAACAATAGCCAAAGTTTACTGAGGATTTAATAATCTTCACAGCAACCCCTTATCTTAGGCATTGTAATTATGACCATTTTAATAATAAGGAAACATAGATGCTAAGTAACTTGCCTATGATCACCTGGCAAAAAGTGGTATGAGAGGGCTGATTCTACGTTTCAACTTGGGTCACTCCTGTTATATATGAACTGCTCAGTGCAACAGGTCTTGGTTGAATGTTTATTTTGTGCCTAACACTCTGGGAGGTATGAGAATTAATAAATACCTGGTCCTTGTCCTCAAAAAGTTTTGTGGTTTCCGGTTTTTTTGTTTGTTTGTTTTGTTTTGTTTTGAGACAGAGTCTCACTCACTCTGTCGCCCAGGCTGGAGTGCAGTGGTATGATTTCGGCTCACTGCAACCTCTGCCTCCCGGGTTCAAGCAATTATCGCGCCTCAGCCTCCAGAGTAGCTGGGATTACAGGCGCACATGCCACAACACCCAGCTAATTTATTGTATTTTTAGTAGAAATGGGGTTTCAACATGTTGCCCAGGCTGGTCTCGAACTCCTGAGCTTGGGCAATCCGAATGCCTTGGCTTCCCAAAGTGCTAGGATTACAGGCGTGAGCCACCGCACCCAGCTTAGCTTTGTGGTTTCTTAAATTCTTTTTTAATTTTTTTAGACGAGTTAAGTGCAGAACTGAGAAGGGAAAAAAAGTACAAGGAATTCAATCTGTGACTGTGAACAATCAATCGAGATAACTCACTATTCAAGGAGCTTTGGATCTTGCTGAAAGGTTGTGCCTTACACATACACCCACTTACATGAGTGGTACAGACTCTAAGGCTTATCCCAGGGCTTCAGATTGGTGGATTCCTGAAAGAGGTGGACCTGGAAGCATGGGTTGGGTTTGAATACCATGGAAAGGAAGAAGGCAGAGAACACCCTCATGATACACTTCCATCCGCTGTGGCCCCTGTCTCTCTTGCCATTCTCTCCTCCTACCACTGTCCTCTGTGCCCACGCTGCTCCAGCCATGCCAACTTCCTTCCAGTCCTTCAACTACCCCAAAGCTTCTCCCACCCCAGGATTTTTTTTTTTTTTTTGAGACAGACTCTCACTTTGTTGCCCAGGCTGGAGGGCTGTGGCGCAATCTCAACTCACTGCAACCTCCACCTCCTGGGTTCAAGTGATTCTGCTGCCTCAGCCTCTCAAGAAGCTGGGATTACAGGCATGCACCACCACACCAGGCTAATTTTTGTATTTTTAGTAGAGACAGGGTTTCACCATGTTGGCCAGACTGGTCTCGAACTCCTGACCACAAGTGATCCGCCCGCCTTGGCCTCTCTAAGTGTTGGGATTACAAGTCTGAGCCACCATGCCCAGTATCTTTGCATTTGCTCTTACCTCTGCCAGAGACACTCTTCCACCTGATTTTCCTGTGCCTATTCTAATGTCACCTCCTTAGGGCCACTCAATCTACTTGCCTCTCTCACAGGCACAGTTCATCGCCTTACACTGTTTTATTTCCTCCCCATCACCTGTCATTCTCAGAAACCATTTGTTTCCCCAACTAGACAGAAGCTTGGTGAGAGCAGGGACTTCACATGTCTGTTTACTGCTTTGTTCCCAGCATGTTGACCAGTGCCCCACACAAAGCTGGCTTGCAATATTTTATTCAATAAATATATGAACTTCCGACTTGCCCATCTGAAAAAAGAGAGGGTTGTCTTTTACTAGGGTTCCAGCCTGGAACACTGCCCCACACCCAAGAGACCCTCAAACCACTAAAGTGGAATATAAAAGTTAGGGTGTTTGGTCCTTTTGAGAACCTAAAGGAAGCAATGAACTTTCTCTGCAGAAAAATCCACAAACACCCAAGAAGGAGTCTTCTCCAAATGACCCCCAAGGGCCGGGTGCAGTAGTATGTTCCTGGAGTCCCAGCTACTCTGAGGCTGAAGCAGGAGGATTGCTTAAGGCCAGAAGCCTGAGACTAGCCTCGGTGACAGAGCAAGATGCTGTCTGTAATAATAATAAAATAATAATAATAATAATAAGGCCAGGCATGGTGGCTCACTCCTGTAATTCCAGCCCTTTGGGAGGCTGAGGCAGGTAGATCACCTGCGGTCAGGAGTTCGACACCAGGCTGGCCAACATGGCAAAACCCTGTCTCTACTAGAAATACAAAAGAAATTAGTTGGGCATCATGGCACGTGCCTGTAATCCCAGCTACATGGGAGGCTGAGGCAGGAGAATCGCTTGAACCCAAGAGGCGGAGGTTGCAGTGAGCCGAGATGGCACCATTGCACTCTAGCCTTGGAGACAGAGCAAGACTCCGTCTCTAAATAAATAAATAAAGACCCCCCAAGGCCTCTCACCCTGGTTCAAAAGCCAAGTGCTTTTGGCTGCTGAATACAGGGTGCTGGTGGACTCTCCACATATCTGTTTTGCCATCCGGACAGATGTATATTTTTATAGGATTGGTTGCTATAGCTCCCAGGCATTATGGGACTAAAATTAGCAGAAGCTTTGTATTTTTATTCATAAACTAAAATGATGATTCTGATGAGGATGAACCAGTGGAACTCTTCCCAGTTTTTGGCTGGTGTTCCCATGTGGCTTTCAGTTCAGGAAGTGGAAGTCTGGTTGGGGCTGGGCTGAAGCTCTGGAAGAGAGATCCCTCCTGAGGGCCACTTCCAGGTCTCTGTGGGGACACCCTGAGCCAGAATCACTCCCAGAAAGAAAACTTGGTAGGTTTTATATCTAAGGATAAGAGCACATGGCTGGGTGCAGTGGCTCACACCTGTAATCCCAACACTTTGGGAGGCAGAGGTGGGTGGATCACCTGAGGTCAGGAGTTCGGTGACCAGGCTGACCAACATAGTGAAACCCCGTCTCTACTAAAAATACAAAATTAGCCAGGCTTGGTGGCTCACGCCTGTAATCCCAGCTACTTGGGAAGCTGAGGCAGAACTGCTTGAACTCAGGAGGCGGAGGTTGCAGTGAGCTGAGATAGCACCATTGCACTCCAGCCTGGGCAACAAGAGTGAAACTCCACCTCAAAAGGCAAAAAAAAAAAAAAAAAAAAAAAAAAGCATCCTGGGGCAACAGGAGCCTCTGAAGCAAGGATGACTCTGACCTAGAAAGGAAGACCACTAGGACTAAGGCTGGTCTTCCTGCCACCTGCCAAGGGCTTTATAGGAAGGGAGAGAAGCACAACGCAGCCAGGTGTGATAGACCTGGGTGTGAGTCCCACTCTGCTATTGAGTCACTGAGTGACTTTGGGCCCATCCCTGCCCCTCTGAACTACACCTTTTCTTTCTTTCTTTTTAATTGTGTTAATAGAGGCAAGGTCTTGCTAGGTTGCCCAGGCTGGTCTTGAACTCCTGGCCTCAAGCAATCCTCCTGCCTTGGCCTCCCAATGTGCTAGTATTACAAGCATGAGCCATTGTACCTGACCCTACACCTTTTCATTTATAAAATAGGTTGGACAGCAGAATAGTAGTAATAAGAGCCAGCATTTATTAAACACCTACTATGTGCCAAGCACCTGCTAAGCTCTTTGCATATATTGTCTGACTTAACTCTTATAAATCTGGAACTGTTATTATTCCCATTTTATAAATGTGGAAAATGAAGTTCATATCAATAATTTGCTCAAGCTTATGCACCAAGTATATGGTAAATCAGAGATTCAAATCCAGGTTTAAGGGACACCAGAGCCCAAGTGCTTGACTACTGCACGCTACTTCCCCCTCAACTCCTCTCCAGCTCTGACATACGTGGACTTCAGACCATACACCCCTCTCCCGAGTCAAGAATGTTGCTGATCCAACATTAGGCTGAATCAGCTTTTCATCTTGTAAAGCAATCCATCAGTATATTGGGGTCCCTGCTGCCTGCCCACTGCCCTCTCCAACCACTCTCCAGCTATGCTCTTCTAGGCACTTCTCACTTTACCCTGATCCTGCCCTCCTGACCTAGCACCCCAGCCACAGCCTTAGAACTCAAGGGACTGCCTGGGAAATGTCCACATGTGCCTGCCATCCAGGCTCCGTACACCCCCAGTACATCAGCTACCTCGTTCGTTCATTCAGTCTTTATTGTGCTTTGCATCAGGCACTGGGGATATAGCAATAAATAGGACAGACAAGGCTCTGCCCTCTTGCACTTTACATTCCAATAGGTGAAGGCAGGCCGTGAGCTCATTTCAGGTTGTGATCAGTTCTATGGAAGAAACAAGGAAGATGAAATGAAAAAGCAATGGAGGATGACTTCAGATAGGGTCATTAGCATAGGCATCTTGGAGGAGGCAAGATGAGGAAGATGTTGAAGCATGAGTCAATGAGAAGGGCTGAGAGAAGAGTACTCAAGGAGAGGGGAGAACAAGCACCAAAACCCTGATGTGAGGAGAGCTTGGCTTTTTCAAGTAACTGAAAGTGTGGCTAGAATTACCTACTGGGGGAGATTTCCCATCTCCTCCCGTTCTTCCTCGTCCTTTTCTCCTCCATTTTCCTGTTGTTCATTCCTACCCTTTTTACACCCTTTTAGCCACTTCAACATACTTTCTTGTCCACTATCTCAGTGAATGCCACAGCAGTCCTGTGAAAGAGTTAGGGTAGGGATTAGAACCTATAGTGTAGATATGGAGAAACTGAGGCCTCTATCACTCAGGGAAGCTGGGGCTCAAAACCAGGTCTCCTGACTCCTGGCTAAAAACCAGATTCTTAACCACACCAAGAACCTGCTTGTCTTTCTGCTCACTGACTCCAGAGACTCTGTCACTAGCTCTGAGACCAGCCTATGGACCACCTGATGAACCATCTCTGGGAGCTGGACTGGGGCCAGGTAAACTATTCCTACACAGGGACAGGAATACTTGCACAGGGAGCAAGAGGTCTGAACTCTGGAAATAGAGCAGGAAGGCTCTGTGGATTTGGCTTCTGGCAAGGAGGAAAGCAACCAAGCATAAAGTTAAACAAATAAAAGCCGGACAAAGAAACATCCCCTAAGGCCATGCATTAAAAACAGCATCGGGATCTCAGCAGTTCAGATCTCCAGGTCATAACTCCTGAGTGAGCCTTTCGGGTTAAAAAAACTCAACAAAACTTACATAGGAGAACTTGAGGGCCCATGAGGGACCAGGTTTCATTGGAGCAATTGTCACTAAACTGAGAAGGCAGACAATCATATTCAATATTACAAAGCAGATGGTGGGCAAAACACTTTATGTCCATTATCTCATTTAACTCAACAACACTTATGCAGAATATTTGTTTTTCTATCATTACTATAGTAAATTACCACAAATTTGGTGACTTAAAAACAACACAAATTTATTATCTTATAGTTTTGGAGGTCAGAAGTCCTAAAATCAAGGTGTCGTTGGGTTCCTTCCGGAGGAAGGATGAATCTGTTGAGGAAAGAATCTGTTTCCTTACCTTTTTGTTGTTGTTGTTTTGTTTTTTGAGACAGAGTTTCACTCTTGATGCCCATGCTAGAGTGCAATGGTGCAATCTTGCCGCACCGCCACCTCCACCTCCCGGGTTCAAGCAATTCTCCTGCCTCAGCCTCGAGAGTAGCTGGGATTACAGGCATGTGCCACCACATCTGGCTAATTTTGTATTTTTAGTAGAGACAGGGTTTCTCCATTTTGGTCAGGCTGGTCTCAAACTCCTGACCTCAGGTGATCTGCCTGCCTGGGCCTCCCAAAGTGCTGGGATTACAGGCATAAGCCACTGTGCCCTGCCTATTTTCTTACCTTTTTCAGTTTCTAGAGGCCACCCTCATTCCTTGGCTTGTGAACCCTCACTCTGTCTTCTAAGCACATCACTCCAACTCTGCTTCTGCCTTGACATCTTTTCCTGACTTTGACCCTCTGGCCTTCAACTTTTAAGAACCCTTGTCATTACATTGGGCCCACCTAAATAACCTAAAATAATCTTCCCACCTTTAAATCCTTAAATTAATCTGCAAAGCCCCCTCTGCCATGTAAGATAGCCTGTTTATAGGTTCTGAGGATTAGGGCACGTCCATCTTTGGAGGGGCCATTACTTTGTCTACCATAGATGGGTACAATTACCATTCTCATTTTAAAGATGAGTAAAGAAAAGTTCTGAGAACTAAATCACTTGGTCAAGGTCCCACAGTGGAGAAGCCAGGAACACACACAGGTAGCTCCACTCCAGAGCCCTCTCTCCATGACTTCCCCAGGTACTCAACTGCCCATTCTGCCCTTCTGGCCATGGCTGCCTCCCTGCCCCCACTGGCCCCAAACCCAAACCCATTCATCCTTCAAGCTCAGATTGGATCGCTTCTATTTTTTCAAAGCTTAGAACTGACAGGGCCCTTTAGCCCTATTCAATCCCAGATTTTCCATGTGTGGCTGGGAAAATTGAGGTTTAAAGAGCCCAAGGTTACAGTGTGGACAGCTAGGCCTGGGGCCTCTCTCTCCCAGGCTGAAGCCAGCTCTGGCCTGTTCCAAATCTCCGGAGGGAGGGACTGGGCAGGCTGACCTCTTTGGGATGGGGATTATGTATCAGAACTCTCAAATATACCCTTTGTGTGGCTGGCTGAATGTCAAGGCTGCCAAGCTAAGAAGGTTCAAGCACATTGGAGGCTGACTCAGCCTGTTGCCTTGTTACTGTATCTTTCCCCAGGCAGCCCTTCCCATTGTCTGAAGGGCACAAAGAACCCATTGTCATCTGGCCCTGGGTCCCCGAAGCAGAGCATCCACCAACCAGGCCAAGGCCAAACAGAGGAAGATGAAATTTA
This sequence comes from Homo sapiens, assembly GCF_000001405.40. Classification (NCBI taxonomy): domain Eukaryota; kingdom Metazoa; phylum Chordata; class Mammalia; order Primates; family Hominidae; genus Homo; species Homo sapiens. The sequence continues at coordinate 151,694,378 of NC_000005.10, forward strand.
ACCTCAGCACCCTCCCCACTTGCAACACACCCACTGAGCAGTTGAAGGTTTCTCCTTTAGCTCTTTGTAGCTCACAAAGGACTTTTTTTTTTTTTTTTTCTGAGACGGAGTCTCGTTCTGTCACCCAGGCTGGAGCATAGTCGCACAATCTTGGCTCACTGCATCCTCCACCTCCTGGGTTCAAGCAATTCTCCTGCCTCAGCCTCCTGAGTAGCTAGGATTACAGGCGTGTGCCACCAGGCCTGGCTAATTTTTTGTATTTTTTAGTAGAGGCAGGGTTTCACCAAGTTGGCCAGGCTAGTCTTGAACTCCTAACCTAGTGATCTGCCCACCTCAGCCTCCCAAAGTACTGGGATTACAGGCGTGAGCTACCGTGTCTGGCCCACAAAGGACTTTTATCACCCTAATCTTATTGAGTGGCACATTTAGTCTACAAAGTAGAAAGGTCAGGATTCACTAAGCCCATTTTGGGCTTGGGCGGGCAGACAGACAGACTTGCCCAAAGTCACACAGTTGGCCCATGGTGGGGCTGAAATGAAAGCTCCCAAACTCTTAACAGTCAAGACTCTTTCCACTGCACCCACTGCCTCCACCCAGGGTCCCAGTAAGAGTTTACCAAGGCACCGCCTTCTCACAGAGGCTCCCTCTCCACTGAGGTGACAAATGTTAATAATGCGTTGGCTGCACCTTTTCATGTTGACATGTTGACACAAACCCACTGGTCTTAGTCTGTTTTTGTGTTGTTATAACAGAATACCTGGAACTGGGTGATTTATAATAAACAGAAATTTAATGGCTCATGATTCTGGAGCTGGGAAGTCCAAGATTGAGGACTAGCATCTGGCAAAGGTCTTCATGCTGTATCATGCCATGGTAGAAGGGCAAAGAGAGGGAGAGAAAGAGAGCAAGAGATAGAACTTGCAACCTCAAACCCTAATTGATGTTAATCAACTCGTAAGGGCAGAGCCCTCATGACCTAAGCATCTCCCGATAGGCCCCACCTCCCAACACTGCTGCATTGAGGATTAAGTTTTCAACACATGCTTTTAGGGGTACATGTTCCAACCATAGCATCACCCGAGGAGAAAGAAGCACTCATTTGAGTTCTGATTTGGGTTCTTCCCTTAGTAGGACCTGTGCCCTGAGGCCCTGCTTATACTCTGACCTTAAGCAGCTCACTTTTCCTTTCCAAACCTGAGTGTTCTTATCTGTAAAATGAGCATGATTAAAATATTTCACTCTCCTGGGTACAAAGTCAGTGTAAGATTCAAGTGAACATAGATTTTAGGGAGTCAGCAAATATAAGAGGATGTTTAGGAGGCCTAGTTTTTGAGTCAGAACTCTGGGCTTGGGTCCTGGGTCAAAGTTATTTAACTCTAGAAGACTTGAGGCATGTTATCAACCTCCAGCCTCAGCTTCCTCAAGTGTAAAGTTCTTGTGAGGTGCTTGTGAGGATTAAATGAGATCATATATGTAACGCATTTGGCCCACTGCTACATGAATGAAGCACTTCATAAATGTCAGCTATCTTATAAGTAGATTATCTAATTCAACATTTTCCAAAGTGTGTTTCACAAAATATTAGTCCTATAACATATTCCAGAAAGATAGGGGGACCCTGGGTTCAAGCACGTTTGTGAAATGCAGCACTCACTACCTTCCTCGTGGATATTCCTGAGGCACCTTGAAACCTTAAAAGCTCTGAAAATGTCTGCTGAAAAGAAACCTGTTGAACTCTGTTAAAGCTATCACAGAGTCCTCTTTTTCATGAATTTTTAATGCATTCCACAGAACTTCGTTTCCTAACAAACTCCTTGGGGGAATGTTTATTTGCTCCAACACCCTCGTTTGAAGAAGAAACTGAGGTTCAGAAAGGTAAAGTGAGCTGGCCTGGGTCTCCCGGCCAATAAATAGCAGAGCTGGGGCTTGACTCAAGCTAACTAACTCTTCGACCTACTGCTCTTTTTATTAAACCACACTGAGAAAACACCTTCGGCTCTTGATGTGGCCAATCACTCTCCAAAGGTTAAAGATTTGTACTATTGGTTTCACAGCCCTTCAGCCTTTTTCCAGGGCTCTGTATCCATAACTTTGACGGTGCAGGGCTCCCTGCTGCTCTGGGGAGGGTCGGAGGAGCTCGGCACCAGATTGGCTCAGTCTGCCCCAACCCCCGGGTCTGTAATATTGCCGCTGCTGGTCCAGGTCCAGGGAACACTCACACGCAGGCATCAATTTTCTTCTGAAACCCCACCCACACGCCTGGAAATCTTCTCTGAAGGAGGGGAAAAGCCCAATAACCCAGACCCGACAACGTGGCAGCTCTTACACATTCCTTGACGTGGCCCACAAACCAAACGTTTCTTCAATTTAGCTGCAGTGAGGCCAGGAATAATGACGGCCCCGCCAGCCCAGAGACGTGGCAGCCTATGCTGCATGACTCAGTCAGCCTGAGAGGTAGCCTGAACGCTCCGTCCTCTGGGGTCTCTGGGCTGGGGCAGATGGCTGACGAGGAAGGGCGATCTGGACTAAGCAGCTCAGCCCCATCCCCTTCCCCCACCCGTCTCTTCTTCTCCACTGCCTGAGACAAGGCAGCCCTCACTGTCATCTGAGGCTGATCCAGCACTGCGGCTTCATGTCATCTCTCCCACTCCTGGCTCCTGTACCTTTCCTCAGACAGGAGCTTCTTGTCATGATTCTTCGAGATTTCCCATGTCAGTTTCCAACTGCATTCTGTGGAGCTCTGGGAGTTTCATGCAGCAGTCTTAAGAGGACAGAAAGAAGGCCAAGGAGGCGGATCTTCAGACCCCTCGTCCGTCCTTGCTTCAACCACGACAGAACTGCCTTTGTCTGTTTGAAATATTGGGCTTTTGTCTAAAATTTCATTTCTTTTTTATTTTTATTTGTACTTTGTTTTTATTTTTTAATTTTTAATAAAATTTTAATTTACGTTTCAGAGAAACTTCTCTAGTAACGAACTATACAAATAATCCCTGAAAGTATAGTCTTGTAAGATTTCATTTCCAAAGGCGGTTTCGTTAATTAAAAAAAAAAAGTTTGGAATGCACTCATTTATTTTCAGCCCACTGGCTCTCCAGGTGAAGAAAAATGAACCCTGGAGAGAGGGGGTGATCTATCCAAAGACCCAGAGCATCGCAAGCTCTCCAGGGCTCTGTGGGAAGGGGGAGAGTTCCAAGATCCAAGCAGAAGCCACGGAAGACTCGAGCCTGCTTGCTGGAAGCTTTCAGTTTGGTCACTCTGGGCAGGCAGGCAGCTGGCAGTCCCTATGTCCACCCCGAAGCTGGAGGAAGAGACTCCATCTATTAGCCCAGCATCTCCCCGAAAGGAAAAACCAGAGGCCAGGTGCTGTGGCTCACGCCTGTAATCCGAGCACTTTGCGAGGCCAAGGCAGGCAGATCACTTGAGCCCAGGAGTTCAAGACCAGCCTGGGCAACACAGGGAGGCCTGGCTCTACAAAAAATACAAAAATTAGCCTGGTGTGGCATGGGCCTGAGATCCCAGCTAGTCAGGAGGGTGAGGTGGCAGGATCACTTGAGCCCAAGGAGGTCAAGGCTGCAGTGAGGTGTGATCCTGCCACTGCACTCTAGCCTGGGCAACAAAGTGAAACCCTATTTGAAAGAAAAAAAAAACTGCCAGGTGCGGTGGCTCATGCCTGTAATCCCAGTACTTTGGGAGGCCAAGGCAGAGGGATCACCTAAGGTCAGGAGTTCAAGACCAGCCTGGCCAACATGGTGAAACCCCTTCTCTACTAAAAATATAAAATTAGCCAGATGTGGTGGTGCATGCCTCTAATCCCAGCTACTCAAGAGGCTGAGGCATGAGAATCACTTGAATCCAGGAGGTGGAGGTTGCAGTGAGCTGAGATCATGCCACTGTACTGCAGCCTGGGCAACAGAGCGAGACCCTGTCTCAAAAATAAATAGATAGATAGATAGATAGATAGATAGATAGATAAACAAAATGAGCACCGGACAAGGATTCGAGAGACCTGGGCTCCTCACCCAATCATTAAATGATATGGGCAAATCCTTTTCTCGTTCTGGGCCTTACTTTGCTCATTTTTTTTTTTTTTTTTTTTTTTTGAGATGGAGTCTCACTTGGTTGCCCAGGCTGGAGTGCAATGGTGTGATCTCGGCTCACTGCAACCTCTGCCTCCTGGATTCAAGCAATTCTCCTGTCTCAGCTTCCCGGGTAGCTGGGATTAAAGGCACCCGCCACCACGCCCAGTTAATTTTTGTATTTTTAGTAGAGACAGGGTTTCACCATGTTGGCCAGACTGGTCTCGAACTCCTGACTTCAAGTGATCCACCTGCCCCAGCCTCCCAAAGTGCTGGGATTACAGACGTGAGCCACTGTGCCCAGCCATTTTGCTCATTTGTAAAATGAGGCTATTGGGTTAAGTTATAGTTTCCAGGCAGTGGGTGATGAGAACCAAGATGATGGGGTTCAGATCCTCCTGAGAACCCCTTAGAGGCAGCTGTTGTTTTGCTATGTTAATTGTAAACGAGGATTCTGCAGCTAATAAAATGCTTGAAACTCACGAGGCCATGTAACTTAAAGGCCTTTTGACCATTAAATTCAGTGTTTTCCTCCTCTTTCTGTCTCCTGCTTCTCTCCCTCCCCTGAATTCCTTACTCAAATCCCTGAGTTTGCTGGCAGAGACTTCATGATTCTTCAGGGTTGCAGCCCTAAGTCTATCTTGCTATCTCTCTAGAGGCTGGACTCTGCCCTTTCACTTGCAGCATGGGAGAAGAATTGTTTCTTTCCTAAGATCATTAGGGAGACCCAAGGGTCAGGACAAATCATAGCCAGCCACCCCATCTGGCCCAATGCTGAGCTCTCCAGCTCCCCCGTCTCCCACTGAACGGCTCGCTTCCCAGCCCCATCCCAAGTTAGGTTATTCTCCTGATTCAGACATTTTTGTGGTGTGAAATCATCTCCGCCCAGCCAGCCGAAGCTGGGAGCTCACTCCAGCCCACTGCAGCTTGCTGGCCCTCCCTTTCCCTGCCACGTCCCCACACCCTCAGCTCCTCTTCTCCCAGCACTCAGAACTTCCATTTGATTTCCTTTCAATTCTGCAAAGAAACAAAGAGTGTCAAGGGCATGTTGGATTCAGCTCTGTCCTCTCCCTGTAGCTCCTGGTGCAGGTCCTGGCTCATGATCAACCCCTAAGGGAAAGTGATTAAAATAAGTTTGTTAAATCAAGACAGAGAAAGGAGACAAAGGAAGACAGACAGAGTCAGACAGTGGAAGGGAGAGACAGACACTGAGAGTCTGCCATGATTAAGAGAGAGACAGAGGCCAGGCATGGTGGCTCATGCCTGTAATCCTAGCACATGGGGAGGCCAAGGCGGGTGGATCATCTGAGGTCAGGAGTTTGAGACAAGCCACGCCAACATGTCGAAACCCCATCTCTACTAAAAATATAAAACTTAGCTGGATGTGGTGGCACGCGCCTGTAATCCCAGCTACTCGGGAGGCTAAGGCATGAGAATCGCTTTAACCTGAGGGCCGGAGGTTTCAGTGATCCCAGACCATGCCACTGTACTCCAGCCTGGGTGAAAGAGAGAGACTCCATCTCAAAAAAAAAAAAAAAGAAAGAAAAGAAAAGAATGGCCGGGCACAGTGGCTCACGCACTTTGGGAGGCCGAGGTGGGCAGATCACGAGGTCAAGAGACCGAGACTATCCTGGCCAACATGGTGAAATCCCATCTCTACTAAAAATACAAAAAAAAAAAAATCTAGCTGGGCGTGGTGGCGCATGCCTGTAGCCCCAGCTACTCGGGAGGCTGAGGCAGGAGAATCACTTGAACCCAGGAGGTGGAGGTCGCAGTGAGTGGAGATCCCGCCACTGCACTCCAGTCTGGCGACAGAGTAAGACTCCGTCTCAAAAAAAAAAAAAAAAAAAAGAGAGAGAGACAGAGGTGGGAGACAGAGAGACAGAGAGATGAGACAGACACAGAAACAAATGCAAAGAAAACTTACCTGAAACTTAGCAACAAAGCAAAAGGGTGACTGCATGTCCTCTCAGTGTTAGACTGGAACATGGTCTGACAAGTCCATCCAGGGATCATCTTCTCTAGGGGTTGTGCTACCTACTATTGATGAGGGCTCTGACTTTGAAGTTACATGTTAACTTGCAGGTTTCTGTCCATTAGAAACAAAACAAAAAAAAAGAACCCCAGAGGTGACAGTGCAAATGCCTTGCAGGGCGTTAACCGGTTTTGTATATTACCCAGCAGCCTTTTTCCAGCATTCTTTCAATGCAGTAGCTGTATAATCTCTTTTTGAATTCTCTTTGAACCAACTTTACCATGCTGCTTATTCCCTCATTAATGGGTTAAAAAAATCATTAACATGTGCTCATTTTTTATTCATTTTTATTCATTTTTTATGAGTCATGTTTTTAACTGTTAAAAACTGTATTCTGATAAGAGAGGCAGAAATAGAATGAGACAGAGATGAAGAAAGAGACAGAGTGAGAGGCAGAGGCAGAGATAGAAAGGGAAAGAGACATAGGGACACTGAGAGAGGCCAGAGAAAGAGACACACAGAGAAACAGAAGAAACAAAGGTTAGAGGGACTGAGACCCAGTGAACCCATGCACAGAGTCAGAGAGAGAGAGAGAGACAGAAAGGCTAGCAGCAGAGATCAAGATCAGCCATGCATGCACAAAACACCAGAAGTAATGTTAGCCTCTGGGGAAGGGATACATTGGAGTGAAAATGGAGGTGAAGGGGAGGGACTTTTATATTTATTTATTTATACTTCTATCTTGAATTTCTTTCTTTTCTTTTCTTTTTCATTTAGAGACAGAGTCTCTCTATGTTGCCCAGGTTGGTCTTGAACTCCTGGGCTCAAGTGATGCTCTTGCTGCGACCTCCCAAATTGCTGGGATTATAGGCGTGAGCCACTGTGCAGGCACTTCAATTTCTTATGAGAATATAATCATGTGTTATTTTATACTTTTATTTTTTATTTTAATTTTTATCTTTTTGAGACAGAGTGTCACTCTGTCGCCCAGGCTAGAGAGCAGTGGTGCGATCATGGCTCACTGCAGCCTTGACTTCTCAGGCTCAAGTGATCCTCCTTCCTCAGCCTCCAGAGTAGCTGGGACTACAGATGCACACCACTAGGCCCAGCTATTTTTTTACTATTATAGAGATGCGGGGGAGGGGGTCTCACTATGTTGCGTAGGCTGCTCTTGAACTCCTGGGCTCAAGCAATCCTCCTATCTCCGTCCCCCAAAGTGCTGGGATTACAGGTGTGAGCCACCATGCCCAGCCCATTTTACATTTTTAAAATAGTCATAGAGGGAAAGGCAAAGAGAGACTGTGAAAGAAGCAAAACCACTAGAGAGAGAAAACATCAAGAAAGCAAGGACAGGTACACTGGCTGGCACCTGTAATCCAAGCGCTGTGGGAGTCAGTAAAATTCTTGAAAATTAACTGTAACATTATTTCTTAAACTTTCTAATTTTTGTAACTATTAAGGCTGATTTTTAAAATTATGGTAAAACAAATATAAAATTCCTATGGTGAGTTATTGATAATGGAAACATCATCACTGTGAAACAAATGTAGGTATTGTGTGAGGCACAAGAGCTACAGTGGAGACAAAGACAGACGAGGTCCCTGCTTTCATGGCACTTACATTCTGGGGAGAAGGCAATAGAGAACAGGCCCATAAATAAACACACAAGACAATTTTTTTTTTCTCAGATGGAGTCTCGCTCTGTTGCCCAGGCTGGAGTCCAGTGGCATGATCTTGGCTCACTGCAACCTCCACCTCCCGGGTTCAAGCGATTCTCCTGCCTCAGCCTCCCGAGTAGCCAGGACTACAGGTGAGTGCCACCATGCTCAGTTAATTTTTTTTTGTATTTTTAGTAGAGACGGGGTTTCACCATGTTGGCCAGGCTGGTCTCGAACTCCTTACCTCGTGATCTGCCTGCCTGAGCCTCCCAAAGTGCTGGGATTACAGGCGTGAGCCACTGCACTTGGCTCTCTGAGATCATTCTTAGCCCCTCAGGCTATATGACTGGCTTGTGAGGGCCAAGTGCAGCTTGGACTGAATCCAGGCCTGGGATATTTACACCTTAAGGTCATTTTCAGTTTCCAGCCCAGAGTTTTGGCCCCAAAGGCAGGCGGCATCCAGCTTCCCTCAGCCGCTCAGCTGGCCAAAAAATAAGAAAGCCACCTTGTGCTCATGGGAGGGCAGCCACGGGAGTGGGTCTGGGTGGGGCCCGGTGCCGTGGGATGCCCGGGAGTATATAGATCCATTTCAGAGGCTCGCCAACCCCTTCACCCAAGGACTCTTCTGGGCCTCTCCTGTGCTTTCCAATTAAAAATATCATTCCGTAATGTTTCTCAGAGGCTCTCAAAGGGCCACGGGAAAGGCAGCCAGGGAAGGGGCAGGAGGGAGGGGAGGCCAATATCTAAAATAGAAGGAGTAGTGGTCCAGAGCAGGACTTCTGAGACTTCAGTCATCTGGTACCATCTTTACCTTTGTTGCCATATCCTCATAACACCTACAGAATTACTTAATTTCAACTTTTTTTTAATCTAAATAAATTTAACTTAAAGAAAACCTTATATCATAACACTGAAAAAAGAGTATAATTTGCCAAGTGTGTCCACATATCCCCTCAGATCCACTCTCTGCCCCTCCCCAACTGCTCTCTAGGCCAGAGGGGCTGACCTTATGGCCCACACCCATGAGCTCCCATGGCCTCTGTTTCCATCTGGGATTGGCCAGTGGGGAGCATCAGTAGGCGACTGGGAAGAGGGAGAAACAAGAGTGAAGTTAGAATCTTTCTTTCCCCATCCCCTTCCCTAGAGGATCACAGCAGACTGGCTGTGTTCTTCAACCCAAGGGCTGAGCTCCTGTTCCTTGGCCCTCTCTCTGGTTCTAGTACCCACTCTCCCTTACCCCTCAGGCACCTTGCTGCAGCTGTCCCTAGAGGACTGCACTGTCCTTGTGATTTACATACACAGGGCCCACATCTTTATAAATAGTCCCTTGATGAAATTCTCAGATTACCCATTTTGAAAGTGCCATCTGTTTTCTGCCAGGAACCTGGCTGATACACTTGTCATAAAGAGAAAGTAATTGACAGTGATAATACAATTATGCTATTACGTTCTAACCAAATGTAAAAAGGGATGAATAATTTTTATATAATGCTATAGAATGAGCTTCAGGGAATATTAGTAAAAAGTGAACAAACCATTAAAAACAAAGTGCAGAGCAATGTTTAGACTGCAAGAGAGAGAAAAATAAAAACATGCACATGTGCATTTGCTCACATACCCAAAAAGAAGCAACTGAAAGGTAAAACTAAAAATTAATAGAGATGGTTACCTTAGGGAGAGAGAAAATGTTGTTGATAAAAAGCTAGTGTTCTCTGATTACTTTGTTATATAGTTTTAACTTTGGAACTATTAAGTGTTTTGTATAATTAAATTTACATTAAAATAACATAAGCTATTGATTGGCTATACAACGTTCTTTTGCACCACAAATTCCAGGAACATAAAGATAATGGGTAAAGGTCACATAGTGCAACTTATGGTAACAGTTTAGGTTATTTATCAACTAGTCTGGAAGCTTTGGTGAAGGAAAGAAAGAAAAAAATGCCTTTAAACAATTGTCCCTGGAAAATGGGAGTGGAAGGGGGTGGGTGTCAAGACTGTCTCATACTCATGGTCTCTCACAGCCTGATAAATTTTGCACACTCCACATTCTTTGGACAGCTCTGAGCTACTTTTCTTTCTCAAGGGGAAGTTCTTCCTTAAAACATTGAGGAAGCATTGTTAGAAATTGAAGATCAACATTTTGCAGCCCCTAAGAGTAATGGGTCAAAGTAACGATTAAGGAATGAGAGGTCGATGAGGAACCATGTAATGGATGGGCCAGGACAACAGTACTTGAACCAGTTCAATAATCTTGATAGTTTGTTTGGAGGTTCTAGCAGGGGAGTGCAGCTGTTTGTACACCCTTGACTGAAGACCAGTCCAGCTCTGTCTGGGATGGTCATCCTCTCAGACCTAGCACTCAGCTTCAGGGGGACGTGCATGGAGTGGTGAGGAAGGACAGGGACACCTGCCTAGCCAGCCAGAGCAGCCAAATCAACCCTGGCGGTCAATGAGGTGACACATATCGTAGCCAGATCGTCCTCACATCCGAATTCAATAATCTTAACATCACTAAGTGTGGGACAAAGAGACATCTTGTTCTTCATGGTGTGATGTAATAAAATGTGCACACCATGACATAGGAAGTACTTATGGCAAAAGAAATTAACCTGAGTGTAACTACCAGTTTATGGGAAATACAAAGGAATAGAGAAATGTGTCTAAAAACACAAGAATTAAATCAGCCAAACCAGAATATGGTGAATTTTGCAAGACAAATAACATGATTTCTTCAATAAATGAATGGCATGACAAAAGGTGGGGAGTGAAGGGAGGATCTCTAATAGATTAAATGAACCATAAGAATAAAGTGTAGGCCGGGCGCGGTGGTGGCTCAAGCCTGTAATCCCAGCACTTTGGGAGCACTTCAGGTGGATCACCTGAGGTCAGGAGTTCAAGACCAGCCTGACCAACATGGTGAAACCCCGTCTCTACTAACAAATACAAAAATTAGCTGTGTGTGGTGGCTGGCACCTGTAATCCCAGCTACTTGGGAGGCTGAGGCAGGAGAATCCCTTGAACCCGGGAGGCAGAGGTTGCAGTGAGCCAAGATCGCGCCATTGCACTCCAGCCTGGGCAACAAGAGTGAAACTCTGTCTCAAAAAAAAAAAAAAGAATACAGTGTAAAGCACGAGCTTCTTTGTAGCCTGATTCAAGGCAACTAAATTTAAATAGGCATTTTTCAGAAAACAGAAAATTTGAACACAGACTGAGTATCGAATGATATTAGGGGATTACTTTTTTCTCCTGTTTTTTTAGAGGCCTTGCCTTGCAATGTCGCCCAGGCTGACCTCAAACTCTTGGGCTCAAGCAATCCTCCCGTCTCAGCCTTCCATAGCTAGGACTACAGGCGTGCAGCACCACAGATGGCTAATTAAGGAACTACTTTAATTTTGTTAGATGAGATGAGGGCGATGTGGCTATGTTGAAAAGAAAGACCTTATCTATTAGCTATAGATACTGAAATATTTATGGGTATCATGATATAATATATGGGATTTATTTTGAATTACTCCTGGGAAAAGGTATGTGATGGGGGTGGGTATGTAAAATAAACTGATAGAAGGTTGATAGTAATTCAAGCTAGGTGATGGTCCATGGAAGCTTAATTATATTATTCTCTTTGGGGTGTGCTTGAAAATATTTATAAAACAATATAACAATATCAAATTAAATTAATGCTATTAGGGCCAGTCATGGTGGCTTATGCCTGTAATTCTAGCACTTTGGTAGGCTGAGGCGGGCGGATCACTTGAGGTCAGGAGTTTGAGACTAGCCTGGCCAACATAGCAAAACCCCATCTCTACTAAAAATACAAAAAATTAGCTGGGCGTGGTGACGGGCGACTGTAATCCCAGCTACTCAGGAGGCTGAGACAGGACAATCCCTGGAACCTGGGAGGTGGAGGTTGCAGTGAGCTGAGATCACACCCACTGCACTCCAGCCTGGGCAAAAGAACGAGATTCCATCTAAAAATAAAATAAAATAAAATAAAATTAATTAATTAATGCTGTTAGTTGTGAGGGCTCTAGGAAAGATTAGCAAGTGTTAGAAAGGTGTTAGCAACTTATTAGCTCCAAACTAAGACTTTCTCCTCTTTATGATCAGAAGCCTTGGAAAAGGCTATTCTTTATTCTTTTTTTTTTTTTTTTTTAAGACTAGTCAAGTGCAAGTGCAGGCCAGGCATGGTGGCTCACCCCTCTAATCCTAGCACTTTGGGAGGCCAAGGCAGGAGGATTGCTTGATCTCAGGAGTTCAAGACCAGCCTGGGCAACACAGTGAGACCCTGTCTCTGCAAAAAAATAAGAAAATTAGCTAAGTCTGGTGGTGCCCACCTGTAGTCCCAGCTACTGTGGAGGATCTGGTAGGAGAATCCCTTAAGTTCAGGAGTAGGAGGCTGCAATGAGCCATTCACTGCACTCCAGCCTGGGTGACAGAGCAAGACCTTGTCTAAAAAAAAAAAGACTTGGCCAGGCACAGTGGCTCACGCCTGTAATCCTAACACTTTGGGAGGCCGAGAGACGTGGATCACAAGGTCAGGAGTTCAAGACCAGTCCGGCCAACATGGTAAAACCCTGTCTCTACTGAAAATACAAAAATTAGCTGGGCGTGGTGGTGGGCACCTGTAATCCCAGCTACTTGGGAGGCTGTAGCAGAGAACTGCTTGAACCTGGGAGGTGGAGGTTGCAGTGAGCCAAGATCGTGCCACTGCACTCCAGCCTGGGCGAAAGAGTGAGACTCCGTCTCAAAAAAAAAAAAAAGAAAAGAAAAATAAAAAGACTTTAAAAGGAAACAATTTGGTCACTATGTGGATTCAGTGTTATATAATGCTGAAATAATCTACCCAACAAAAATATGCTAAGCATTCTACCTTGGGAAGCCTGGTATTGTAAACCCAGGGATTGGGGAGGGGAGACATGGAATTTAATTCTCACTCAGTTATGATCTCACTAGGAGTCACCTTGCCCTGGTTCCTTCTTCTGTAAAGTGGGAGAAGTTAGACTAAAAGACCTCTAGGTCTCCCTCTCTGAAGCTGTGATTCAGTAAATAATGAATAAGTGTCTGACTCATTCAATTATCCAACAATCATTTATGAAACACCTACCATTTACTGTACTGGGTGCTGGGATGCAGCTGGGCAACCTCCCTGCCTACATAGAGCTTATGGTCTAGCTATAAATGTACCATTTCATTTTTTTTTTTTTTTTCTGAGATGGAGTCTCACTCTGTTGCCAGGCTGGAGTGCAGTGGCATGATCTCGGCTCACTGCAACCTTCGCCCCCCAGGTTCAAGCAATTCTCCTGCCTCAGCCTCCCAAGTAGCTGGGACTACAGGCATGCACCACCACACCCAGCTAATTTTTGTATTTTTAGTAGAGACAGGGTTTCACCATGTTGGCCAGGATGGTCTTGAACTCCTGACCTCAAGTGATCCACCCACCTCAGCTTCCCAAAGTGCTGGGAGATTACAATAAATGTACCATTTCTAAGAGAATGTTAGCTATTCAGAAAAATAGATACTGGCCTAGTAGCACAGTTTGGAAAAAATATGGAGCTGTTTTCTCCCAGATCTCGTGCCTATTTAATTGTCCTGACTCTTCCTCCACAGGCCATCTGTGTTTTAGAACAGCTGGGAGGAACAGCTGTTGCCTCCCTGGGACAGAGAATGCAATGCACGAACTGTCCAGGCTGCAGGACATTCTTATCCCTGAAGCTGGGGGTAGAGTCATTTGAGACAAACACAGGCCCTGAGCATGGGAGGAGTGGTCCTGCAGAGGGAAACCCAGGTGCTGTTACTGGAGGAAGGATCAATGGATGCCAAGGGACAAAAGGCACCAGCCCACTACCTTTCTTATCTCACTATTTCACTGCAAGTGTGTACTAGAATAAAGATACCAAACTTTCTCATTTCCTCTGAGGAGAGAAGCATTAAAAATCCAATTATACTTTTCAATTTATCCCATCAACAGGAATCAGTTCAAAGAACAAATGGTTTTAACTTCTCTATCCCAGTTTTCTCCTTCTTAGAATGGGCACAATGGTGCCTATACTTATACAGTAGTGAGAAGATTCAGGAAGAGAAATTCCTATAAAAGGTTTAGCACAATGCCTGGCACATAAAAAAGCCTCAATAAATACCAGTGATTTTATTACCTCTTGTCCACTCAACCCAATTAAGCAACTTCCTGGCTTGCCCAGGCATCCTGGAGTGTGACCTTCCTGTTGATTCTCTGTGGCTCCTGTTTTTATCCTCCCCATAGAACCCAGCAAACCCAACCTTGGCCCTGGTCATTTAGCTTATGGCCTATGAGTCATTCTCTGGGTTGAATGGCCCATGCTTGGGGCTTGCTTGGGGCTCCCAAGAAACCAGTTAAATTCTTGTTTATGAATGTTCTTTGGAATACTAATAACCACTAAAAAAACAAACAACAACAACAAAAAACACAGCTAACATGCTAGAATGGATCTAACCCATAGTTTTTCTTGAAGACTTTCCCAAATTCCCTTGGCAGACACACCCAGTGCTTCTCTCCATTAATACTAACCACAGGGCATACTTACCTGCCTTGCTTTAACCTGTCCTAGTTCTCCTAATCTCATCTAGAACAAATTATTTTACCTTTGGTTTTAAAGAGGCACTTCCTAGAACCTCCCTAACCATTCTAAATCCTTTACAATTCAACATTCAGTGGTTTCCCATTCCCCATGGGGTCAAAGCCAGAATTCTCAGCTCACCTCCAAGACCCTCTAACATCTGACCTCAACTCCCGCCATGATCAGCCTGTACTCGATTCTCACTTTAGAGATTATTCCCTATAAGAGCACTTAGCCACCTTGGTTTTTTTCAAGTTAACAAATACTTGTTGGGCTTTAGACAAGTTTTTTTCCTCTCTGTATAATTTGATAGAAATTTCAGGTGTCTCCAGGGATAAGGCAGATGTTAATGATATAGGAGTTAAGAATAAATTATTTTAAGTAGATAGCGAGGATATGGAAGTCCTCCTCATCCTTTTAATGAAAAGCAGCCCACAAATCATTTTCTTTTCTAACAAAGAGCAGCCTATAAAATCGAGCTGCAGACATTCAAAGGCAAGCTAGAAGCTTGCACGAGTGAATGCCAGCAGTTGTGCCAGCAAGAAAGGGCTACCTGGGGACTAGGCATGTTCAAAATGACAGCTCCATCTTTCCTTTTCCTTGCCAACCACGTGTGCGGTAAGGAGCAGACAACATGGCGCCCACCAAGTGGCAAGCTCATTTGCGTAATAAGCAAGATTAGGGTCGGGTGGACAGCTTCCTAGCGCTATGTAAACGTCATACCGAATCCAACCAATCTGTGGGCAATATGTAAATCAGGGACTGCCTCCTCAAGCCAGTCTATAAAATCTGGTGCACTCCTCGCAGCTGAAGTCCCACTGGGGCACCTCTCTCCTTCACAGGATAGAGAGCTATTCTCCTTTCTCTTACTTTTGCCTATTACATCTCAGCTCCTAAACCTACTTCTTGTGTGTCCATGTACTCAATTTCCTTGGCGTGAGATGATGAACCTCAGGTGTTTACCCAAGACAAACGATGCCACTTCATTAAGATTTGGTAATGTAACCCAGTTTCACACAAGAAGGTGGGGAAGATAGACACCAGAGACTGGGAAGAGTGGGGGTGGCGGGGGGTGGGGGATAAATGGAAGTTGGTTCTGGGTGCAAACAGAGTTAGATGGAAGAGACAAGTTATAATGTTTGACAGCAGACTAGGGTGACTATACTTCTATACTTGGCAACAATATTATGTATATTTCAAAGGAACTAGAAGAAAGAACTTGAAATAATACCAACACATAAAAATGATAAACACACAAGGTGATGAGACCCCAATTACCCTGAGTTGATCATTACACATTCTTTGCATGTAAGAAACACTCACGTGTACCTCACAAATATGGAAATTATTATGTATCAATAAAAGGGAAAGAACAAAAAGGGTAAGGTAGAGCCTGTGGTAAACTGAAGAGTAGCAGCCCTGTCTACAGACATTCAAATTCAGAATGTTTAACAATAAAGTGATATCCAAACAAAACACATCTATTAGTCTGGGACCTGAAGAAGATCACAGCTATCAAACTCTTTAATAATAGTTTCCCAATTCCAAATGAAATTATACACAGAATCCCATTTTTAAAAGTAGTCATATTTTATCAACTTAAATTTATTTTGTTATGTTTATATGCTTTCTAAAATATTATTTTATGTGTTTTAAAATTTACTTAAAATGTATGTAAGTGTATATATGTTTATATTGCCATCCAAAAGACCACCAGGACACAAAATAGTAGAAAGGAGAGGTTTTTTTAATTGTTAATTTTTGTGGGTACATAGTAGGTGAATATATTTATGGGTTACATGAAATATTTTGATACAGGTACACAATACATAATAATCACATCAGTGTACCTGGGGTATCCGTCACCTTAAACATTCATCCTTTGTGTTACAACAATCCAATTATACTCTTTTAGCCATTTTCAAATGTACGATTACATTATTTTTTACTAGTCACCCTGTTGTGCTAGCAGATATGCCTTATTCATTCATTCTGACTTTTTTTTTTTTAAACCCGTTAACCATCTCCACTTCCCCCTAATTCCCTCACTACCCTTCCCAGCTTCTGGTAACCATCCTTCTCTATCTCAGTGAGTTCAGTTGTTTTAATTTTTAGCTCCCACAAATAAGTAACAACATGCAAAGTTTGTCTTTCTGTGCTTTGCTTATTTCACATAACATAATGACCTTCAGTTCCATCTGTGTTGCTGCAAATGACAGGATCTCATTCTTTGTTATAGATGAATAGTACTCCATTGTGTGTATGTACCACACTTTTAAATATCCCCATGTCTGTTGATGGGCACTTAGGTTGCTTCCAAATCTTGGCTATTGTGAATAGTGTTGCAGTAAACATGGGAGTGCAGATATCTCCTCCATATACTAATGTCCTTTCTTTTGGGTATATACCTAGGAGTAGGATTGCTGAATCTTATGGTAGTTCTAGTTTTAATTTTTTGAGGAGCCTCCAAACTGTTCTCCGTAGTGGTTATATTAATTTCCATTTCCTTCAACACTATATGAGGGTTCCCTTTTCTCCATATCCTCACCAGCATTTATTATCGTCTGTCTTTTGGATGAAAGTCATTTTAACTGGGGTGAGATGATATCTCATTGTGGTTTTGATTTGCATTTCTCTGATGTGCAGTGATGCTGAGCACCTTTTCATGTACTTGTTTGCCATTTGTATGTCATCTTTTGAGAAATGTCTATTCAGATCTTTTATTTTTTTATTTTTTATTTTTTGTTTTTCTGAGACGGAGTCTCACTCTGTCGCCCAGGCTGGAGTGCAGTGGAGCGATCTCGGCTCACCACAACCTCCACCTCCCATGTTGAAGCGATTCTCCTGCCTCAGCCTCCCGAGTAGCTGTGATTACAGGCACCTGTCACCACACCTGACTAATTTTTTTGTATTTTTAGTAGAGATGGGGTTTCACCATGTTGGTCAGGCTGGTCTCAAACTCCTGACCTCATGATCCGCCCGCCTTGGCCTCTCAATATTTTCTTGTAGTAGTTTCATAGTTTGAGGTCTTAAATTTAAGTGTTTAATCTATTTAGATTTGACTTTTGTATAATGTGGGAGATAGGGGTCTAGTTTCATTTTTCTGTATGTGGATATCCAGTTTTCCCAGCACCATTTATTGAAGAGACTGTCCTTTCCGCAATGTATGTTTTTGGTACCTTCATTGAAAATGAATTTGCTGTAGATGTATGGATTTATTTTTGGATTCTTTGTTTTATTCCATTGGTCTATATGTCTGTTTTGATGCTGTTACTGTGCCATTTTGGTAACTATAGCTCTATAGTATAATTTAAAGTCAGTTTGAAGTATACTATAGAGTTATAGTTTTACTATAATTGTACTGTAGAGCTCCAGTTTTGTTCTTTTTCTTAGGATAGCTTTGGCTATTCTGGGTCTTTTGTAGTTGCATATAAATTTTAGGACTTTTTTTTCTATTTCTGTGAAGAATGTCATTGGTATTTTGGTAGGAATTGCATTAAATCTCTAGATTGCTTTGCATAGTATGGACATCTTAACAATATTGATTCTCCTAATCCATGAACATGGAATATCTTTTAATTTTTTTGGTGTCCTCTTCAATTTCTTGGATCAGTGTGTTATAGTTTTCATTGTAGAGATTTTTCACTTTATTGGTTAATTCCTAGGTATTTTATTTTATTTGTAGCTACTGTAAATGTCATTACTTTATTGATTTCTTTTCAGATCGTTCACTGCTGGCATATAGAAATGTTGCTGACTTTTGTATGTTGATTTTGTGTCCTGCATCTTTATTGAATTTATCAGCTTTAATAGTTTTTTTGTGGAGTTTTTATGTTTTTCCAAATACAAGATCATATCATCTGCAAACAAGGATAATTTGACTTCTTCCTTTCCAATTTGGATACCCTTTATTTCTTTTGTCTGATTGCTCTAGCTAGGACTTTCCAATACTATGTTGAATAACAGTAGTGACAGTGGACATCCTTGTCGTGTTCCAAATCTTACGGAAAAAGCTTTCAGTTTTTCCCCATTCAGTATATTAGTTGTGGGTCTGTCATATGTGGCTTTTGTTATTTTGAGGTTTGTTCCTTCTATACCCAATTTTTTGAGGGTGTTTATCACGAAGAAATGTTGAAATTTATAAAATGATTACATTGCTTTTGTCCTTCATTTTCTTGACATAATGTATCACATTGATTGATTTGCATATACTGAACCATCTTTGCATCCCCGGGATAAATCTCACGGGGTCATAATGAATGATCTTTTAAATGTGTTGCTGAATTTAGTTTGCTAGTATTTTGTTGAGGATGTTTGCATTAATATTCATCAGGAATATTGGGCCCTACTTTTCTTTTTTGCTATGTCTTTGTCTGGTTTTGCTATCAGGATCATACTGGCCTCAGAATGAGTTTGGAAGTATTCCCTCTTCCCCTGTTTTTTGGAATAGTTTGAGTAGGATTGTTATTAGTTCATTAAATGGTTGGTAGAATTCAGCAGTGAAGTCTTCAGATCTTGGGCTTTTCTTTGTCGGGAGACATTTTATTATGGCATTGATCTCGTTACTTGTTATTGGTCTATTCAGGTTTTGGATTTCTTCATGGTTCAATCTTGGTAAGTTGTATGTGTCTATGAATTTATCCATTTCTTCTAGATTTTCCAATTTATTGGTGAATTGTTGCTAATAGTAACCACTAATGATCCCTTGAATTTCTTTCTTTCTTTTTTTTTTTTTTTAATTGATCATTCTTGGGTGTTTCTCGCAGAGGGGGATTTGGCAGGGTCATAGGACAATAGTGGAGGGAAGGTCAGCAGATAAACAAGTGAACAAAGGTCTCTGGTTTTCCTAGGCAGAGGACCCTGCGGCCTTCTGCAGTGTTTGTGTCCCTGGGTACTTGAGATTAGGGAGTGGTGATGACTCTTAACGAGCATGCTGCCTTCAAGCATCTGTTTAACAAAGCACATCTTGCACCGCCCTTAATCCATTTAACCCTGAGTGGACACAGCACATGTTTCAGAGAGCACAGGGTTGGGGGCAAGGTCATAGATCAACAGCATCCCAAGGCAGAAGAATCTTCCTTAGTACATAACAAAATGGAGTCTCCTATGTCTACTTCTTAATACACAGACGCAGCAACAATCTGATTTCTCTATCTTTTCCCCACATTTCCCCCTTTTCTATTCGACAAAACCGCCATCGTCATCATGGCCCGTTCTCAATGAGCTGTTGGGTACACCTCCCAGATGGGGTGGCAGCCGGGCAGAGGGGCTCCTCACTTCCCAGACGGGGCGGCTGGGCAGAGGTGCCCCCCACATCCCGGACGGGGCGGCGGCCGGGCGGAGGCGCCCCCCACCTCCCTCCCGGACGGGGCGGCTGCGGGGCGGAGACGCTCCTCACTTCCCAGACGGGGTGGCTGCCGGGCGGAGGGGCTCCTCACTTCTCAGACGGGGCGGCTGCCGGGTGGAGGGGCTCCTCACTTCTCAGACGGGGCGGCTGGGCAGAGACGCTCCTCACCTCCCAGACGGGGTCGCGGCCGGGCAGAGGTGCTCCTCACACCCCAGACGGGGCGGCGGGGCAGAGGCGCTCCCCACATCTCAGACGATGGGCGGCCGGGCAGAGACGCTCCTTACTTCCCAGACAGGATGGCGGCCGGGAAGAGGCACTCCTCACTTCCCAGACTGGGCAGCCGGGCAGAGGGGCTCCTCACATCCCAGATGATGGGCGGCCAGGCAGAGACGCTCCTCACTTCCCAGACGGGGTGGCGGCGGGGCAGAGGCTGCAATCTCCACACTTTAGGAGGCCAAGGCAGGCGGCTGGGAGGTGGAGGTTGTAGCTAGCGAAGATCACTCCACTGCACTCCAGCCTGGACAACATTGAGCACTGAGTGAACGAGACACCGTCTGCAATCCCGGCACCTCGGGAGGCCGAGGCTGGCAGATCACTCGTGGTTAGGAGCTGGAGACCAGCCCGGCCAACACAGCGAAACCCCGTCTCCACCAAAAAAATACGAAAACCAGTCAGTCGTGGCGGCGCGCCCCTGCAATCGCAGGCACTCGGCAGGCTGAGGCGGGAGAATCAGGCAGGGAGGTTGCAGTGAGCCGAGATGGCAGCAGTACAGTCCAGCTTCGGCTCGGCATCAGAGGGAGACCGTGGAAAGAGAGGGAGAGGGAAACCGTGGGGAGAGGGAGGGGGAGGGGGAGGGATCCCTTGAATTTCTGTAGTAATAGTTGTAATGTAGCCTTTTTCATCTTTGATTTTATTTATTTGAGTCTTCTCTTTTCTTAGTCTGGCTAAAGGTTTATCAATTTTGTTTATCTTTTCAAAAAGCCAGCTTTTTGTTTTGTTGATCGTTTGTATTGTTTTCTTCATTTCAATTTTATTTACTTATGTTCTGATCTTTATTATTTCTCTTCTACTAATTTTGGATTTGGTTTGCTCTTGCTTTTCTAGTTTTTTGTTTTTGTTTTTGAGGCAGAGTCTCACTCTGTCACCCAGACTGGAGTGCAGTGGTGTGATCTCTGCTCACTGCAACCTCTGCCTCCCAGGTTCAAGTGATTCTCCTGCCTCAGCCTCTGGAATAGCTGGGATTACAGGGGTGCGCTACCATACCTGGCTAATTTTTGTATATTTTAGTAGAGACGGGGTTTCACCATGTTGGCCAGCCTGGTTTCAAACTCCTTGCCTCAAGTGATCCTCCCACCTTGGCATCCCAAAATCCTTAGATTACAGGTGTGAGCCACTGCCTGGCCAAAAACATATGATTTTATATATTTTTTAAAACCAGTCAATAAGAAGAATGATCACGAAAACTTGAATTGAAACCAGAGTTTGGATGACAATTATAGCTTGGATCAGCCTCAGCAGCCAATTTATTGCACAACAATTATTTTATCAGATGATACTGAGAAAATACCAACTTATAGGTATGCAGTTGTAAATGGCCACTGTTTACAAATAGCTCACCTTGCAACACAGCATATTGCATTTTAGCAGAGAATAAAAGAGAAGCTTTATTCCAAGATCTGCACAAACATGTGTTAACCTGATAGCACAAAGATGACAGAGTAGTTGACCCCCAACCTCTCACATTTTATACACGTTTCTTTCCCAGCAATAGAAATCCTGATTTTTAATTGGGTGCATGAAAAACATAATTTTAAAATAGCATTCCCCAATCTGCTTTGCAGTTAGGTATGGTCATTTAACTAAGTCTGGCCAAAAGAATATAAGCAGTAGTGTTATATGCAATTTCTGGGAAATGTCCTGCTGACAGAATGCAACTGAGATGGTTGGAGTTTGAATAGCCATTTGGAACATGAGGTTTAAACCCCATGTTGAATGTGGCAGAGCCACAAAATATAATCAGTCTAGATCTCTCATGAACCCAGAACCACAATCTCAGCCCTTGATTATTTGCATCCAAATTTTATTTGTGTGAGGCCAAAACAAATTTTTGTATTGTTGAAGACATTGCTGTTTTGTTTTCTGTCACTTACAGCTGAACCTGACTGATAGAAAAGCTAAACTGATGAAGCCTTCAGATACTTTTTTTTTTTAAGACTCTCACTCCGTTGCCTACACTGGAGTGCAGGGGTGATCATAGCTCACTGCAGCCTCGAACTCCTGAGCTCAAGTGATCCTCTTGCTTCACCTTCCTGAGTAGCTGGGACTACAGGCTTGTGTCACCATACCTACTATTTTTTATTTTTTATGGAGACAGGCTCTCACTATGTTGACGAGACTGGTCTTGAACTTCTGGTATGAAGCAATCCTCCCACCTTGGCCTCCCAAAGTGCTGGGATTACAGGCATGAGCCACCTCGTCTAGGCAAGTATGTTAAAATTTGATATGTAACATTTATAAGTGTGTCTGTAGCTCCTTATTTAAGATTTCCAAGCAAGCCTCGTATCTAAAACTGTAGTTCTTAAACTTTTGGTCTCAGAGTCCCTTTATTTCCTTAAAAATTATTATTAATTCCAATAAACTTATATTTAGTAGTTTTTAATCTGTCAATATTTAATGCATTGGCAATTAAACAGAGAATAAGTCCAGGCACAGTGGCTCATGTCTGTAATCCCAGCACTTTGGGAGGCCGAGGCGGGAGGATCATGAGGTCAGGAGATTGAGACTATCCTGGCCAACACAGTAAAACCCCATCTCTACTAAAAATACAAAAATTAGCCAGGCATGGTGGCGCGCGCCTGTAGTCCCAGCCACCTGGGAAGCTGAGGCAGGAGAATCGCTTGAACCCGGGAGGTGGAGGTTGCAGTGAGCTGAGATTGCACCACTGCATTCCAGCCTGGGCAACAGAATGAGACTCCGTCTCAAAACAAAAACAAGGCTGGGCACAGTGTCTCACGCTTGTAATCCCAGCACTTCGGGAGGCTGAGGCGGGTGGATCACCTGAGGTTGGGTGTTCAAGACCAGCCTGGCCAACCTGATGAAACCCCATCTCTACTAAAAATACAAAAAAATTAGCTGGGCATGGTGGCAGGCGTCTGTAATCCCAGCTAATTGGGAGGCTGAGGCAGGAGAATCTCTGGAACCCGGGAGGTGGAGGTTGCAGTGGGCCAAGATTGTGCCATTGCATTCCAGCCTGGGCAATAAGAGCAAAGCTGTGTCTCAAAAAACAAAAAAAAAACCAACATTATTTTAACCAAATGTTTAGGGAAGCTCTGATACACTTTCAGTGATTTAAATATCTCTTAATAGGATGATGTCTAAGATTCTGCAGTAGATGTTTGTTTATGATTTATTGAGTTTGATTTGGGGCCACCAGCATCCATTTCCCCTTCTCGGGAACTGTGCCTTGATTTTCCTCTTGGGCAATACCCTCTCCTACACTCTTAGCCCCACTTAGAAAAAGGGCATGTGACTAGCCTACGCCATGCCATTCCCCAGGGCCACAGTAACTCTTTCAGGGACGGACATGAGATGGGATATAGGACTGCAACAGAGAATCTGGCCTTCTCCTGGGCTTGACTAGGAATGCATGTGAGATCCCAAGTAGCAGGAGCCTCCCTGAGACCACAGGGGAAGGCTGCATGAACATGAAGCCAACAGGAAAGAGAATAGAGTGGAGAGACAGACAGACAGACAGAGAGAAACAGAGACAGCAGAGAAACAGAAAGAGAGAAAGAGAAAGAGACAGAGAAACAGAGAGAAACAGAGCCAGACAGAAAAGGGCAGACAGACAAAGAGAGACAGAGAAAGAGAGACTAAGAGAGAGAGAGAGAGAGAGAGAAAGACAAAGATAGAGACAGAGACACAGAAAGATACTCATGGGACACTGGTCCAAGCCCCTAAGCTAGCCTGGGGCAGACACTGTTATTTGTCTGCTCAACATCCATTCTCCTCTTCTGCCTAATCAACAGACCCTCAATTCTGCTTAGGGAGCTCTGTGTCCATCTCAAAATACTAATCTTTCTAGACTCCTTTGCAGTGCAGAGAGGCCATGGGACATGCTTCTCACCAATGAACTTGTAAGCAGAAATCAGTGCATGGAGCTTCTGGGGAAGCTTGTGAAAGAGGGAGACTTTGCTTTTTGTCCCTCTTCTTCCTTCTTGGATGGCATATGTAAGACAAAGTGGAGCCACAGGAGAATGGAATCCACAAGGAAAGGCTGACAGAAGGAACTGCAGCCTGATGATGGCATGGACCCAGCGTCATCCTCAGATGGCCAGATTGCTTGCAAAGTGGTATAAAAGCTGCTGGAATCAGGTTTCTGTGACACACAGCAGAGTGCAATCCTATGTAATATACAGCCCTGCTCCTGGACTTTTTCTTTCCATAAGCCTTTTTGCTTATACTGGTTTGGGTTGGGTTTTCTATCCCTTTCAACAGAAGAAATCCATTTCTGACTCGGAGGAGACATCCTGTTTACTCAACAGGTAAATGTCTCACATCTATGAGACAAGGTGAACGATAATTGTCCCTTTAAGAGAAAGAAGATGATATTCCTTACGTGTGGCTGCAGGGGAACATTAAAGCAGGAGGTGGAGAGAGAAAAGGAATGTAATGGGGTGAAGAGGAGCCTTACGGAGAGCAGAAAGTTTCTTCTGGCTTCAGAACCGAGCTGATGCAGTGTCTGGGGCTGCTGTCTGGGTCACAAAAATAATTTGGATGACTCTGTGGCCAAACTATGTAGGGGAAGCTCCTCCAACTTTTAGCAAACTGTAGTTGGCCCTTACTCTTTTGAGGCATGTGAAGAACTACATTCTTCAAGGGGCTGGGCCTCTTCAAGACTTTTTCTCTTTCCTGGAGAGGGCCAGGGAGGTGAGTGGGGGAAAGACTAAGCATCAATGTGAGCATGAGAAAATTCTGGAATCAGTAAGATCTCAGTTTTTTTGTTTTTTTGAGACAGAGTCTTGCTCTATCACCCAGGCTGGAATGCAGTGGCACAACCATAGCTCACTATAACTTTGAACTCCTGGGCTTAAGTGATCGTCCCGCCTCAGCCTCCCAAGTAGGTGGGCCTACAGGCACATGTCACCACGCTCAGCTAGTTTTTAAATTTTTTGTAGAGACAGGGTCTCACTATCTTGCCAGGGCTGGTTTTGAACTCCTGGTCACAAGCCATCCTCCTGTCTTGGCCTCCCAAAGTGCTGAGATTACGGGCATGAACCAGTGTCTGGTCAAAATGGAGTTTTTTGTTTTGTTTTTGAGACAGGGGTCTCGTTCTGTTGCCCAGGCTGAAGTGCAGTGGCACGAACATGGCTCACTGCAGCCTCAACCTCCCAGGGTCAAGTGATTCTTCTACCTCAGCACCCCCTAGTGGCTGGGACTATAGGTGTGCACCACCATGCCAGTTAATTTTTAAATTTTTTTAATAGAGCCTGTTGCCCAGGCTGGTCTCTAACTCCTGGGCTCAAGCAATCCTCCTGCCTTGGCCTCCCAAAGTGCTGGGATTATAGGCGTGAACCACTACACCCAGCCTGAAATGGAGTTTTCTATGAATTATTAATTAGATCCCTTTTAATACTCTTAGAGATATAAAAATGAAGATTGTAGCACTTTTAAATGATTTGTAACTGTAACACTTTGTTTTCTTCAATGTGGCTCTTCACAGACTGGGCCATGTGAAGCTTTGGGATTTCCCAGGGTCATGTTCTTTACAGAGGCAGGAGGTCAGCTCTACTGGTTCCCTCACACTGTTTCAACTTCCCTGCCCTCTAAACAGGCTGCACAGCATCCTCCAGCCCCAACTATCCTCTCAGAAGAGTTGTCGGAATAAGGACAAAAACAACACCCTCTGTCTCTAGGTCCTTCTGGAATGTCTTCTA
The DNA here is from genome assembly GCF_000001405.40 of Homo sapiens. Classification (NCBI taxonomy): domain Eukaryota; kingdom Metazoa; phylum Chordata; class Mammalia; order Primates; family Hominidae; genus Homo; species Homo sapiens. The sequence goes on from NC_000005.10 coordinate 151,719,966, forward strand.
AGATACAAAGTCTCCTCTCAGGCCCGTTAGCTCATCCCACCCTCCCTCCACCTCTGTCTGGATTAAAAGCCTTCTGTGCTGGAGGACAAGGAGAATCCTGAAGAGCCAACTAGCTGAACTGCTAGAGTTGCTCCAGTGATTCTCCAAAGTGCCTCTTATCCTGAGACTTTCCTGTTGTCCAGGAGACCCAATGGATGTTTCCCCCAGCCCCTTTGCCTAGGGAAAAGTAAGTGATAGCAGGCAGGAAGGCCTTGCTGCTGTAGTGCCACTGTGCACAACCTAGAAAGCTGCAGCAAAGAGAGACTTGAAGGTTGCTTGGGCAGCTCCCAGAGATGGCACTGCTTTTCAGGGAAGTTGTGTCTCAGGTAGTGACTATTTGGGCCAGTGCTACGCAGGTGGTAGAAAGAATTTACCAAGACAGTTGTAGGTCAGCAAAGCAGATTTGTTAGAGGAAGTATGAAAGTATGTTGCAAGGGTGCAATGGGTAAGTCAGCAAGAGAGTAGCTGACTGCAAGGAGTCAAAGGCTTGCTGGGGATTTTTTAGGATGGTGCTTGTGCTGTGTGCTGAAGAGGGCTTTGTACAGTACAGATAATGCCAAGGTTGCAGTGAGCTAATGTACATTATTCTATCAGCCGAGGTGTCTGGTGATAGTTGGGCACAGGAAGATTGTGAGTTATTTGCACAGGAGGGCTATGTGTCCTGGACCATGAAGAAAGGCAGATGTATAGCTTATCTACTTTTTCTTTTTTCTTTCCCCTGCTCCCACCAGCCTGACTCCTTTTCCCTAATTAGGACTCCACAGGTTGTGGTCCCCACTACCTAGGGTCATAACCTTTGCAGGTTTTGAAGCTCCGTCTGATCAGTTTGCAGTGTTGGGGGATTGCTGCACAGAGAAAGACAGATGCTCCTGGAAAATACCAACATGTCCCATCCCCCTCATCTGGAGGATGAGCTTTTGCACTAGCAGAAAGTTTGTTTCTACACCTAAAGCCATATTATTCCCTATGCCAAGGTGTTGAATTAGACATCAAGAGGTTGATGAAGGAGTACAGAATTGGAGCAAAGGGTGATCTGAAGGGATGTGACATCTAAGTGGTGTGATGAAGTGTTCCTGCTCCCATAGTAAAGTCTGTCCTCACACAGTGGGAGGCAGTAGTTCTTAGCATAGAGGCTAAAGTGTAGTCTCTGCCGTGCATTGTATGCATTCAAATTCTGATCTATTCTGAGTAACAATGTGGCTCTGGGCAAGCTACCTTTCTAGGTTGCAGTTTCATCTGTAAAATGACAAAAAAGAAAGTATCAGAACAAGTTGGTACTAGGCCCAGTCCTGCTATAAGTTGCTGGTCACGTCAAGTAAATCTCTCAGCCTCTCTGGATCCATGCTTCCTCCTCTGAAAAATGAAAAGGGTTGAATCAAGGGTAGACTCTTCTACTACAACAATCTCTGAAACTGTGGAGGGAAAGTCTGAGCCACTCCCCACTAAGAAGCTGTTACTGCTTGGATGCCTGAGTTTTCAATGCCTCAGTAAACTATACCACCTCTGGGGAACTCCCAGCCCAAGGGGGAAGACTGCTGAATGACAGAGCGCTTTTCATGATACTTGGCTAGGGCTGTGCTAACTTAAACAATGAGCACAGTTCTCAGTCCTGAAGGTAACAAGAACACCCTTGCCAATCTCCAGAGAGGAAAACCTCTGTAAGCTCATATATGTGGGCAGGACTTCCACAGAATTCTGGAATGTCAAAGCTGGAAAAGCTCTCAGGGAGTTTCTAGTTCAGGGGTTTTAAGTCACATTCTGTACTTCTGCAGTTCCACAAACTATTAATATTCACCTTATTTTGTATACCAGAGACTGCATTTAAAACTGTGGCTGCAAAACAACAAAGACACCTAAATCAGTCATCTGTCAAATGTGAACACATCAGAGACCAAAATTCATTTATACATTGTGGCAGATTTTGCTAGTGGTCCCCTTTCCCTTTGTTGTAGAAACTACACTTGAGTGGGGCCATAGTGCCCTGATTAAACTACATCTCCCAGCCTTCCTTGCAGATAGGTAAGGCAGTGCAGTTAAGCTTTAGTCAGTGGGTTGTAAGCAAAGGTTGTGAGTGTGACTTATGGGAGTTTTCTTCAAGTGAATGGGAATGCTCTTCTCATTCCTCTTCTAGCTAGCTCTAATGTGGACATGATGGCAGAACTCAATCAGTCATCTTGGACTTTGAATTGATAGAGAGAAGGAGGCTTGGTCCTGATGATCACTGAGTTACCTTGCTGACTCACTTCCCTACAGTGAGTGCCCTGGACTGCTCACCTCCAGATTTCATTTACATAAAAGAGACATACAATTCTGTCTTATTGAGGCCACTTCTATTTGGGGTTTTCTGCCTTTTGCAGCTAAATCTAATGGACACATTTGTGTTCTCAGTAATTGACTTTATAATGCATTCATAATATAAATATAAAAATAGCTTACTGAATAACCCTAAGGAAAACCACTCAGGTCAAGGAAACCACTCAGGTCAAAAAATAACATTTTGCAGCCACCCCAGAAGCTCTCTGTGTGCCCTGTCCCAATCACAACTACCTCCTTGCTTCTAAAAGCAACCTCTGTCCCAATTTGTATAGTAAACATATCCTGTTATACAGTAATGACATAACATTTCCTTAAAAACATTTTGGTCAGAGACTACTTTTATCTGTTTTATTTGAGATGCTCCTTAAGACTTTGCTTGACAGAAGGCTTCTTCTAATAAAAAAGTTGGCCAATAACTGAAATAGTCTGACCCCTTCATTTTACAGAGGAAGAACATGAAGTCAGAGAGGGGAAAGAACTTCCTTATTTTAAAACTGACAAATAAAAATTGTATGTATTTATGGTGTACAACATGATGTTTTGATGTATGTATATATGCAAAAGGATTTTCTAATGTCAACCAGCAAATTAGAGGTAGAGTGGACTAGAACTCATGTTCTCTCTGACTTTTTAACATTTTAACATTTTATTTTCCAATCCATTTCAGGGGAAGCAATCCTAGATACAAGGTACCAGCCTTGTGCAATGGCTCAAGGATGGGAAAGACTTGCAAATACAGTCTCTAGTACAGGACATTTTATCTTCAACAAACACAAAACCTGCCTCTTTCCACCCAAATCTCAGGGGAAGGATGCTACCAAGGATTCTGACAATGGTTCTTCCCAGATGGCTTTGCATTTTAACACAAACACATCAGCAAAGATGGAGTCAGACACAGAGTGACACAGTGGGGATGCCGATTGGATGAAGTGATCTTTGTAGGCCTCCTCAGAACCCTGCACCAGGGCATCTCCCCCATAGCTACTGTGTGCCCTGAGCCTGACACACAGAGGCCCTTGGAGATCACTGTGGCCAAGGGTGATGCTGAGTCTCGAGATCAGAGGTGTGAAATGCAGAGATGCAGGCGAGCCCCAGCTCTCTTTGCCATCTTTGCTAGACTGTTCTGACCAGCATGCGGCTGCACCTAACTCAATTTCTGGAGAATCCTTCATGCTCATGAAAGTCAATTATTTATTTATTTTTAAGACAGAGTCTCACTCTACTGCCCAGACTGGAGTGCAGTGACACAATCTCAGCTCACTGCAGCCTCCACCTCCCAGGTTCAAGCGATTCCCCCACCTCAGCCTCTAAGTAGCTGGGACTATAGGTGCCAGCCACCATGCCTGGCTAATTTTTTTGTATTTTTAGTAGAGATGGGGTTTGGCCATATTGGCTAGGCTGGTCTCAAACTCCTGTCCTCAAGTGATCCATCCCCCTCGGCCTCCCAAAGTGCTGGGATTACAGGTGTGAGCCACCACGCCTGGCCAAAAATCAATTATTTTATATTATGACAGATGCCCGTCATGCTTTTGTGTAGGACATGGCAGTGTCCAAGATAGCTCACTGGCCAGATTCCATAGCCTTCTTTGTCTCAGATTCTTGGAAGTTTTTGGGTCAGGCCTATTGGCTTCTCCCTTTTCCTATAGGTTAGAATTAGCAGACAACATTAGCAAAGATGTGACTGTGTGTTCTGTGGGGGAGAAAAAGGTGTTCCAAGGACTAAAAACTTGGGAAACAAGTTCATACTTTATCTCCTTTTTGAAAAGTCTCAATTACAGTATTAGTACCTTGAAGGATCTGCAAATTTCTACAGTAAATTATTTTGCTTGATTTTGATGGGCCTGGCATTTTTCAAACTTTTTTGGCTTTGAGACCTCATGTTTCACTAATAGCATTCTGCACGAAACAGTTTGGCAAATGATACTAGCCGCCTCTTTGATGGATAAAGGATGTATTAATACACATAGGATAGACAACATGGCTGGAAAATCACCTTTCTGGCCCAGGTAGCCATCCCTCTGGAAAAGTACTGCATTATCTCTGACTCTGTAAAAATCCATTTCTAATAGCCCCAAGAAGCCACTGCAGAAATGATCTAAACCAGTCTGGGATGGGTTCCCCAGGGATAGCTGGCTGGGCCCTACAGCCTGGCACCAGACTTATTGTACCAAGAGCCCTGGCCAGCCGGCAGCCACCCAGTGTGTGTCTTGACTTGTTTTTCCTTCCTTTCTCTCCTCCTTTTAGAAGACAGCTGAATGGTTCCAGTCTTTCAGTCCTGCTCCTGGCCAACACTGGACCTCTCAAAGTCTAGCCAACTCCTCTTCCAGCGCCTTGATAAACAACCCCCTCATGCTGGGAACCACAGCAGTGGGCTGTTTTTCTCCCTCATGCACCCCAGGAAGCCTCTCCTCTTTGCCTGGGCTTTCTTCCCAAGGCCTTAGCTGCCAACCCATTTTACACCCATGCGAAGCCCAGTCAGTCACCTGAAGAAAAGGAGACTCACAGAAGGCCCAAGATGAAAGACTCTTTAATCCTGTGGCTTTTTGAGTTTTGTTTTTAGCAGGAAGACCTTATTTTCAAAACAAATTGTTACACAGAATTTGCCAGTTTACAGAACAGATGAATAAAGACATTTATGGCAGACTTGTTTATTGTAGCACAACACTGGAAAGACACGAAAAGTCCATCAGTAAGGAACAGATTTAATAAGATGATGGTGAAGTCATACAATGGAATACTATTCTGCTGTCTAAAAGCGTGAGGCACCTCCCAACAATAATAGCACAAGTTCTGAGAAAATCTTTACTTTATATGGACAGTATTTGGTTAACAGTTCCATTTTAGGGCAAAGACCAAGATTACTACTTGTTTTGTTAAAATGTGCCACCTCCTATTCAAACTTGTCCAATGTTTATTTGGAACTTAAATATGGTGACCAAATATCCCAGTTTGCTTAGAACTGAAGGGTTTCCTGGGATATAGGACTTTAAGTGCTAAAACGGAAAATTCCAGGCAAAGGAATGAGTTGGTCACCCTATACTTAACAGAAGTCAACATGTTATTTTAGAAAGAATAGGTAGATTATTATTACTAATTTTAGCCCATGTTAATAAGCCAATATATTCACAAATAAAACAACCAGTATTTGTACTTTACTTATTTATTTTTATTTAATTTTTTTGAAACAGAGTCACACTCTGTTGCCCAGGCTGGAGTGCAATGGTGGGATCTCGGCTTACTGCAACCTCCGCCTCCCAGGTTCAAGCGATTCTCCTGCCTCAGCCTCCCGAGTAGCTGGGATTACAGGCATGTGCCACCAGGCCCAGCTAATTTTTATATCTTTAGTAGAGATGGGGTTTCACCATGTTGGTCAGGCTGGTCTCGAACTCCTGACCTCATGATCTGCCCACCTCGGCCTCCCAAAGTGCTGGGATTACAGGCATGAGCTACCACACCCGGCCAGTATTTGTACTTTAAATACGAGGGCAAAACCATATGAACTGATACGAAACATGAAACTATCTCAAGGTGCAGTAAAAAGTGGGGGAAAAGGCAAGTACAGAACAGTGAACTGAGTGTGCTCTCATTTTTTTAAGTTCTTTACTCTCTCTTTCCCCCACCCCCAAAGGTCAGAGCAGGGGGGGATTTGTCCACATAATAAAATGAAGTTTGTGACTTGTCTACTCCATCATAAGAAAATAGCTGGGCTGATTTTCACCAAACTTGGAGGATATACTTGGGGTGGTCTGACTTAAATACAGATTGTTTGGCATATGAAAATTGATCCTAGTAACCCTTCCTCCTGGAGAGGAAACTTGAAGAGATAAGCAGCCACTCCCCAAAGCTGACGCTAGTTTAACAGACAAGGCCTATGAGATCACCAATCAGAAAAGACTAACCAGGCCGGACATGGTGGCTCATGCCTGTAATTCTAGTACTTTGGGAGGCCGAGGCGGGCAGATCACCTGAGGTCAGGAGTTCAAGACCAGTCTGGCTAACATGGTGAAACCCCGTCTCTACTAAAAAAAAAAAAAAAAATTAGCCAAGCATGGTGGCAGGCACCCGTAATCCCAGCTATTTGGGAGACTTGAACCCAGGAGGTAGAGGTTGCAGTGAGCCGAGATCGCACCACTGCACTCCAGCCTGAGTGACAGCAAGACTCCATCTCAAACAAGAAAAGAAAAGAAAAGAAAAAAGAAAAAAAAGAAAAGACTAACCAGATAGCTTCAGGTCCGTTGACAGGGAAAACAAAGACTGGTTTCCAGGGAGTCTCCAAAATAAAAGCTCACAAAGTGGACTCTCCAGATGGAAGGCCTCAGTCTATAGGCTGCCTCCCACATGGGTGGGTGCAGTCAGATGTCCATGTGTGTAAAGATGGCTCATGGTTTTTCTGAATTAGCTGGGCATGGTATGTACCTGTAGTCCCAAATATGCAGGAGGGTGAGGTGGGAGGATTGCTCGAGCCCAGGAGTTTGAGGCTGCAGTGAGCTATGATTGTATCACTGCACCTAGGCAATAGAGCAAGTCCCGAAAAATGAAAAATGTTTTAAAGTGGTTTTTCTGAAAGGAGCAGCTCTTTTGGATATTAAGTCTTTCATTTACATAGACAATTCCTGAAAGATGCATATGAAATGGGTAATAATCAGTGTCTCCGAGGAGGAGAACCATGGGTCTGAAATGAACAGAATATATTTTTTATTATGCATCCTTTTGAGTTGGCAATATTTTCCATGTTTATATGTCAAGTCCTTTTTTAAAAAATTATATTTTAAACTTACAAAGAAACTACAGAGATAAAGTTAACACCTTCTGGCTTTGACAAATCTTAACATTTTGCAATAAATAGTTCAGACAGACCTCTGTTAATAAACAAAATGTGTGTGTGTGTGTGTGTGTGTATATATATATATATATATATATATATATATATATATATATATATGATTGAATCATATATATAATTGAAACCCAGTCCTATTCCTCATTCTCCCATACAAAAAGAAGTAAACAATACCTTACATTTGGAGTTTATCATTCCTATACATATTTTTTACTTTTAACACATATGTATGCCTCCCCAAATGATATATTTAGATTTTAAATTCTGACTGCTATATTGCCTGATGTATAAATACAGTGTGATATAATTACTGCTTTTATCTTTTCAGTCTCCTTTGGATGGATATTTGGGTTTTTTTTTTTTACAATTTTACATGTATGACTTTTTTTTTTTTTTTTGAGACAGACGCTTGCTGTGTCACCCAGGCTGGAGTGCAATGGCACAGTCTTGGCTCACTGCAGCCTCTGCCTCGCAGGTTCAAGAGATTCTTATGCCTCAGCCTCTCGAGTAGCTGGGATTACAGGCGTGTGCCACCACACCCAGCTAATTTTTGTAGTTTTAGTAGAGATGGAGTTTCACCATGTTGACCAGGCTGGTCTCGAACTCCTGGCCTCAAGTGATCCACCCATCTCAGCCTCTCAAAGTGCTGGGATTACAGGCGTGAGCCACCATTCTCAGCCTACATGTATGACTTTTGTGATTAAAAAAATAATGGGTGCAACAATAATCATCAATGTCTGCTAAAACCATGAGTTGAAGAGCTGATGGGGAGTTTATAATGGATGGACTAGGCTGACAACATCTGAATCCATCCATCCATCTTGATATTACACACAGAAAGACAAGCAGATATTATGTGCTGCCTGATATGATATAAGAGGATTTCATAGCACCGTCTATGAAAGATTGTCAGCAAAAAATCAAAGGTGGTTCTGATGAAGTATAAACCTAACCACCATTTTACAGGAACTTGAGGGGACTAAGGAACACATTGCATTATGGGGTGCACTCAGTAAAATCCAGAATTACAGAAGACCCTCCTGCACAGAAGACCCAACTTCCTCAACAGATAATTTGCGGAGAAAAACAAAAAAGGGCAGGAGTAGGGTTGCTACAGACTGAAAGACTTAAGAAACATCAATCAAATGCAATGTATGGACTTTGTTTGCATCCTGATTTGAACAAACCAAGGGCTTAAGAAAAGAATAAATAAATAACAATAGAGGAAATTTGAGCACTGGATATTTTATGATATTAAGAAATTTGTATTAACTTTTAGGTGTCATGATGGATAGGTTTTTTTTTTAAATCCTATCTCTCAGAAGAAATACAATAATACAAAAATTAGCCGGGTGTGGTGGTGTGTGCCAGTAGCCCCTGCTACTCAGGAGGTTGAGGCAAGAGAATTGCTTGAACTCAGAAGGCAGAGGTTGCAGTCAGCCAAGGTTGCGCCACTGCACTCCAGCCTGAGCAACAGAGCAAGACTCCATCTCAAAAAAAAAAAAAAAAAGAAAGAAAGAAAAGAAAAGAAAAAAGAAATACAATAATAAAATTAAATGATGCTGGTGTTTGTTTCAGAATAACCCTGTGTGGGGTGGGGGCGGGCAGTGGAAGATGCACCGAAACCGGCTATGACTTGGTAATTCTTGAAGCTGGGAGATGAGTGTATGGGGTTCATGATATTATTCACTTTACTTTCAGATATTTTTGGAAACTTCCATAATAAAATATTTAAATAAAATCCAGCTAGTTAATTTCTTTTTTTTTTTTTTTTTGAGATGGAGTTTCACTCTTTGTTGCCCAGGCTGGAGTGCAGTGATGTGATCTTGGCTCACTGCATCCTCTGCTTCCCGGGTTCAAGCTATTCTCCTGTCTCAGCCTCTGGAGTAGCTGGGATTATAGGCACATGCCACCATGCCCGGCTAATTTTTGTATTTTTAGTAGAGACAGGGTTTCACCATGTTGGCCAGGCTGGTCTTGAATTCTTGACCTCAGGTGATCCACCGCCGCGGCCTCCCAAAGTGCTGGGATTACAGGCATGAGCCACCGTGACTGGCCTCAACTAGTTAATTTCAACAAATAAGAGGTGTAGTCTTGGTAGGAAGATGCCAGGGGTTGGAGCCCCACTCTCAGTTCCTCCCTTTTCCCTGAGGTACCTGCACAGAGCCTTAGGTCTCTGTAGAACAGTTTGAAATCACTGATCTAGACCATGGATTATTGGGGGAACCAGCCCCCAATATTTCAATTTCGGTTCTTTATATTTTCCCTAAGTGTCGGCCAGTCTGAGAAATAAAGAGAAAGAGTACAAAGAGAGAAATTTTACAGCTGGGCCTCCGGGGGTGTCATCGCATATTGGTAGGACTGTGATGGCAACCCCAAGCCACAAAACCAGCAAGTTTTTATTAGGGATTTTAAAAGGGGAGGGGATGTACGAACAGGGAGTAGGTCACAAGGATCACATGCTTCAAAGGGCAATAAAAGATCACAAGGCAAGGGCAAAATTAGAATTACTGATGAGAGTCTGTGTCCCGCTGTGCATGCATTGTCTTGATAAACATCTTAACAGGAAACAGAGTTCGAGAGCAGACAACTGGTCTGACTAGAATTCACCAGGCTGGAATTTCCCAGTCCTAGCAAGCCTGAGGGCACTGCAGGAGACCAGGGCATATTTCAGTCCTTATCTCTACCGCATAAGACAGACATTCCCAGAGCGGCCATTCATAGACCTCCCCCAGGAATGCATTCCTTCCCCAGGGCTATCAATTATTAATATTCCTTGTTGGGAAAAGAATTCAGCGATATTTCTCCTACTTGCACATCCATCTATAGGCTTTCTGTGAGAAGAAAAATATGGCTCTATTCTGCCCAACCCCGCAGGCAGTCAGACCTTATGGTTATCTCCCTTGTTCCCTGAAAATTGCTGTTATTCTGTTCTTTTTCAGGGTGCACTGATTTCATATTGTTCAAACACATATGCTTTACAAACAATTTGTACAGTTAACGCAGTCATCACAGGGTCCTGAAGTGACATGCATCCTCAGCTTATGAAGATGACAGGATTAAGAGATTAAAGTAAAGACAAGCATAGGAAATCACAAGGGTATTGATTGGGGAAGTGATAAATGTCCATGAAATCTTCACACTTTATGTTCCGAGACTGCAGTAAAAACAGGCGTAAGAAATTATAAAAGTATTAATTTTGGGAACTGATAAATGTCCATTAAATCTTCACAATTTATGTTCTTCTGCCGCGGCTTCAGCCGGTCTCTCCATTCAGGGTCTGTGACTTCCCGCAACAATGGACAGACAATTTTCTTCTGAAAAGGGCAAAATAGTAAACAGTCTAGGCTATGTGGGCCAAATGGTCTTCGTTGCCATTCTCCAACTCAGCTGTTATAGTGTGGAAGCAGCCATAGATAATACAAAAATGAATATGACTGTGTTTCAATAAAACTTTATTTACAAAAACAGATGGTGGCTTGATTTGGCCTGCAGGCTGTCGTGTGCCAATCTTTGATCTAGACCAACCCCTTCATTTGTTTTATTATTATTATTATTATTATTGAGACAAGGTCTCAGTCTGTCACCCAGGCTGAGTGCCGTGGTGTGATCATAGCTTCCTGCAGCCCCAGTCTCCTGGGTTCAAGCAATCCTCTCACCTCAGCCTCCTGAGTAGCTAGGACTACAGGCAGGTGCCACCACCTGGCTAATTTTTAAAATTTTTTTAGAGTTGGGGTCTCACTATGTTGCCCAGGCTGGTCTTGAACTCCTGGCCTCAAGCAATCCTTCTGCCTTGGCCTCCTAAAGTGTTGGGATTACAGGCATCAGCCATCATGTCCAGCCTAACCCCTTCCTTTTAAAGTTGTGGAAACTGAGACCCAGGCGGTTAAAGTGGCTCAAGATCACACACACAAACACACACACACACACACACACACACACACACACACACACACACACCAAAAAAACCAGGACCTTGTGAAAGCAACTGCTGCAGATCCCAATCTTGACTTTAGGCCTGCGTATCTTGGTATTATGGGCAAATGAAAGCAAGCATATGGCAGGTGGGTGGAAGAAATCAGGGAAGCACAAGCTTATGTATCAGTTAGTGTTAGGTTCAGCTGTATGTATATACCAGTAAGCTCAAAGTAACAGTAGCTGTAACAAAAATGAAGATTATTTCATTCTCACATAGAAACAAAATCTGGAAATAGTTTAAGGCTCATGTATAGAATCCATCATCTTCTAGCTAAGTGCCATGGTGCATACCTGTAGTCTCAGCTACTCTAAAGGCTGAGGCAGGAGGATCACTTGAGCCCAAGAGTTTGAGGTTGCAGTGAGCTATGCCCTCAGCACTGCACTTTGGCCTGGGCAACAGAGTGAGACCCCCATCTCTAAAAAATAATAAATTAATAATAATAAGAAGAATAATCTTTGGAGACCCAGGTACTATCCTTAGGCCACGGCTTCAAGTGCTAAGGAAGGTGACATCATGGCCTGATACGGCTACTAGATTACATCCTTATTTCAGGCAGGAGGAAGAATAAAGAATGGTGAGGGCCTTCTAATTGCATCAGCTCATTTTAAGGAGTCTTTCTGGAATTTATTTGCATCGCATTAGCCAGAACTTAGTTATATGTCACACTTAGGGGAACAGGAAACTAGGGAATGTCGTCTTTATTTTAGGTTGCCATGTGCCCAGCCATAAATTACTAAGGAAAAGGGGATGAAAGGCTTTCCTTCTCTCTTCCTTCCTTCCTTCCTTTTTCTTCCTTCCTTCCTTTTTCTTTCTTTCTTTCTCTTTCTTTCTTTCTTTCTTTCTTTCTTTCTTTCTTTCTTTCTTTCTTTCTTTCTTTCTTTCTTTTCTTTCTCTCTCTCTCTCTCTCCCTCCCTCCCTCCCTCTCTCTCTCTCTCTTTCTTCTTGAGATGGAGTCTTGCTCTTGTTGCCCAGGCTGGAGTGCAATGGCGCGATCTCGGCTCACCACAACCTCCACCTCCCAGGTTCAAGCGATTCTCCTGCCTCACCTCCCAAGTAGCGGGGATTATAGGCATGCGCCACCACACCCAGCTAATTTTGTATTTTTAGTAGAGACAGGGTTTCTCCATGTTGGTCAGGGTGGTCTCAGATGATCCGCCAGCCTTGGCCTCCCAAAGTGCTGGGATTACAGGCATGAGCCACTGTGCCCGGCCGAAAGACTTTTGAATAGAAAATTAGCAGTCTCTCTCACAAGTTATTTGAATAAACTGAGTTGGTCCTCTTCACCTGAAAAACGCCAGGGGTGTTTAATGACCATGACAAAGCAGCATGAATTAATGGAAGGAGCACCCCAAGCTGCTCCCATTTCCCTATGTGAACTCAGACAAGTACCTGCACTTCTCTGTTGCTTTACTTTAGCCATATGCACAGTGAAAGGGCTCTAACAGTTCCACTTGTAGGATTTTATTCCTAGGAAATACTGAGTTACCTGATACCAGACCATATACACTTTAATAAGTTCTGGAAACAACCTATTAATAGATCATTCTATCCATCTGAGTTCAGTTGTGGGGCACAGGCACGACCTGAGCTCAGAAAGGGACTTCATCAGGTGCTTACAAAAGGATTGGAAGGGCAGGAGGAAGGGGCTGAGGCTGAGCTTCCAGCATTATGACTCTCAGAGCAGTATAGGTGAACTGGCTACCAGAGGGGCAGCCACATTGCCCCATCAGGAGGGCAGGGAAGCAGAGGGTGGCTGCTGGACTATGAAGTTCAAGTAGGCACTGCCATGGCTGTGATCCAAGGGGTCAGGAAATCACAGCCACCAGCACCTCTCAACACGTACGAAACTAGTGACTAGACACGGGAACACTGCTGCCAAATAACCAATGTCTCCATGCTGGGCTGGAACAGCCAAAATCTGTGGGACAATGGCTTTTCCTGATTTCCACCTTCCAAATCTAGCAGGAGTGAACCTAATCAATGAAACTTAATTTTTTTTTTTTTTTTTTGAGATGGAGTTCTGCTCTGTCACCCAGGCTGGAATGCAGTGGCACGATCTCAGCTCACTGCAATCTCCGTCTCCTGGGTTCAAGCGATTCTCCTGTCTCAGCCTCCCGAGTAGCTGGGATTACAGGCTTATGCCCCCATGCCCAGCTAATTTTTTGTATTTTAGTAAAGACAGGATTTCACTGTGTTGCCCGGGCTGGTCTCGAACTCCTGAACTCAGGCAATCCACCTGCCTCGGCCTCCCAAAGTGCTAGGATTACAGGCGTGAACCACCGCGCCCGGCCAGTGAAACCTAATTTCAATGAGAAACTTAACTACCAGGAAATTAGGTTCACGTGGGGCTTGGCCTTCCAGCCTCATATGTGGGAAAGCACACAGGAAAGAGGTTGGAATTGATGTGTAGTGCCGGTGAACTATATGCATGCACCACTCTGTATAAATTAGCTAAACAAATTAAGGTGCATTTGCACAGTGGAATGCTTTCCAGCCACTAAAATCAGTATTTTTGTAACCAATAAATACTTTCCAGTCACTTAAATGGGCAAGAAGGGACAAATCTTCTTAGAATTCCAGACAACATATTTCTCCCTTCGGGGAGTGGAGTTTATTTCCATATGCACCCTTGAATATGGCTGGACTTAGTGACTTGCTTCCTGAGAATAGAGAATGAAAAGGAAAAAATGGTAAGTTTCTGGACACAGATCCAATCCAGTGTACCACATCGGGTTTAGTCATCAGGTCTTCTTAATCTTCTCTGATCTTTGAGAGTTTTCCAGGAACCTCATGGCCAGGAGTTTGCCAGGAACCCTAACATCATCAGTAATAGATCATGTCAGTATCTATGCACCCCCTGAGACAATGAAATAAGATGGAGACTTTACCTCTGTGTATGTTCCTCCCCCAACTCCAGTTTAATCGTGAGAAACATGCCAGACAAACCAAATTAGAGGGACAGGCTATATAATACTTGGCCAATAGTCTTCACAACTATTAAAGTCATGAAAAACAAGAAATGACTGCTAAACTCTCAAAGGTCAGAGGAGATGAAGGAGACCTGATGACTAAAGGCAATGTGGTACCCTGGATTAGATCTGTGGCCAGAAAGAGAACACTTATGAGAAAGCTGGTAAAATCCAAATAACATCTGGAGTCCAGTTGACACTGTACCGGCCAAGCAGTTGCTCACACCTGTCATCCCAGCACTTTGGGAGGCCGAGATGGGCAGATCACCTGAGGTCACAAGTTCGATTCCAGCCTGGCCAACATGGCAAAGCCTCATCTCTACTAAAAATACAAAAATTAGGTCGGGAGTGGTGGCTCACGGTTGTAATCCCAGCACTTTGGGAGGCCGAGGTGGGTGGATCACAAGGTCAGGAGATCAAGACCATCCTGTCCAACATGGTGAAACCCTGTCTCTACTAAAAATACAAAAATTAGCTGAGCATGGTGGTGCGTGCCTGTAATTCCATCTACTCGGGAGGCTAAGGCAGGAGAATAGCCTGAACCAGGGAGGCGGAAGTTGCAGTGAGCCGAGATAGCGCCACTGTACTCCAGCCTGGTGACAGAGCAAGACTCCGTCTTAAAAAAAGAAAAAAAAAAATTAGCCAGGCAGGCTGAGGCGGGAGAATTGCTTGAATCTGGGAGGCAGAGGTTGCAGTTGAGCCAAGATCACTCTACTGCACTCCAGCCTGGGCAACAGAGTGAGACTCCATCTCAAACAAAACAAAAACCAATGTGCCAAGGAGCTTTGGTACCAATGTACCAATTAGATCTTAGTTTTGACAAATATGTCATAGTCATATAACACATTAACATCAGAGGAAGCTAAGTGAAGGATATATGGAAACTCTCTGTACTATCTTTCCAAGTTTTCTGTAAATCTAAGATTATTCCAAAATAAAATTTGCTGAGTGCAGTGGCTCACACCTGTAATCCCAGCACTTTGGGAGGACACGGTGGGAGAATTGCCTGAGCCCAGGAGTTCAAGACTGGCCTGGGTAACATGGTGAGACCCCTCATCTCTACCAAAAAAAAAAAAATTATTAAAAGTTTTTTTTTTTAAAAAAGGGGATCAATGTTGCTCTGAAATGAAATAAAATTTGATATGAAAATGTGTCCATTAACTATTCAGTTAGTGAAAGAAGCAGGTAATAAAACATCGATACTAATAAAATGGTTAGTTAGCACTTATTGAGTGCTTACAGCATGCTACCCTCTGTGCAAAATGATTTCCCTGGATTATCTCATTTAATTCTGAGAACTACCCTATGAGGTAAATGCTATTATCCTCAATTTACTGTTAAGGAAACAATGGGCTAGATGGGTTACATAACTTGTCAATAAAATATGGAGCTAGTCTAACTCTGGAACCTGAGTTATATGAAACACTACCATATATCACCATTTAGCTTTACTTATATTGTATTTATTTACAGAAGCCTAAAAAGGATATACTCCAAACTGTAAGAGAGAATTTTCTTTGTCATATGGAGACTATGGGGGAGGGTGTCACACAAATAAAATTATTTTAATTTTTTACAGTTATCCTGTAATATAGTAAATTAGGTATTTGCATTAATAACTACAAAAAAAGAGGCAGTAGGACTTTTGATTTCAAAAGGACTGTCCACTTCTAACACTCTGGAATTCCCAAGGCCCCTGACATCTCTGGAGGTTTGGTCAGAGGCAGAGGCAGAGGCTTGAGGTGGCAGTAGGAGGGTTTCTCAGCTCTCAGGGTAGTGGGTGGTGGGGCGTGGTGAATTTGAGCTTTTGGAGACTCTGGGCTGTTCTTCTAGCCTTAACCTTCCACTTCCAGCCCTCCTTGCCATCTCAATGGCTTTAGTGGCCTCTCTAATTAGTAGGAACATAGGGAGAGGCACAGCTTTTGTTTTGGTAAAAAAGAAGTCATATACCCACAAACCAGTGCTTCAATGAGGGTTGTCACCAAATTGGACTCTGGAAGGGGCAGTGACTGAGGAAAATGTAGGGGCCAGGCTTGATGTTGGAAGTAGCCTGCCCTAGCAGGCTCAGTCCTTTTACAAAGTTGTAAGATCCAGGGACACGTTCTCAAAGGTGTAAAATGGAGAAGCCAGGCCAGGTGCGGTGGCTGACGCCTGTAATCCTAGCACTTTGAGAAGCTGAGGTGGGAGGATTGCTTGAGCCCAGGAGTTTGAGAGCAGCCTGGATAACATAAGTAAGACCCCATCATCTCCATAAAAAAAATTTAAAATTAGCCAGGTGTGATGGCATGCACCTATGGTCCCAGCTATTTGGGAGGTTGAGATAGGAAGATCACTTGAGCCCAGGAGGTAAAGGATGTAATGAATGAGCCATGATCACACCACTGCACTCCAGCCTGGGTGACAGAGTGGGACCCTGTCTCAAAACAAAAACATAACAGAGAAGACAGGCTTTGTTGAGCTCCTACCACGCTGGGTGCTTTATTTGCGTTACTTCCAATGTAGGTACCATCCAGAGCCACATTCCCCAGATAAGAACAGAGGGAGTAGCCCACCTGGGTTCCCTCTGTGTGATTCCAGGCTGTGCTCCCAGCCTTAACCTTTCACCTCCAGCCATCCTTCAGTAACTTCCCTCAGTAAGCTCTCTCCTTACTAAGTCAGGAACCTGTGAGCTGGCATAGGATCAGTGGAGGCCCAGAATGGTTTGGCTTTTCCATGTTTTCTCAGCTTCCACTCTCAAAAAGGCATCAACAAAGGGACTAGTGACCAGGTGGTCATACTCATTCAAAACTCTGTCTCCAAGGAATGGCTGAGGGAGGGAATTTGGGATCTGCCTTGGGAGGTAGAGCAGAAAGGGAGTAGTAGCGAGGACAAAGGGAAAGACCTGCCTCTGAGGAACCACCATAGGGAAGGGCTAGGCTGATGCCCCACATATCAAGACAAACCCAGCCCCCGTCCAGAGAACTGCCAGGGAGATAGATAAGGGTGGGTTCAACATCAGAACTTCCCCTGACAGAGCTGTCCAGAGCAGAGCCAGCAGCTCGCAGTGCTCCCTTTCAGGGTCAGGGCTGCTGTGCAGGTGAAGGAAGGCTCACGGACCACCCATCAGAAGGAGGGCATGGGGACATCTGTTCCTAAGATCCAACAATGATAATAACAATAGCGAAACTGAGCTCCTTCTATGTGCACGCGTCATCTCACTTCACCCTAAGAAGGTATTACTCTCACCTTACAGGTGTGAAAACCGAGGTCCTGGACAGTTCTATTTATTTATTTTTCAGAGATGGTGTCTTGCTCTGTCACACAGGCTGGAGTGCAGTGGTGTGATCATACTTCACTGCAGCCGTGACTTCCTGGGCTCAAGTATTCCTCCTGCCTCAGCCTCCCTAGCAGCTGAGACTATAGGCACCTACCACCATGCCCAGCTAATTTGTCCTGGACAGTTAAGCTATTTGCTCAAGCTCACACATCTGGTAAACAGTCTGTTTATCTGCAGAGCCAGCATTCTTATGCAACATACAGCCTACTTCTAGGCATCCGGGGATTTAGATCCTTGGAGCCCATGATAAACAGACCAATGGGAGGTGACATCCTTATTTTTAGAGGCTTTGATTTTATTGCAAGGCCCTAGTCAGCAGTCATGAGATTTACCTAGGGACATGAAGACTTTCCTTCTCCGAAGAAGCAGATTAGAAAACTTGTCTTCTTAAACTAAGTGGCCACAGCCCTTAAAGACATGGAAATCTAAAAGAAGCTCTGATGGGCACTCCCAAGAAATTACAGACTTGGGTCTTTTAGAGACTGGCACTAATTAAAGGCGAAAGTCATGGAGAGGGCGGTGACCTGAACAACCATTCACCTCCCACATGGCACAATCTTGAGGTTCCATTTTACTTTTCTTAATCTGCCAGGGTTGAAAGAATCTAGATCTGAAATTTTTCAGACTTCAGTTTTCAAACTTCAAGTCGTATAATTGTGACTTTTTGGCCAAACAGAAAGTTTTATTTGTGGAATGTCATTATCAAGAATGAGGCACATGAAGATCTTTAATTCTCACCATGGTCAGAGTACTGTTATGACCTCCATTTTCCAGATAAGGAAACTGAGTTGCACAAAAGAATCAGGAACTTTCCCAAGGTCACACAGTTTTTAAGTGGTGAAGGAATTTAAATCCGGATCTGCTGAAGTCCAGAACGTGGCTTAGTACCACTGGGGCTGTAGGAGGAAGCCCAGTAGATAAAACTGTGAGTTGGGCCAGGCACAGTGGCTCACGTCTGTAATCCCAGCACTTCGGGAGGCCAAGGAGGGATGATCACTTGAACCCAGGAGTTCAAGGCTGCAGTGAGCCGTAATTGCACCACTGCATTCCAGCCTGGGCCAAAGAGCAAGGCCCCATCTCTAAAAAATAAAAACAAATTAAAAGATACAAATAAAATGATGAGTTAAGCTGCCTCGGTTTGGGTTTGGGTGTGTTGGTTTCGAAGAGGCCAGCTCATTGAGACTTCCCCTTGTGCCCTGTAGGGCCCTTGGAAAGCTTGATAGCACCAGAGCAGTTAAAAAAACTGGAAACAAATGTCCTTCAACAGAGGAATGAATCACACCTTCTGGTATATTCATTCAACGGAATACTTACTACTCAGTGATAAAAAGATAACATTTCAAAATAATTATGCTGAATGAAAAAGCTAGACAAAAATGGAGCATACCGTGTGATTGCATCTATATAAAACTCTAGAAAATGCAAACTAATCAATAGTGACAGTAAGCAGATCAGTGCTTACTTGGGGGCAAGGAGAGGGTGGGAGGGATTACCAAGAGGTGCCAGGAAACTTTTTAGGTGATTAATATGGTCACTATCTTGATTGTGGTGATGGTTTCATGAGTGTGTGTGTGTGTGTGTGTGTGTGTTAGATATGTATGTATCTTAATTATACACTTTATTCTTTAGGTAGGAGATAGCAAAAAAAAAGTTTACACTTTAAATATGTGCAGTTTATTGAATGAAATTACACCTCAAAAAAGCAGTTAAAAAAAAACTTCAGCTGGGTGTGGTGGCTCATGCCTGTAATCCCAATACTTTGGGAGGCTGAGGTGGGCAGATCGCTTGATCACATGAGTTTGAGACCAGCCTGGGCAACATGGTGAAACCTCGTCTCTAAATATATATATATATATAAATTAGTTGGGCATGGTGGTGTGTGCCTGTGGTCCCAGCTACTTGGGAGGCTAAGGTGGGAGGATTGCTTGAGCCCGGGAGGCGGAGATTGCAGTGAATGGAGATTGTGCCACTGCATTCCAGCCTGAGTAACAGAGACCCTGTCTCAGAAAAAGAAAAACAACAACAATAACACACACACACACACACACACACACACACACACCCCACTTCAAAATTCAAAAGATTTGCTCAAGCTCACTCAGCACGCTGATGGGGAGCCAGGCCAGGCCAGAGCTCCCCCTGTGGCTCACACCACTGTGAGGAAGGAAGCCTCCCCCACATACAGCCCCCAGGCTTCACCCTGTACTGAGGGCCAGGTGGTTTCTCTCCAGTCATGGTAATGTGGGTACTGGA
The DNA here is from genome assembly GCF_000001405.40 of Homo sapiens. NCBI lineage: Eukaryota > Metazoa > Chordata > Mammalia > Primates > Hominidae > Homo > Homo sapiens. The sequence continues at coordinate 151,739,678 of NC_000005.10, forward strand.
CAAGCCCGGGCTCTGGCCACCAGGCAAATGGGTAGGTCAACAAGGCAAAGTTGGTGGGAGCTTCACCCCATCAAGCCCAGAAACAAGGGCTGGTTACTGGGAACACCCTAGGGTAGGCTGTACTCACAACCAGGAATCTTTGACAAAAATATAAACCTGCTAGAAAGATTAGAAGAGACAATCTCTTCCTTTGTCAAATTATCTGGACCAACACCTACTGAGCATCTACCATGTGTGAGGGTCTGTCCTAGCTCACTATCTTATGCAGTCTAGGTAAGGATGGAATGAGATAAATGCAAGGGCATGACACACTAAATAGGCATCCCCCAAATAGTAGCCATTACTCATCTATCAAATATCCCCTAAGTCCTTGCTCTGTGTGCAGAGGGAACAGATACTTGGGCTGATCCTCGAGGCCAGGAAAGATACGTGGACAGAAAGCTTTGCCACAACACTGAAATTTGTGTGATAAATGCTTTGAGGGCCAAGAGGAGAAATAAATTACTTCCAGCTGTGGAGAGGTTTCATGGAGGCTGTGGTATGCAAGGGAGGGAAAGGAATTTGTATATGGAGACAAGGGAGGCTGGTGGAGGAGATCATTCCGCTTACAGGGGGCAGGCAGCATGAATAAAAGCAAGGCACCTGAGGAGCGGGCTGGCTGGCTGCAGCGAGGAGTGAGAAAGCCTGGAAGGGTGGGCTGGGGCCAAGTGCACAGGGAAGCCTCGGAGAAATACGTGGCCACGTCTGCTCCCCACCCCCACCCCTGCAGAAGCCTGAGCTCCGCTGTGTGATTCATTCATTCCGTGGACAGCCAGCTGGGCTGATGGCAGGCGTGGGAGCTTCCCTAATGCCTCTGTGGCCTTGGAAGAACAGAGCCAAGTGCCTCAGCTAGAAACTTGGATTTCAGCTGGGGGTGGTGGTATAGAGAGAACTCAAAGGAAATGAACCCCTCTGAGAAGCACTCACTCTAAGAGACACCAGTGTCTCAACTCTTGGGCGTTCCCAGTGGGCCAGCCAGACCTCCTAGGGCAACTGAAAATGGAAAAAATCCTCAAGTTTGTTCTCTCAGAGCCCAGAGAAACTTTTTTTTAGAAGAAACTGTCTTAAACGTCTCTGTGGATGGTCAAGTCCAGGAGACACTGCCATCTGGTGGTCAAGAAACACATTTACCTGGTGGGCTGGGAAGGAGTCCCTGCACCCCGGAGGGGCCACGAAGGCAGAAATGGCCCTGAGATTTGTTTAGTACTTTCATAATGGGATAGAAAGGGATGGAAATTATGCTTGCAACCAGTTTAGAGTTGAAATAAAGTGTTATTTCTGGCTACTCAGTTCCCCGAGGTGCAGCAATTATGCATTGGGCAGATGAGGAAACTGTCCATGAGATAGATGAGGTGGCTGCTTCCATGTCTGAGCTGGTCAAATGCAGAGCCAGATCTTATTCCAGTCTCCAGCAGCCCTGGGTCCCCAGTAAGTGCCCAATAAATGGCTAAAGTGGTGATTCTCAACATGTGACCCCCAAGAGCCTTTCAGAAGGCACATGAGGTTCAATTTAAAAGCTTCTGTAAGATGCCTTTTCCTCCTTAACAATTGTACGGTAAAGTTTTCTAGAGTCTAAAGGAATGCAGTGACTTCATCTAGTCCTAATGACTAATGGGATGTGTGCCTGGGTATTTTTGTTTTAAAAATTCCTGTTTTAATTTCTAATGTAGTATAACCCACATAACCAAAACTGTTTGATAATAATTTTTAAATTTTTTTTGAGACAGAGTTTCACTCTTTCACCCAGGCTGCAGTGAAGTGGTGCAATCTTGGCTCACTGCAACCTCCACCCCCCGGGTTCAAGCGATTCTCCTGCCTCAGCCTCCCGAGTACATGGGATTACAGGCATGTGCCACCACGCCCGACTAACTTTTGTATTTTTAGTAGAGACGGGGTTTCACCATGTTGGCCAGGCTGGTCCCAAACTCTTGACTTCAGGTAATCCACCTGCCTCGGCCTCCCAAAGTGCTAGGATTACAGACGTGAGCCACTGCACCCAGCCGAGATCCTCAAAAATTTTTAAGAGTATATAAGATCTACTCAGGAGGCTGAAGCAGGAGGATTACTTGATCCCGGAAGTTAGAGGTTACAGTGAGCTATGATCATGCCACTGCATTCCAACCTGACTAGTCTCAGCCTGACTTAGCCTGACTGGAATTCAAATGGCCATTTTGACAGATTTTTGACTAATGAAATATTTTAAAAATGAGTGGCAGCCAGGTGCAGTGGCTCATGCCTGTAATCCCAGAACTTTCGGAGGCTGAGGCAGGTGGATCACCTGAGGGCAGGAGTTCAAGCCCCTTTGGGAGGCCAAGGCAGGAGGATTGCTTGAGCTCAGCAGTTCAAGACCAACCTGGGCAACATAGCAAAACCCCATTTCTAGAAAAAAACTAAAAAAAAAACAAGGTTAACTGGGCATGATGACATGTGCCTGTAGTGCCAGCTACTTGGGAGGCTAAGGTGGGAGTATTGCTTGAGCCCGGGAGGTCAAAACTGCAGTGAGCCCTGATTGCGCCACTGCACTCCAGCCTGGGTGACAGAGTGAAACCCCATCTCAAAACAAACAAACAAAAAGCCAAAAATGAATCACTAATATTTTCTGAGTGATTTTTTAACCAGCAATCACTGCTGTAATTAATTTACATGTTTCATTTCATTTAATCCCCACAACCACCATTTGCAGTAGATGCTATCATCACATTTTGTCTGTGGACACTGAGAGGTTAAGTGGCCCAGCTAGGAGGTACTGGAGCTTGAACTCTATCCCAGGCAGTTTGTCTCCACAGCCTCTTCCTACTATTCCACTTGCTTAACATTTGATAATCTCTTGTGCAATTCACTTGATAGACAAATTTTTTCAAAATATAGAGTCTATGAAACTGGTGAAAAGAAAGGGGATCACTGTTCTGGGTCAATGCCTCCACTTTATAGGTGAGGAAAAAATGAGGCCCAGAGAGGGGAAGTGATTTGCTAAAGATCACACAGCAAAGAATCAGAATCTACAGGGTGTCTGACTCCCAGGTGGGAACTCTCAAAACTCCAACCCAAGTAAGCATAACCACCTACATGTGAGCAAGCAACACCAAGACCAGGCAAGACAACATCTCCAACAAAAGCAGCTTGATTTTATTGCAGGGAAGCTAGGAAGGAATAGGACAACTGAGGGTCTCCGCAGGAACACCATCACCCGGCATGACTGCCAAGTCCCAGGTCTGTCTGGAAGCCAGCGGGAGGATCAGCATCCTAGGAAAGATGGAAAGTTAGATGGAACAAAGGTGCCATCTGGTGTGGACATAGCGACATTGCAAAGGCAATAAATGCACTAAGAGACAGGGGTGACGCAGGGGTGCACTAAGAGTCTTGCACTAAAAGGCAGGGGTGAGGTGGAAAACGCAGGGTGCAGATGCAGGAGCAGGACTAGAGCCCCAGTGTCCAGCCCTGCACACTGCTCCCATGAAGTCTGTTATACTTAGGTTGGCTGGAACGCATTAACCTTGCTAAGCCAATCACTGCCAAAGCCCTCTTCTGGGGAATTTCCAGGGCTGCCAGGATACCCAGTCAACAGCACTCTCTATCCTGTTACAGGTTGGAAAGGCAATGAACAAAATCATGGCAAATAAATCTGCCAAGAGTCAGATGATCAAGGTGACTTCAAAACCAATAAACACTCTATCTTTGAGGTTCCCAAGCCTGGCTTCAAATCAGTCACTGAGGAGCCTCTTAAAACAGACTTCAAAGACATGCTGCCTGAGCATGTGGACTAAAGCTGGCTTATTGGGTGATTCTTACTGAGTACTGTGCATCTGAATTTCCAGGAGCCTTTCCAAACAATACATGGTTACTGAAATATGTACAGGTAAGATTGCATGATGTCTAGAATTTGCTTCAAAATAATCTGGGCAGGAGGGAGTGGGCATGATGTCTAGAATTTGCTTCAAAATAATCTGGGTGTTTCATCACCCAGATGAAACAATGAGGACAGTGGAGTTTCTAATCCAAGATGTGTGCATTAGGGCTCCCCCACATGGATACAGATAGCTCCAGAAGAGTTTTTTTCCTTCTCTTCCTTAATTCCTTCTTGTCACAGAGCACTTTTATCAAAAAATAACAGGCCTTGGTGAAATAAATACTAACTGTTGGATCTGAGTGACGGGTACTTGGGGATTCATTCTATTACTCTACTTACACATGTTTGAAACTTCCTATCATAAAAAATCTAAAGTAGATTAAAAGTACCATGAAAATTATTAAGTATTGGAAGGAATGATTTACAACACATGCTATGACTTGAATGAATCTTGAAAACATTATGCTACATGGAAAAAGGCAGACACAAAAAGGTCACATATAATGTAATTCTTTTTATATGACATGTCCAGGGTAGGCAAATCCAGAGTAGCAGAAAGCAAATTAGTGGCTGCCAGGGGATGGAGAGATGGGTAGTGGGGAGTGACTTCTTAATGGATACAGGGTGTGTTTCTGAGATGATGAAAAAATTTTGAAACTAGAGAGAGATGGTGGTCATACAACATTGTGAACACACCAAATGCCACTAAATGATAGACTTTAACCCATTTATGCCTAGTGTTCCATTATTGGAACGCTAAGCTTGCAGGAGTTATTTATATCCTACTGTTCAAGGTCATCACCAAGGTTTGATTTTTCACATAAAAAACTTTGCAATATTCAGCATAAATGGGTTAAAATAGTTATTATGTCTTGTGAATTTCATCTCAATAAAATAACATGAGAAAACATGTTTTCTATGAGAAAAACACATTAAGCTACACATGGTTTACATCCAACAGATATTACTTTTTTAGTTAAAAAAGTTCGTATGCCCAGGCCTGGAGTTTCTAATCCAAGATGTGTGCATTAGGGCTCCCCATGTATATAGCTAGTTCAGGAAGAGTATTTTTTTCCTTCTCTGCCTCCATTCCTTCTTGTTACAGAGCGTTTTTATAAAATACAGTCTTACGGGAAGCCCAATATGACACAGGACCGTTTGGGAGCTATGGAGGGTCCAAAGCCCCATCCACTCACCCTCCCTACAAAACCCTAGGGGTGGAGGAATGATGTAAGAAACACTGTTCTTCAACATGCTGGAAACCGCTGATGTTTTACTTCCCTAGAGGATAAACTTTCATATGTGGAGAGATTGCACAGCAGTCCCCACAAGGCAGGAAAGCAGGTTGGAGGTTTTAGCCCCATTTTACCGATGGGAAGACCAAATCTCTGTAATGTAAAAAGTCCCCAAAGTCAGTGTGAAATGAGGAAAGTTGGAATTAGAATCCTAGATTCCTCATTATTCATCCTGGGTTCATTCCTGAATATGGGTTCTATCTATGGATGGAAAGTGCATGACGAAAACAGATGCATCTGACATCTTGTAACTTGCATGTGATGTTACCACATACACAGAACACTGCTATGACTCAGGTTCCAAATGTATGCCTTTGGGAAGGAGGCTATCCTCAAAGAGGACCTACCAGTCAGTGTGGCTAGCCTCTGTCCAGGGGGTCTCTGTGGGCCCATTCACAGGGACAATGCCACCAGTAACAGTTACAGAACTCCGATTCAGGATATCTGACTTTCTTCCTGCCTCTGCTACTCACCAGGGTGGGACTCTGGTTGAATCACTTCCCCTCTCTTGGCCTCATTTTTCTCAGTCACGTCAGGGCACCAAACCACATCAGAGGTGTGGCGATCATTGTAATTCACGAGTCAAATGCACTACATGGGCAGTGGCAGCCAGGAGTGCCCTGCTGAGACTGTGGCTGGATCAATGAGTAAGGTCTGCCTGGTTCCAGAGCGAAGAGTGCTGGCACAGTGCCCCTTACTGCATCACTGGATTACATAAAAGTGAAGGGAACATCTAGCTCAAACATGCTATTGTTTTTGTACCAGTCTGGACAGAGGGCATGCTCAGGAAGCTGACAACAGTTTCAAGTAGAGAGAGCGGCACAGTCTGAATTAACTCACTTGGTCAGGGCACAGGAGAACAAGGCCCAAGGCACAAGTGTCAACTCTGATGAGATAGTCAGTTTATCAAAGCCAGAGCCATGTGTGGTGATAGGTGCCTATAGTTCCAGTTACTTAGAAGGCTGAGGCAGGAGCATCACTTGAGCCCAGGAGTTAAAGGCTATAGTGCACTATGATCACACCTATGAAGAGTTACTACCCTCCAGCCTGGGCCATATAGTGAAACACTGTCTCAAACCAATGAACAAATAAAGAAGTCAAAGGTGCACTGCTTAGGGTCACATACTGTAAACTTAAACCCTGCTAACCATGAACTGCAACCCTCAAGTCTGAAAGAGGACTCTGGGAGACATTACACAGTGCTCTGTCCACTCACAGGGTCTGTAAGAATTCCCTGAACTTGTGATTTGCATTAGACAATAATAAAATATTTGTAACCACTCCAAAGAAGGTGGACAGTGGATTGAAAAGAACCCAGAGGGCTCTCCCGCTCCACTCAAGCTCTCAAAGGCCAAGGTGTTCGCTCTGATGAGAGGTGTGAGCTGTAGGTTTGTTCAGCAAGTGCTGGGGCCTTACCCACCTGCCCCCTTTGGTCCATCCTGTGGGCTGTGGGGACCAGGCCCCTGCTACTCAAGGCCAAGGTAGGAAACAGTCTTTCCTGTTTTCTTCAGGGTTGCAAGCAGAGTGTCCATGCTGTGCTCAGATTCAATGCAGACCTTCTTGTTGGGCAGGTCAATGTCATACTTAACTCCTGCAGGAAGAGGAAATGGGGTATGGGGAGAGGAAGCACAGACCCTCCCAGTTACAGCAAGAAAGAGTTCAGGCTCTAAATTACTACTCACAACCACCCTTGCCCTTTCCTCTAGAGCAGGGATCGGCAAACTTCTTCTGTAACAGGCCAGAAAGCAAATGTTTTAGGCATTGTGGGTCACATATAGACTCTGTTGTATATTCTGTGTATTTTTTTTATAACTCTATTCCTGAACATACAAAAACAGGCTGTGAGCAGGATTTGGCCCATGTGCTGATCTCTGTTCTATACTAGGGCTTTCTGAGACAGAGACGCACTCTGTTGCCCAGGCTGGAGTGCAGTGGCATGATCTCAGCTCACTGCAACCTCCACCTCCTGGGTTCAAGTGATTGTCATGCCTCAGCCTTTGGAGCAGCTGGGATTACAGGCGTATGCCACCACACCTGGTTAATTTTTGTATTTTTAGTAGAGACAGGGTTTTGTCATGTTGCCCAGGCTGGTCTCAAACTCCTAATCTCAAGTGATCTGCCCGCCTTGGCCTCCCAAAGTGCTGGGAGTATAGGCATGAGCCACCGTGCCCAGCCACCTTTTTTTTTTAATTGCAAAAGTAATATAGACACTTTTTTTTTTTTTTTCAAAAAAGCAAACATTTCTAAATAAAAGTAGAAGCAGTAAGGCCCCCTACTGATCCTGCCCCTAGAGATCACTGTGAACAGTCTGGCTTCTATCTAGACTTTGTCCTAGATAGACAAATGAAAAATAATTCCTCCAAATCGCATCACACTATATAAACAGGTCTTGCTAATATTTTACTTTTCTCTTTATTTATTCATTTTTATTTATTTATTTATTTAGAGACAGGGTCTCACTGTGTTATACAGGCTGGAGTGCAGTGGCACAATCACAAATCACTGTATCCTTGAATACCTGGGCTCAGGTGATCCTCCCTTCTCAGCCTCCCAAGTTGTTGTGACTACAGGCACATGCCACTATGCCTGGTTAAGTTTTGTATTTTATGTAGAGACAGGGTTTCGCATATTGCCCAGGCTGGTCTTGAACTTCTAGGCTCAAGCGATCCGCCTGCCTTGGCTTCCCAAAGTGCTGGGACTACAGGTGTGAGCCACTGCACCCGGTCCATTCTTTTTTTTTTTTTTTGACACAGAGTCTCGCTGTGTCACCCAGGCTGGAGTGCAGTGGCACAATCTCAGCTCATTGTAGCCTGACTCCCGGGTTCAAGCGATTCTTCTGCCTCAGCCAGCCTCCCGAGTGGCTGGGATTACAGGCATGAGCCACCACACTGAGCTAATTTTTGTATTTTTAGTAGAGATGGGGTTTCGCCATGTTGGCCAGGTTGGTCTTGAATTCCTGATCTCAGGTGATCCACCTGCATTGGCCTCCCAAAGTGTTGGGACTATAGGCGTGAGCCACAGTGCCCGGCCCTATTCTTTTTTTAAAAGCTACAATCTTCCACAGTGTGGACGTACCACACATCCACTTAATTAATCCACTGTTAAAGGTCATTGAGGATGCTTCTAATTTTTCACCACTATCACAATGTTATAGTAAACATATTTGAACTTGTCTTAAAACACTTATAAAAATATTGTTATACCATGAATTCACAGAATGGAAATTGTGGGGCAACAGATATTTGGCACATTTTGAATGTTTAATAGACATTGCAAAATCGCCCTCCTAAATGGCTATGCCAATTTACAGCTCCCCAGCAGCACATGGGAGGACCCAGAGTTTTACTCTGACAAAAGAGTGCAAAAAGAAAGGAAAACTCTTGATAGGTTCTAGGCCTGGCCTCACCATTGACTTGCTGGGTGACCATGGGCAGGGAGTCGGTGGGAGGAGGGTCCTGCTTCTCACAGGCCTCAGCTACCTCATCTGTACATGAAGGAGTCAGGGCTGGCCAGCTCCTGTGGCCTTTCCAGCTCAAGGATGCCATCAGTCTGTGATTCCTCAGCCCTACCACTGTTCTTTTAGGGCCATAAGCAACTCAAAAAACCCTCCTGACCCTTCTCAAGAGGCCACCCAAGCAGGGACAGTAGGAAAAGATGGGCAGAAACCTGCCGAAGCTTAAAGGCAGATCTTCCAGCAAGGGGCCTTAAAAATCATATGGTTGGCCAGGCGTGGTGGCTCATGTCTGTAATCCCAGCACTTTGGGAGGCTGAGGCGAGTGGATCACTTGAGGTCAGAAGTTCAAGACCAGCCTGGCTAACGTGGTGAAACCCCATCTCTACTAAAAATACAAAAATTAGCTCAGTGTGTGGCATGTGCCTGTAATCCCAGCTTCTCGGGAGGCTGGGGCAGGAGAATCACTTGAACCTGGGAGGCAGAGGTTGCAGTGAGCCAAGATCATGCCACTGCACTCCAGCCTGGGAGACAGAGTGAGACTCCCTCTCAAAACAAACAAACAAACAAACAAAACATATGGTTTCCCAGCCTGCATAACAAAGCAAGACCCTGTCTCTACAAAAAACAAAAACAAAAACAAAAAAATAGCCGGGTGTGGTCCTGTAGTCCCAGCTACTCAGGAGGCTGAGGTGGGAGGATGGCTTGAGCCTGGGAAGTTGAGGCTGCAGTGAGCCAAGACCGCGCCACTGCACTCCAGCCTGGATGAAGTTCCTGGGATGGGTAGATGTCTTTGAGCTGTCAAACGAAATTAGGCCCATCCCCACTTCATCCAGAGCCTGCTGCTTTGTATTTGAGGAGCTCCTGTACAGTTTCATTTTTAAAGCATCAACAGGCTGGGCACGGTGGCTCACGCCTGTAATCCCAGCACTTTGGGGGACCAAGGTGGGCAGGTCACCTAAGGTCAGGAGTTTGAGACCAGCCTGGCCAAGATAGAGAAACCCCGTCTCTACTAAAAATACAAAATTAGCCGGGCATGGTGGCCTGAGCCTGTAATCCCAGATACTCAGGAGGCTGAGGCAGGAGAATCGCTTGAACCTGGGAGGTGGAGGTTGCGGTGGGCTGAGATCACGCCATTGCACTCTAGCCTGGGCAACAAGAGCGAAATTCTGCCTCAGAAAAAAAAAAAAAATTAGCCAGGCGTGGTGGCGGGCACCTATAATCCCAGCTACTCGGGAGGCTGAGGCAGGAGAATCGCTTGAACCCGGGGCAGAGTGGAGCAGGTTGCAGTGAGCAGAGATCATGCCACTTCACTCCACTCTAGCCTGGGTGAAAGAGCAAACTCCATCTCCAAAAAAAAAAAAAAAGAAAAAGAAAAAAAAAAGCATCAACAGCAAAAGCTGATACAGACATACAAGATATACATTCCCATACCACAGCTGGGGAAACCCAGGCCCGAGAAAGAAGGGCCCACAGTCACATGACAAGTCAGCAGCTAGGTTCTTTCCACTGTTTCAGTTTCTTTCAGATTAAGATCCCAGTTTACAGGGCTAGAGGCCAGCCACTGACTTGCTGCGGGACTACGGGCAAGTCACTTAACCTCCTGGACACTGGCATCGACATCCCCATTCCAAAGATGGAAAGTACAGCTCAGAGGACTGCTAATGAGATCACGTCCATGTGGAAGCCATTTGAAAACTTAATGTCATTATTATTTAGGGTTTTAAAAAAGAAAATTTTAGAAGATTGTGTGATAGTTCATGTGGAAGAAAAAGAAAAGAAAAAATCTTAGAAGGCTGACTGAGCACTGGCATTGCCAAAACTCTGATCACAACTCAGTTATTACCTCACTGAGTCCCAGGACCAGATCCCAGTCCTCTCTGGGCCTCAGTTTCCCCAGCTGTAAAATGACAAGGCTGGATGAGACTGATTGTTCAAAAGAGGTGCTTTAAGAATATCTGCATGTGGCCAGGTGCGGTGGCTCATGCCTGTAACCCTAGCACTTTGGGAGACCAAAGCAGGCGGATTACTTGAGGTCAAGAGTTCAAGACCAGCCTGGCCAACATGGTGAAATCCATATCTATGAAAAGTACAAAAATTCACCGGAAATCGCCTGAACCCAGGAGGCAGAGGCTGCAATGAGCTGAGATCATGCCACTGCACTCCAGCCTGGGCAACAAACAGAGTGAGACTTCATCTCAAAAAAAAAAAAAAAAAAATCTGCATGTGAGTGATTCAAAATTAATTTAAATTTTTTTTTTTGAAGTAAAGAAACAGAAAAAGACAAAATTTTAAAAATTTTTACCTTTTTTTAAATCTTTCCTTTTTTTCTTTCTTTTTTTTTTTTTTTTTTTGGAGACAGGGTCTTGCTCTGTTGCCCCCACTGCAGTGCAGTGGCACGATCTAGGCTCACTGTGGCCTTAACCTCCCAGGCTCAAGCGATCTTCCCACCTCAGCCCCCTAAATTAGCTGTGAGTACAGGCATGTAACACCATGCCTGGCTAATTTTTTTGGTATTTTTTGTAGAGATGGCATTTTACCATGTTGCCCAGGCTGGTCTCGGGAACTCCTGAGCTCAGGCAATCTGCCCGCCTCAGCCTTCCGAAATGCTGGGATCACAGGTGTGAGCCACCGTGCCCAGCCCCATTTAAAAAACCTTAATAGAGGCTGCGTAGGGTGGCTCGCGCCTGTAATCCCAGCACTTTGGGAGGCCGAGGCGGGCAGATCACCTGAGGTCAGGGGTTCGAGACCAGCCTGACCAACATGGAGAAACCCCGTCTGTACTGAAAATACAAAATGAGCCAGGCGTGGTGGTGCATGCCTGTAATCCCAGCTACTTGGAAGGCTGAGGCAAGAGAATTGCTTGAACCTGGGAGGCGGAGGTTGCAACAAGCCGAGATTGCACCATTGCACTCCAGGCTGAGCAAGAAGAGCGAAACTCTGTCTCAAAAAAAAAAAAAAAAAAAAAAATTCAATAGAAAATGACACTCAGATGTGTCATGCAGTACACACTGGAGATGACCAACATATGAACTAGTACTGCCATGGCTCCAGAGCTACTCCTGGCAGTACTAGTTAATTTGGCTAAATCCCAGCTCTGCCATTTACTGACCATGTGATCCCAGATAAGTTATTTAATGTTTCTGAACTTCAGCTGTCTCCTGTTTAACATGGAGCTAGTAAAAAAAAAACTATCTGAAATGGCCGTGGTGAGGATTAAATGATGTGATTCACATAAGCCACTAAGAAAATAACAAGAGTAGTTGGCACGTGCTAAGTACTCAATATATTTTAGTTTTACTGTTATGATCAGCTTAACCCTAAGTCTCTCCTGCAACATCTGCATGCATCTGAACATGGCATAAGTGCACCCAACTCAGGGCCACTCACTCACCTCCAAGCTTATTGAGGACCCGAGAGACAGCTTCAGCACAGCCTCCACAGGTCATGTCCACAGAGAACTCGTGCTTCTGAAACAAACACAGGGGGACCATGACCCGAGCCCTGTAGAGTGACCCCCACACAGTGCCAGCAGACAGGCCCACTCAGGGTCAAGACAGAAGACAGAGAGACTGGGCAGGACCTGGTTGGCATCAGACTCATCAGAAGCCTGTTTCTGAGCCCGTCTCTTCAACTATAGAGTAGCTAAGAGTTTCTACCTCACAAGTTGTATTCAATGGAATCATCCCTATAAATCCTTTAGCAGTGTCTGGCACATAGTAAATAGAATCACCTGGAGATCTAGTTTAAAATGCTTTTTCCCAGTCCTACCTTCAAAACACTGATTCTTGAGCTATGAGCTTTGTCTCAGGGCCACCAGTAACTCTGACAGGGATGGGCCCCCATACTCTGAGCAATGCTGATCTGGTGGGCCCACTTATGAACCACAAAATTATTTTCTGCACTAGAGTCACCTACAGCTTGCAAAAACTACAGGTTCTGGTCAGCAGGTCTGGGCTGGGGAATCTGTTATGTCTACTCATTACCCCAGGTGATTCTGCTTTCATCCAAGGGCCGCATTCTCAGAGGCAGCATCTGGGTCCAGGGAAAGAAAGGATTGCCTGGGTTCCCCAGTGGGTTGGAGGCCAGGCAGGAAGGGATCCCCGGCTCCTAGTCTTCATGTAAGCTCTACATTCTACAGTCTCTAGGATATCTAACAGATCAAGGGTCTGAAGGTAAGCTCCCAGAAGACAGAGGTTTTGTTCAGTTCACTACTGGATTCCTAATACTTGGAACAGTGCCTGGACAGAGTAGGTGCTTAAAACTTATTTTTGAGTCAATGGATAATTGACATGGCTGGTTTGAACTTCTGGATCTTTTGCTTTGCTTTCACACAAGGATTACTTATACCAATACTTTATTTTAAAATCTCTGGAAATGAGACCATCTGAAATCAGATAAATATGGCTTCAGATACCAGCTCTGGCACTACTAGTTGCATGATCATCAATATGTTACTTCTCTGTGCCTTAGTTTCCACATCTGAAAATTGAGGGTAAGAGTCCCTCTCTAGATTTGTGAATGGGATGAACACAGGATTTTAAGTACGGTTAGCCAGCATCCAAGATGGCCTCAATGATCTCTGCCTCTGGTATTTATGCCCTTGAGTAATCCCATTCCACATGTCTCGGGTTGGTCTGTGTGTCTTATAGAATATGGCTTGAAGTGAGGTTATGTGGCTTCTGAAGCTATCACAATGTCATAAAGGACACTGTGACTTCTGTCTTGCTCCATTTCTGGGGTCACTTGCACTAGAGGAAGTCAGCTACTAAATTACAAAGAAATTCCAGCAACCACAAGGAGAGGTCCACAAAGTGAGAGATTGAACCCTCGAGCTAACAAGCATGTGAGTGAGACATGTTGGAAGTGGATTCTCCAGCTCCAGTCAAGCCTTCAGATGAATGCAGCTCCAGCCAACATCTCACTGCAGCTTTATGAGAGCCTCTGAGCTGGAGCCACTAGGCCAAGCTGTTCCCAAATTCCTGACTCTCAGAAACTGTGTGAGTTACTATAAATATATTTGTTGTTTTATACTACAAAGTTTTGGGATAATTACTAAGGAGCAATAGATAACTAACACATTAAGGAAATTAGAGCCTAGTACTAGGTTCCGTTGGGTAAAAGGTTAGCTATTGGATTATTAATTTCTTCCATTTGTCTCTCCTGTTTCCCTTCAAAAATCAATGGCTACATTTTTCATGGAGCACTTCAAAATATTTGAAGTCTATTACCTCAGTTGGAATCCTGGGTGTAGTGATATATCTTGCTAGAAAACCACAGGCAAAATCTCTGCTCCAGAAGGGCTCCAGTTCCCTAATCTATACCAAAAGGGTATTAGCTAACTCAATTTTTTTCAACTTTAGTGTGCATAGGAAGAATCTGGGGACCTTGTGGAAAGTGCAGCTCCCAGACACCTGCCTCAACTGACTCTGTGGATGTGGAGCGGGCCCTGCCACTCCCCATTTTTAACCTACTGGGGAGAGAACGGGAGGCAAAACTACAAACCTGAAAATAAAGTGGCTAAGTGGCTTCTCAAACTCTTTCCAAGTCTCTAAACACCGCTGAGTCTGGATTGTCACTGTGCTCTACAGAGGAAACGAAGACCAAGAATTAAGCAGCTCGATTTTCCAGTGCAGACTGTTTGACCTTTGTGACTAGTAAACCACTCCTTTTATTAAGGCCAAATCTGCAAAATCTGTCTTAAAGAAAATGGTCAGTCTTTCCTTTCTTCTAAACATCTCTGATTTTTTCATCTTGTTTCCTGACTATTCACAGACAGCAACAATAACAGATTCTGGAAAGAAGGATTTGTAGTAAGTATTACAAAATCTTGTCTTTAAAATGTGGTCCTCAGCCCAACAATATGAGCATCACCTGAGAGCCTGTCAGAAATGCAGAATCTCAGGTCCCTTCCCAGAAGTCCGGAATCAGAATCCTCATTTTAACAAGACACCCAAGTCATTCCTCCCCACATTACAGTCTGAGATGATGCTCTCCTCTATTAAAAAGTTTTTTTAGGCTGGGCAATGTGGCTCATGCCTATAATCTCAACACTTTGGGAGGCTGAGGCAGGTAGATCACCTGAGGTCACAAGTTTGAGACCAGTCTGGCCAACATGGCAAAACCTGTTTCTCTACTAAAAATAGAAAAAAAATTAGCCAGGCATGGTGGCAGGTGCCTGTAATCCCAGCTACTTAGGAGGCTGAGGCAGGAAAATCACTTAAACCCAGGAGTTTGAGACTAGCCTGGGCAATACAGTGAGATCATGGCTCCATTTAATTTAAAAGAAAAAAATTGTTTTGGAAAAAAAAATGATGATGCTCTGGAACATGGATTGGCACACTACAAACTACCTGTTTTACAAAGAGTTTTGTTAAAACATAGCCCAAATCGGGCCAGGTGTGGTGGCTCATGCCTGTAATCCCAGCATTTTTGGGAGGCTGAGGCGGGAGGATCACGAGGTCAAGAGATCGAGACCATTCTGGCCAACATGGTGAAACCCCATCTCTACTAAAAATACAAAAATTAGCTGGTAGTGGTGGCATGCGCCTGTAGTCCCAGCTACTCAAGAGGCTGAGGCAGGAGAATCGCTTGACCCAGGAGGCGGAGGTTGCAGTGAGCCAAGACCATGCCATTGCACTCCAGCCTGGCAAGAGAGCGAGACACCGTCCAAAAAAAAAAAAAAAAAAAAAGAAACACAAAAACAAAAAACTACAGCCAAACTCATTTGTTTACTTTTGCACTAGAATGGCAGAGTTGAGTAGTTGTACCAGAGACCCTATGGTTTGTGAAGACTAAAATGTTTACTATCGGTGCCGTGTAAAAAAAAAAGTTTGCTGAGTCTTGCTCTAGGATAACCAGCAGAAAATCAATTCATCTATGGTTTGTACTTATATACTGAGCCAAAGCTTTGAAGGGTTTGCAAGATCAACATAAGAGCTAAATCTACTGATTGTCTATTACATGTCAAATTATCTTTGTACAGTATCTAAGTTAGTCCTCACTGAGCCTGGAAAGAGAGCTATTTATCTTATTTCACTCAGGAGGAAAGTGAAGTTCCCAAGAGTTCACTAGGTAGCTTGCAGTCATGTGGCAAATAACTACTGAGTATGGAATATGAACCTAGGCTTTCTTCGCTCCAGGGAAATCTTGCTGGTTCTGGAAAAGCAAAGTACACCGCCAGCCCTCATAACCCTGACTCTCAGCAGAAGCTCTGAAACTAGAAACACATTTTTAGGGAGCACAGTTTTTTGCTGCCCAAGGACCTAAAGTCAACAGATACCTGAAACTTTCTGTCGCTGACTACAGGGAGTAGGTCCCATCCCCCACAGTATAAAGGTCAGAAGCCAGAAACCAGCTTCTGGGTATAAACATTACAGTTCAGTGCTCTCCTCCTCCACCTCTGAGGGGCAAAAATAAATTTGAGGGTGATGGAAAATCTATTTCATGGACAGAGTAATCACTTCTTTATAGGAGAATCTCAAGATTGGCTCTACCACCAGATGCATAACTGGGTAGTTCTGGTTCCTCATGGCCTCTGGGGTCTTTTATAAAGACTTATAAAATGGGTAGATTTTAAAAGCCAGTAGGTTTAAAGTAGGTTTTTAAAGTCAGTAAGTGGGATGATTCTTTTTTTTTTTTTTTTTTTTTGAGACTGAGTCTCACAGTGTCACCCAGGCTGCAGTGCAGTGGCACGATCTCAGCTCACTGCAACCTCCGCCTCCTGGGTTCAAGCGATTCTCCTGCCTCAGACTCCCGAGTAGCTGGGACTACAGGCGTCCGCCACCATGCCCGGCTAATTTTTTTGTATATTTAGTAGAGACGGGGTTTCACCATGTTGGCCAGGCTGGTCTCAAAGTCCTGACTTTGTGATCTGCCTGCCTTAGCCTCCCAAAGTGCTGGGATTACAGGCATTACCCGCCGCACCTGGCCTATTATTATCCCTTCTTGACAGATGAGGAAACTGAGATTTAGGGGTTAGTTCACACACTCACGGTGATTCGGCTGAGTAGGGCCTGAATTGAACATAGTCAGCCTCTAAAACCTCAATGCTTAACCACTGAGATCTTGTTAAAATGGGATTGAAAGCTGCCTGCCTATAGTTTTCTCTTCTCTTCTCTTCTTTCTTTCTTTCTTTTCTTTCTCTCTCCTTCCTTCCTTTTTTTTTTTTCTTTTGAGACAGGGTTTCACTTTCACTCTGTCACCCAAGCTGGAATGCAGTGGCACGATCACGGCTCACTGCAGCCTCAACCTCCCAGGCTCCAGCAATCCTCCCACTTCAGCCTCCCAAGTAGCTGGGACTATAGGCACGGGCCACCACGTCTGGCTAATTTTTTGTATTTTTTGTAGAGCCAGGGTTTCATCATGTTGCCAAAGTTGGTCTCAAGCTCCTGCATTAAAGTGATCTGCCCGCCTGGGCCTCCCAAAGTGCTGGGATTACAGGCGTGAGCCACCATGCCCGGCCTCACCTGCCTATAGCTCTAGCCCACCTGTCCTACGTCTACACAGGAGCTACCATTTCTTGGGGACTAGATATATCAGTGGCTGTGTGACATATTTTACTGGCATTTTTCCAGTTAATACTAACAACAGTCCTGTGAGGTCAAAGTTTTTGTCCCTATCTTACAGATGAGGAAATCAAGGCAGTGAGATAAAGCAACTTGCCTGAGGTCACCCAGTTGGCAAGCTGGGGCACAGATTTTCAGAGGTTTCTGGGATTCCAAACCCTGTGCTCTCGGGCATTTGTCTGAGAAAACTCTCAGGTAACACACTCTTCCCCTTCCAGTATGTGTATATAGATATATTTTTTTCTTCCCTTTCCAGTTTTGAGGAAATCCCTTGACTAACACCCTCTTTCCTTCAGCTGTTATCTTGTGGTACATGGTGCCAAGTGCCCTCCTCATTCCCATCATCTGCTCCAGAGGGTTTTTTGTCAAAATCCCCAGAAGATACAGAATACAGTGATGATCAAGCTAGCCTTTTCCTCATTGCCACCCCCCACAAAAAATCCTGGTGGCCTTCACTCCCCAAGCCCCAGGGCAATTAATACTGTCTTCTACCATTGCCACAGGCTGACTTGCCCAACTGGTAGGGCTGATTCTATCAGATTCCTTATCCATACTTTGTTGTTGGAGGATTTGTCTCAAGGCACCTGGCAAGACCCACAGGAAATGACACCTGAGATGTCAGTGGCTCTGCCCAGGAGGCCTCAGGCTCACCTGCCAGCTCCCTAAAGACAGGATGCAAAGACACATGGCAACTGTGGGATACCTCTGGGTATCCACCTGGCCCAGAGCCATGAATTAGGCACCCTGAAGAAAATGCTAAACACCACATGACCCTAACCAAGATGCAACTGAGATCAGAGCATCTTCCCAAGCCGGTGTGACTGCTTTTGCCTGGCACCTCCCATGTGGTCAGGCCTGGAGAGATGGGGAGCCTAAGGATAAGGAGCTGAATCCTGGCTCTGCCAACTTCAACACGACCTGGAATAAGTTACTGGGCTTTTTATATTTTTATCTGCCAAAGGCCTCAATTCTTTATATAAAAAACGAGGCCACGAGCAACAATATATGTGATAAGACTGAGTGATCTGCAAAGGCAGGCTAAGACTGACTTCCCAGACACAGCCACTGAGCAACTGGTGACTGTGCGGGGGGGTTCCTGAACCTCTCTGGGGCTCATGGGTTCAGGCTGAGAAAGTGTCTCCATTCAGTGTCGCCCAGAGTTGATCTGAAAAGTAGGCCAGAGTGGGCAGGGAAATTAAGAAAAGCATGAACCTCTGAAAACCTGCCCGGTCCGTGAGGAAATAACCGGGTCCACTCCCTTGTCCAGAGCCTCCCCACCGCCCTCCTTCAGGCCAGCTCCGCGGGCAGGGCAGCCAGGAGGAAGGCTCAGGGACTAGGCGTCTCAGTTCCCGCTGGCCACCAACTCCCCCATCCCCTGCCCCCTCTCTGGTTCTGTTTCTCTGTGTACGCAGGGAAGGTGTGGGCTTGTCGCCCCTGGAGGCCTTCCAGCTCCGACGTTTTGAAGCCTGGCTCCCAGATTAAACTCCCTTCGGATCCCATTTTCTGAAGGGTCGCAAAAGCTGGGGGCTGGGTGGGGTAAGCTAGGGGACAACAGCGGCTCCGGCCGCCGCCTGAGCCCTTCAAGATCAGCATCCGGTCAAGCGGCTGTGCAGCCGAGAAGCAACCCGGGACTGCAAGTCTGCGTGGCGGGGACGGCGCAACCACTCACCGGCATGACTGAGGCAGCGGCGGTGTGGCGGCGGTGTGGCGGCGGTGTCAGCAGCGCCTCTCTGGATTCGGAGGGCGGGTTCGGCTGCGCTTCCGAGAGTGCGCACTAGAGGCCTGGTCCCGGAGGCCCCTCCCACTCCGGGCCCGGCCGCGAGGGAGGCTCCGCCCCCTCCAGTCCTGATCCCTGCCGGCCGCGCCGCCTCCTTTCTGCGGGCCGGGCCCGTGGTCACCCGGCCTGGACGGAGAGAGGAGGTGAGAGGGGCGCTGCGTTGGCCTCCATCGACTGTCGGCCTTTTTCAGAACGCCTACTTCGGGTCAAGCTTGTGTTAGGGAATGCCAGAGAAGGGCACCGCCTTGAACAGGACATCATCCATCCATCCCTAAAAGGACAGTTTCACTCATTTATTCACCGAGTCAATTTTTATTAAGCGCCAGCCAACGAGGACGCAGCGGTGGAAGAGCAGCAGCAGGAGGCTGCGAAGGACGCAGGCAGTGATAGTGCAGGGTTAGCAGAGCTGTTGTGACAGAGGAGGAAGGGCCCTGACTGCAGTGGGGTGGGGGCGGTTGTGGAAGAGAGGCGGCCTGGGGAGAAGGCAATAATCTGGACCTCGGTTAGCCTTTATCGCCCTGTTACAGGCTTTGTCTCTAAATACAGTCGCATTGGGGGTTAGGGTATCAACATAGGAATTTGCGGGGACACAATTCATGTCCATGTCAGAGTTCAGTCCCTAGCAGAGCCATACTGACTAGAGTTTTAATCTCAGCCCTATCATTTATTAGCCATGTGACCCTGGGCAGATGAACTTACCTCTCTAAGCCTCAATATCCTCACGTATAAGATGGGGACAGTTAAGGTCACTATACAATTTTTTATCTGAACCTTTTGCTAGAGAAAGGAGATGCTATTAATAATTTTGCCAGGACAACAGGCAAACACCATGACTGTTTCAGGCAAACAACGACACATGGTTCCCTCCAAGAAACCTACTTTGCAGTATTGTTGGAATACATGTAATGTGTGCAAACTTCTTAATACATTGCTTGGCACATGGTAGGCACCAAAAATATATATAAGTATTCTCTAATTGCTAGGCCCTCTGTTGGCCTCCCTGGCACTGGGTCTTCCGCTGCTCACAAAATACCCCTTAACCATTCATCCCCTACCCAACCTGCCAGGAATTCCCTAAAGATGGAAGGGAAGGGGGCGAGGAGGAGAGGGAAAGAGGGTACTGGCACATTAGGTCCTGTACGGGCAAGGCTTAGCATCTTGGTAGTCCTGGGTACAACTGTGCCCTGGGGCTAGGGATAGCTAGATTGCCATGAGGGAAGGCGGAGAGTGGACATGAGGGAAGGAAATCCTTCCCAAAGCAACAGTACACAGGGCGAACCACCCACGGCATGTTTTAGAGAATTAGGGGTATGGGTTGGGGGGATGGCTAAGCCTAGAGACAGCAATTTAAAGAGAAGACAGCTTTATAAAGATCTGTTAAAGATCACAAATAAAGACCTATTAAAGAGGAGAAGAAAATATGCCAGACTGTAGTTCCTGCATAAATATATACATACATTCCGTGTATTTACATTAAAATAAGCATGAAATGAACCACAGCCAATGTTACTAGAAGTTATCTTGGATAAGTGTAGGATTTGCAGGTGGAATCCCAATGTACCTACTGTTTAATTTTCAAATAACACAAAGTAGCGTACAGTGAAAAGTAGGTCTTCCTCCTACCCTGACCTCTCCTTCTTAAACAAAAGGCATAGTATACACAGTTTTGCATCCTGCTTTTCTCACTTTATAAAATATCTTAGAGATTATTCCTGGGCCAGATGCAGTGGCTCATACCTGTAATCGCATTGCTTTGAGAGGCCTAAGTGGGAGGATCACTTGAGCCCAGGAGTTTGAGACCAGACTAAGAAACATGGTGAAACCCTGGCTCTACAAAAAATACAAAAATTAGCCGGGTGTGGTGGCATATGCCTGTGGTCCCAGCTACTCAGGAGACTGAGGTGGGAGCATCACTTGAGCTCAGGAGGTCAAGGCTGCATTGAGCCATAAGTACACCACTGCACTCCAGCCTGGGTGACAGAATATGACCCTGTATTTAAAAAAAAAAAAAAAAAAAGATTATTCCTTAATAGTACATATCAACCCTTTTCTTTCTTAGCTTTTTTTTTTTTTTTCCCCGAGATGGAGTCTTGCTCTGTCGCCCAGGCTGGAGTGCAGTGACGTGATCTTGGCTCACTGCAACGTCCGCCTCCTGGGTTCAAGCAACTCTCCTGCCTCAGCCTCCCAAGTAGCTGGGATTATAGGCGCCCACCACCATGCCCGGCTAATTTTTGTATTTTTAGTATTTTTAGTAGAGACAGAGTTTCACCATGTTGGCCAGGCTGGTCTCGAATTCCTGACCTCGTGATCTGCCCACTTTGGCCTCCCAAAGTGCTGGGATTACAGGCAATGAGCCATCACTAAGCCAGTGAGCCTGGGAAATGGGCATATAGAATCCCTGCTTTCTGGCTGAAAGTGTTGTTGCAAGGATAGGAATGTGCACACTGTAGGCATGTATAGATGGTGGGTTCTTCCTGGTGTAATCTACTTCTAGACCCAGCCTCCTGGGATGACCCTTTCTTTGACAGATGCTGAGGAGTTTAATTCTTTGCAAAGAAAGGTTTTGTAGCTGCTGCCTGCTCCCCGATATCCCCACCGCAGGAAACCAAGTGTCTGTTTTTTGTATCATAACACAGGTATACACCACTTGCCTCACTGCTTTATCCACCAACGGACCCTTTATCTGGGACCAAAGATTCTGAGCTGAAAGGGCCCTCAGAGCAGCCAAGGCATGCATGAGAAGAGAAGGGCTATGAAGTGGAAGCTGAGGGAGCGTGGACTGCAGGCTTGGGAGAGGGAGCATGGTGTCCTGCAGAGCCACATGCTGGCAGAACTGGGTCTACAGACACATTTTATTCAGTCCCTAAAGTATTCAAAATATTTTTTGATTAGTTGACAACAGTTAAGAACTCTGAGTATGCTTGTACAACATTGTGAATATATTTAATGCCACTGAATTATACACTTAAAAATGGTTAGAAAGAGGAATTTTATGTTCTGTATGTTTTACCACAATTAAAAATAGGGCATGGTGGCTCATGCTTGTAATCCCAACACTTTAGGAGTCCCAGGCAGGAGAATTGCTTCAAGTCCAGCCTGGCAATATAGCGAGATTTTGTCTCTACAAAAAATTTAAAAATTAGTTGGACATGGTGTTGTGCACCTGTAGTCCCAGCTACTTGGGAGGCGGAGGTGGGAAGATCACTTGAGCCCAGGAGGTCAAGGCTGCACTGAGCCGTGATCGTGCCACCACACTCCAGCCTGTGTGACAGAGCAAGACCCTGTCTCAAAATAAAAATAAATAAATAAATTTATTTATTTCTAGACTGACATGTAAAATTAGTTGCTTTCTTATTACAAGACTAGGAAAAGCATTTTTAAAAATAAAAATTCTAAATAGTTTTTAATTTTTATTTTTTGAGACAGGGTCTTGCTGTGTCACCTAGGCTGGAGTGCAGTAGCGTGAACATGGCACACTGCAGCTGTGACCTCCTGGGCTCAAGGGATCCCCTGACCTCAGCCTCCTGAGTAGCTGGGACCACAGGTGCATGTCCCCACACCCAGCTATTTTTTTGTATGTTTTTGTAGAGATGGGGTCTTGGCATGTTGATCAGGTTGCTCTCATAAGCAATCCTCCTGCCTCGGCCTCTCAAAGTGCTGGGATTACAGGCGTGAACCACCGCACCTGGCCTAAATAAGTTTTTAAAAAGGGTGATGGGCGGGTGCAGTGGCTCACGCCTGTAATCCCAGCACTTTGGGAGGCAGAGGCAGGCAGATTACTTGAGGTCAGGAGTTCAAGACCAACCTGGCCAACATGGCGAAACCCCGTCTCTACTAAAAGTACAAAAATTAGCTGGGCATTGTGGTGGGTGCCTGTAGTCCCAGCTACTTGGGAGGCTGAGGCAGGAGAATCGCTTGAACCCCGGAGGTGGAGGTTGCAGTGAGCCGAGATCGCGCCACTGCACTCAAGCCTGGGCAACAGAGCGAAACTCTGTCTCAATAATAATAATGATAATAAAAAGGGTGAAACCTATTCAGTTAAAGTCCTCAGAATATTTCCATTGTATTTTTTAGGCAAGACCAAAAGTTTTCGTACTATCAGTAAATGTTTTAAAAAAAGAACATTGAGTCACATAACCTAGAGTTTTAATATTTCCTGAAAAACTGAAAGATCTGGAAACATGTCTATGACTGACAGGATAGGCCAAGTAATATTGTAGTAACAAACAATCCCAAAGCCTCAATGGCTTAAAATGACGAAGATTTATCTCTCCTGTGATATGCCCATAACTGGCTGAGTGGGTTGAAGCTGGAGGAGTGGCTCTGTGCAAATTGGTTTTGCTCAAGCACCTGGTTTGAGGAAGAGTCACCATATAGAATGGCACTGATCTGAAAGTGTCCCACCAAAATTCGTATGTTGAAACCTAATTGCCAATGTGATAGTATTAAGAAGTGGGGCCTTTGGGAAGTGATTAAGTAATGAGGGAAGAACCCTCATGGAAGGGATTAGAGAATTTATAAAAGATGTTGAAGGGAGTACCGTAAGCCTTTTTTGCCCTTCTGCCATGTGAGGGGACAGTGATCATCTTAGAAGCCATCATAGTCCCCAGCACTCTTTAGTGGACTCCCAACATAGCAGCCAATGGTCAGGGAACATCTGCCATGCTCTCCTCTTCCTCCTTTGTTCTCTGTACCCCTGGGGCTTCAGGTTTCTAAAGATGTGTTTAATGAGACAACCCAGACAAACCTGCGTTCAGTTCCTTGCTGTTTCAGGCATTTAATCTCTCTGACTCTGTCTCTTCTCTTGTAAAATAAAGATAATAATTAGACGTAGCTCATCGTGCTGTGGTGAGCAGTATGAAAAGTTTCTTTTTTTTTTTTTTTTTTTTTTTGAGATGGAGTCTTGCTCTGTTGCTCAGGCTGGAGTGTATTGGCATGATCTTGGCTCACTGCAACTACCATCTCCTGAGTTCAAGTTATTCTCCTGCCTCAGCGTCCTGAGAAGCTAAGATTACAGGCATGCGCCACCAGGCCCAGCTAATTTTTTTCTTTTTTTTTTTTTTTGTATTTTTAGTAGAGATGGGGTTTCACCATGGTGATCAGGCTGGTCTCAAACTCCTGACCTCAAATGATCCACCCACTTTGGCCTCCCAAAGTGCTGGGATTACAGGCATGAGCTACCACATCTGGGGAAAATTTCTTAATGTAAAAAACTTTCAAAACAATACATATAAAATGAAAATCTCTTAAAAACCCTTATATCACTCTCTTCCGCAGAAGTAGCAATGCTATCAGATTGCTGTATAATCCATCCTGACTTTTTAAATGCATTTACAAACATTAATAAACATACGTGAATGGATAGTTGGTGTATATATATATATATATATATATATATATTTTTTTTTTTTTTTTTTTTTTTTTTTTTTTTTTGAGATGGAGTTTTGCCCTGTTGCCCAAGCAGGAGTGCAGTGGTGCGATCTTGGCTCACTGCAACCTCTGCCTCCTGGGTTCAAGCAATTCTCTTGCCTCAGCCTCCTGAGTAGCTGGGACTACAGGCATGTACCACCATGGCTGGCTAATTTTTGTATTTTTAGTAGAAATGGGGCTTCACCATGTTGCCCAGGCTGGTCTTGAACTCCTGATCTTGTGATCCACCCGCCTCAGCCTCCCAAAGTGCTGGGATTACAGGCGTGAGCCACCGCACCTGGCCAGTTGTTGGTATTTTTAAAGCATATATGATATACTATACATAATTTGCAAGACACTTTTTAAAATTATCAATCTGCTTTGGAAATGTGTGTTTTTTATATATAAATATTTTAAAAATATTTGAATATAAACACACATATATGCACATATATGAACTAGCTCAATCTTTTAAATTGCTACAAAAATTTTTCTAGTATGGATATATTACAGTAAATTTAGCTATTCCATAAAAAACAGACTATTTTGCCATATTATAAACAATGCTATAATAATATTTTTGCTCTCTGTATACATGTGGGAGTGTTTCTTCAAAGTAGATACCAAAAAGTAGAATTTCTGCATCATAGGGTGTGTGGATTTTAAATTTTACTAGATGCTAGCAAACTACCCTCAGAAAGGCTATGCTAATTTATATTTTGTGCTAGCAGTATATGAGAGTAATTATTTCTCACACCCTTGCCAACATTTGGTATTGGCAAAGTATCATTTTTCTTTTTCTTTTCATCACTGAATGTCTATCTATTAAATGCTGATGGAGGTAAGGATAAGACTCATTCATATGCCAAGTGCCTGGCACATAATAGCTACTCTGAACACACAATACCCACAGTTTATTATATAAATCCAAGCCTGAAAAGTCAAAATTTCCATTCATGCTATTATTAATTGGCAAACAAAAAAAGCTCTTAGTTTTTGGAACACAGGTTTGAATCTTGTTTTATCCACATTGTGTAACTGGGGACCTTAATGGTTTAGTTTCTGTACTCCTTCAGTGTTACTGTAAAACTTCCAAGCATTTGTTGAGA
This sequence comes from Homo sapiens, assembly GCF_000001405.40. Lineage (NCBI taxonomy): Eukaryota > Metazoa > Chordata > Mammalia > Primates > Hominidae > Homo > Homo sapiens. The sequence continues at coordinate 151,765,172 of NC_000005.10, forward strand.
CACTACATAGCTAGGTCTTGTTGCTTTACAACCTTGGGATGTAGCAGTCAACATTCAGCATAGGTCAAAATTCTTAGGCAGGGTTGTATAGGGTAATTACCCAGGAGGCTTTCTAAAGCTGAAGTCTGTATTACCCTCCACCTCCAGTGTAGTCTATCAGTATAAAGAGTGTAGTTTATCACATATTATAAACTTGATATTTATATCAAGTATTATAAACTTGATAACTTCAGTTCCTAAAGTATTCAAAATATTTTTTGATTAGTTGACAACAGTTAAGAACTCTGAGTATGCTTGTACAACATTGTGAATATACTTAATGCCACTGAATTATACACTTAAAAATGGTTAGAAAGAGGAATTTTATGTTCTGTATGTTTTACCACAATTAAAAATTGGACATGGTGGCTCTATTAAGTTTATAATACTTGATAATTATCAAGTTTATACGTAACTTGGACAAAGCATCTGCTCTGATCCTTCCTCCTGCCACCCCACTTCAGCTTTCAACACTGTACCATGAGGTGCCTTCTTGTTGGCATCAGGATTGTCCAAGATCTCACATCAGGCAACGGTGGCAGGCAAAACCAGCCTGTGTCATGGCAGAATAGGTTAAAAGCCAACATTACAAAACTGAGACCATTTTTGCAGAGCACATTCCCAAACTATGGGCAAGACCAACAGCAGTAAAGTCAGCTTTTTATTGAACACATTATAAAACAGGTTTAGTAAAAAGACCAAAGCCCATGTCATCATCAGACTCCTCAGATTCTTCTTTCTTTGCTTCCATTTTCTTCTCCTCAGCTGAAGCAGCAGCAATGGAGGGGGCAGGACCTCCTGCTGGTGCAGCACCAGCTGCTAGAGCAGGTCCACCAGCCCCTACATTGCAGATGAGGCTTCCAATGTTGACGTTGGCCAGGGCCTTTCCAAACAAGCCAGGCCAAAAGGTTCAACATTTACACTGGCTGCTTTAATGAGGGTATTGATATTAACCTCCATGATGATCACCTCGTCATCGTGCAGAATGAGGGCCAAGTAGACACAGGCAAGCTCGGAGATGGAGGCCATGGCGCGGGCGAGTGTGGGGCTGACATTGCCAGAGGTGGTGCTAGTCACTGGATGAAGTGATGGCCTCACCCCAATGTGGCCTTAGCTTCCTCGGAAGGACCAAGCACCTTGGTGGCAACTGAGGAAAGGGCAAAGTATCATTTTTCACAATGTCATGATTGAACAATTATTTAACTTCTTTTTGCTTTGGTTTCCCTATCTGTTGAAATGAGCTGTTTGAAGATTAGATTAGTTTTTTTTTTTTTTAAGACAGTCTCATTCACTCTGTCACCCAGGCTGGAGTGCAGCGGCACAATCTCAGCTCACTGCAAACTTCACCCCCTGGGTTCAAGCGATTCTCCTGCCTCAGCCTCCTGAGTAGCTGGGATTACAGGCATGCATCACCACACCCGGTATTTTTTGTATTTTTAGTAGAGACGGGGTTGTACCATGTTGGCCAGGCTAGTGTTGAACTCCTGGCCTCAAGTGATCTGCCCAACTCGGCCTCCCAAAGTGCTGGGATTACAGGCCTGAGCCACTGGGCCTGGCCTTAGATGAGGTCTTATGTATATTTTATTCTTGTTTCTTTTTTCCTTATTGGGCTTTGAATTCCAAGTGACATAAACCTGAGTCTGATTCTGAGCTCTGCCCCCTTCCAGCTATAGGCCAGTCATTTAGCCTTTCTGAGCCATAGTTTCTACATCTGTAAAAGAGTTAATACTTCATAGAGTTTTTGTAAGGATGACTTGAAAAACTGTAACTAGCACTGTGACTGTCACATAATGGGTGCTTGATATATATGCTATTTATTCCTCTTCTAAGCCACAGAAAGTGAGGACTTCTAATATGTGGTACCAGAGTGTGCAGCAAAGAACCTTCTGCAAAGAGCTTTGGCTGCAGATGTTCAAGATTTGCCATGGACTCCAGAACTCTCAAATCACTTGGAAATTTGTCTATGCAGCATTATCTGGTGTCATGCCTGAGATATTGAAGGAAAAGCCCCAGCCTTTCAGGGGTTTCTGAGAAGAATATGCCCCTTTTCTGTATTCATAACTGTATCTTCTTTCTCTGGGCAGTATTGAGAGTGGGTAAAAGAACATGGACTTGAAGTCAGAGAGTCCCAGCTTCTAGCCCTAGCTATGTGACCAAGGGCAAGTTGTTTCCCTCTCTGAGCCTGTTTTCATACTTGAGAAATAGGAAATAGGGATGTTGTGAATATTAAATGAGATCGTTCTTGGAAAGAATATTAGCAAGGTACCTGGCGCACGGTCAGTGCTCCACAGAGTCTGAGGAGGTGATGTATTTGCCAAGAGACAATGCCAAAGAAGGGAGGAATGCAATTAGGCATGTCTTTCTAAGCCAGTAAAGGGCCTCTTTGGATCTTTGTATGATTTTATTTTATTTATTTATTTTAATTTTATTTTATTTATTTATTTTTTGAGGTGGAGTCCTGCTCTGTCGCCCAGGCTGGAGTGCAGTAGCACAATCTTGGCTCACTGCAACCTCTGCCTCCCAGGTTCTAGCAATTCTCCTGCCTCAGCCTCCCGAGTAGCTGCAACTGATTACAGGCACCTGGCTAATTTTTGTATTTTTAGTAGAAGTGGGGTTTCACCATGTTGGGCAGGCTGGTCTCAAACTCCTGGCCTCAAGTGATCCATCCGCATCAGCCCCCCTAAGTGCTGGGATTACAGGCATGAGCCACCACACCTGGCTTGGATCTTTGTATGATCTTTGCATGGTAAGGAGCAAAAGGCAAAGAGGTTAGCAGTTTTTGGGGAGGTGAATTAAAACGTGGATACCTCATTTTCAAAACCTCTTGTAAGGCTGGGTGAAGTGGCTCACGCCTGTAATCCCAGCACTTTGGGAGGTTGAGGTTGGAGGATTGCTTGAGCCCAGGAGTTCAAGACCAGTCTGGGCAACACAGTGATACCTTATCGCTACAAAAATTTAAAAAATTAGGTGGGCTTGGTGATACATACCTGTGGTCCCAGCTACTTGGGAAGCTGAGGTAGGAGGATCACTTGAACCCAGGAGGTTGAGACTGAAGTAAACTGTGATCTTGCTAGTGCACTCCAGCCTGGGTGACAGAGCGAGACCTTGTCTCAAAAACAAGAAAACCCCCCCAAAACACCCCTCTCATATACCTACCTACAAGGCCTAATGTATTACATCCCTTTTGTTTTAAAGATCAAAATTTCTATATTATAGTTCCTCATATCACTATTAAAATCTATACCTAACACTAATTAAAATAATAATATGGGCATTTCTATTTTTTTTAAAATCACACAGCCAGGCATGGTGGCTCACACCTATAATCCCAGCACTTTGGGAGGCTAAGGCAGGAGCACTACTTGAGGCCAGGAATTTGACATCAACCTGGGCAACAAACTGAGACCCTGTCTCTACAAAAAAAAAATTAGCTATGTACAATGATGCAGGCCTGTAGCTACTGGGGAGGCTGAAGCGAGAAAATTGCTTGAGCCCAGCAGCTCGGGGTCACAGTGAGCTATGATTGTGCCACTGAACTCCTGCTGGGTGACAGAGTGAGACCCTGTCTCAAAAAAAAAAAAAAAAAATCACACAGTACTATAGGGTACACAGTGAAAACTAAGACTCTCTGCTGTCCTAGACAAAGTTCGTCTCCCTTAGCAATCATTAATATTCATTAACATTTTCTTGTGACTCCTTCCAGACATAACCTGTGCATGTATAACAGCAAAAACATATGGGAACAAATGTGTAGTGCAGATAACTAAAGCAATACATATGTCTTAATGGACATAATCACCCCATGATATCCCTCTTCCTTTATTATACAAACCCAGGAATACTTTTCCCATTATTCTGCACTTTGCTTCCTTCATTTACTGATATCTCTTGGCGACTGCTCTATAACTATACAAGTAGATCTACCCCATTTTCTGTATGGCTGCATGACAGTCTACTGTAAGTATACTGTTTTGCAGTGCTCTATCTAACCAGTTTCATTCAGCCAGATATTTCGGTTGTTTTCTGGCTCTTTCTACTACAAACAATTCTGCAATGACTATTAGTAACTCTGCAGAGTTTTCTTTTTTTTTTTTAAAGACGAAATTCTTTTTCTTTTTTTTTTTTTTTTGAGACAGAGTCTTACTTTGGTGCCCAAGCTGGAGTGCAGATCTCCGCTTGCCGCAACCTCTGCCTTCTGAGCTCAAGTGATTTTCCCACCTCAGCCTCCCAAAGTGCCGGGATTACAGGCGTGTGCCACCACATCCGGCTAGTTTTTGAATTTGTTTTGTAGAGACGGGGTTTCGCATGTTGCTCAGGCTGGTCGCGCAAACTCCTGACCTCAGGTGATCCACCCACCTCGTCCTCCCAAAATGCTGGGATTACATGCGTGAGCTACCGCGCCCGGCATGCTGCATAATATTCTATATTACGTGTATATCACTGTTAAAACAGCTTATCAATTGATGAACATTAAGTGTTCGGGTTTTAAATCTTCTAGCAATGCTGACAAAGCTGCAGTGAAAGTCTTGGCACATGCCTTTGTAAACAAATGTGGCTATCAACCAAGTGACATTATTGTTTTGGGGGATATGCACAATTTTATTAGATTTTTAAATTGCTGCTGGGCGCGGTGGCTCACGCCTGTTAATCTCAGCACTTTGCGAGGTCGAGGCAGGTGGATCACCTGAGGTCAGGAGTTCGAGACCAGCCTGGCCAACATGGTGAAACCCCGTCTCTACTAAAAATACAAAAAAATTAGCAGATCCTGGTGGCGCGCGCCTGTAATCCCAGCTACTAGGGAGGCTGAGGCAGGAGAATCGCTTGAACTCAGGAAGGCGGAGGTTGCAGTGAGCCGAGATCACGGCATTCCACTCCAGCCAGGGCGACAGAACGACGCTCCGTCTCAAAAAAAAAAAAAAAATTGCTTGGCAAAAAGATCTGTATCACTTAAAACTCCCTCCAAAAGTGAAGGGTAGCCATGTCCCTCATCGCGAGTCACCTGGGTTAAATTACTAATCTGTAAATGTTAAATTTCGCCAATCTTCTTAGTGTTTCAATTCGGAGAGTCATGTTGTGAAATGCCAATCTCTTAGTCCACCTTTTAAAAAACTTTGCAGGGGTTCTCCAAGGCCCTCAGAATAAAGTCCAGATTCCTTTGCAGAGCTAACAGGATACAGGAGACTCCCTGCTCCAGGAAACTTCTAGGGGCTTCTCTCCTGGGGCCTGTTCCCTGGTTTTGGGAGCGCTCGGGCGACCGCGAGCCAGAGCAGCGTCTCGCTCATCTCGGACCCAGGCCTGGGGCTCCACTGACGCCGACGGAGCCGGGCTGCTGCGGGAGTGGAGCCCTGGGGGACCAGAAGGGGCTTTCACTTCGCTCCTGGGCCTCCCGAGTTCCAGGCTCGGGCTAGCCCCGCGCAGGGAGGCGAGCGGGCCCGGCTCCCCAGAGGCCGAGGCCGGCGCCCGTGCTCCTTCAGCTCGGCCTCTCTCCCCCGACATAGGCGCTCCACATGCTTCATTTCCAAAATTCTCAGCAAAACTCCGCGGGAGACCCTGGTCACATGCCTGGAACGAGAACAAACCGGGGCGTGTCTGTGCCGGACGGCTGGGAACCAAAGCTATTTCCATAGAAATAGGGCCGGCCAGCCTTGAGTTGTAGCCCCGCCAGTGCCTGAAACGCCAGGAGGAGGGGACGAGTTGCCTTTTAAAGGCGTAGCGACGAGAATAAGCCCCCACCCGCGGCAATTCGAGGCTGAACAATAGTGGTGCAGCTCGGGACGTGGTGCGAGGGCCCACACTCCACTGGAGCACGCGCGGACCACCGTGCCTCAGCTGCCACAAAGGGAGCCTCGCCACACGCCCGCGGCCGCCTCGCAGCGCCCGCCAAGAAGCGCCTGGCGGAAGGGCGCACTCTCAGGCCTTCCACCGGCGACCTTCCGGCGGGAGCCTGCGGGCGGCGCAGGAACGACCCTCCTTCCTCTGCCCCGCAGCAGTGCTGAGTAATGGTGAGAGCAGCAAGGCCCTTGGCCGCCGCACGTAAGAAAAAAGTTGTAATAAAAAGAAAACAACCCGGGAAACTTTACTAGTTGGTTCGCCAGGTACAAACCTATGCGGAAAAGGCGGGGTACAGGCCTCGGAGGCCGGACCCAACCAGTCAGGGAAAGAAAGAGGGCAGAAGCCGCAGGCTGCACAGCCTCACAACCGCCCAGAGGGCACGGCGGCCCTGGGGCTCGGTCTCTTCCGAGCAGAGCAACCTCCGTGTCTATCAGCTCCTTCCGGCGTTGCGATTGGCCACAGGCTGTCTTGGCCTCTCGGACGCCCGCCTCCTAGTTGCTAGGGGTTTACTTCCCCAAAGTACACGGGCCCCACCTTGTGGCGCAACCGCTCCTGCATGGAAAACGGATCTCCGCCCAGGGGAAGACGTGTTAACGAATAAGAGCAGCCCCACACATTTATTGGCTACTTTGAGTATCAGTCAAAGAACTGCTCACTCGCCTTTCTATTGTACTTTTCGGTTATTGGTCTCTCTTAGTGCCGATCTGTTACTAGGGAAACGAGATCCTCACAGTCTCATAGGCAGGAGTCAAAGCCAATCAAGAGCCACGCCTTCATCCCCGAGTCAGTGCCCAATTACTGTTCGAAGAGCCCTGAGGACGCGGTCGGGATTGGTCATCCCGTCGCCCGACCTGGCCGCAACAAGTTAGGGTGAGTGGCAGTTATATAGACCGGCGGCGGAGCACGCGTGTGTGCGGACGCAGTTGCGTGAGGGGTTTGTACTATCCTCGGTGCTGTGGTGCAGAGCTAGTTCCTCTCCAGCTCAGCCGCGTAGGTACGCCGGGGTGTGGGCGGGGCAGGGAGGCCAGAGGACTAAGCCGAGCCGCAGCACTTGTGAGAGGGAGAAGTCTGAGTGGCGCTCGCGGCGGCCGCGCCAGTCGCGTCCCCCACCCCAACCCCCACCCCAACGGCCGCAGGCGCGCGCGGCGGACGGACGGGCGCGCGGCGGCTCCTCGCTCCCGCTCCCGTCCCGGCTGGGGCGCGTGGCCGTGTCCGCCGCGTGCGCGTGCTGCGTCCAACGGCCTCGCGGGGCAGGAGTAAGCCGCGGCCGCCGCCTGGGCCCCAGGGCGGTCTCTGGGGCCAGGGGTCCCGCGCCCAGCGTTTCCCGCCCGCCACCCTCTCCGCCACGCGCCCGCGGCACCTTTTCCTCCCCTGGCCAAGGGATCCAGTCGGTTCGGACCAGAAGGAGGCTTTCGTTTAGGGTGGGGGCAGCACTAAAGTCTGATTGGAGTCTTGCGGTCCGCGCGTCGCAGAAGCGCCTTCGGTTTTGCAGAGAGCAAAGAGGGAGCAGCGAGTGCACGGAGTGGTAGTAACAACCAATGTTCTTTCCACGCCCTCACTGTGTGTCCGGCACTGTGCGGAGCCACTTTTCTGCCTTTCATTTGATTCTTGCAGTGAGCTGGCGAGGTGGGTACGGCTATCCTCCTTCCTTAGCGGCCCAAGGCACGGGTTTGGAGAGCGGGGTCACAGGCACGCACGGGAAGGGCGGGGATTTGTTGACGCCGGGCCCTCTGACTCCGAGCTCCCCGCTTCCCAAGCCTGTTTTTAGTCTTTGCCCCCAGAGCACTTGTCCCTCGGGGCAGCATCAGCCTCAAAAGGCCACCTGCCGAGAAGGCTGCAGCGGCATTTGTACTTGGGCTAGTTCTGGGCTTCCAGGGAGACAAGGGTTGGAAGTGGGAATGTGACAAAGGAAAAGGGTTTGGGCTTCCTTTCTACGTGTACTTGTACAGGCCCTGGGTAGATGTGCCGCCACCGTAGCTTCTGGAAAAAAGTAGGGAAAACGATGAGTAAGTGCAAATGAACATGGACTGTGTTCCTCATCGGGTTTGAATCTCAGATTGCTGATGGGAAATTCCCGCCAGCGGGAAGTTAGGCTCCGGTTTTAGACGTTGAATTTTTTTTTCTCTACTTTTTTTTTAATTGGAGGAGACTTTTGCAGAAAGACCTTGAGAAGATTCACTTTATAGTTGAAGGGAATGAGGTGCAAAGCGACGAATTTAAGATCTCACTAGCATCTGTGGGTTAAAATACGGAATTGGAATAGAAAGGTTGGCGCCCAGTTACAGTATACTATTTGGACCTCTGTGGAGCGTGTCATGCTGGATGAATTACTGGTGTTGGAGATGTGTTGGAAAAAACAACTGTGACAGTCGAGATCTGTGGATGAAAGTTTGTGTACACTCCGTTTATTTAGCATTTACTCTGCTGGGTTCTTGTGTATATGCAGAAACAAGATGCTTTTCTTCAGGGACTGGAGCTTATATTTTTCTAGTAGTTACCATCTTTTAGATTATTTAAAAGCCAACATACTCCTTGGCTTAGTGAAATAAATCTTCTATGTTATAGAAACACTTCTATAAACATAAAGATTTCTATAATCGTGTTCTGGAAACCCTTTCTATAAACATGTTTCTATAACAGTATTATAATAATGTTCCAAGTAACATTTACTTGGAACTTTGCTGGTGTGGCGATTCCGGTTACTTGCCCTTACAGACTGGTTAACTATGGAATTAGCATTTTAACTTAGACTTAAAGTTGAGCAATTTAAGTTGTCAAATGGAAAAACACTAGAATGACCTACATTTAAACTGTTTAAGCTTGAGTCCAGCTAATTTTATTACTGCTTGAGGCAAAATAGAATGAAATTACCTTACACATTATTGAGGGAAAATTTCGTTAGTTTCTACTTAAAATATTAAAAAAATACAGTTCTTGGCCTCAGGCAAATGGTTATCACTTGGGCAGGAACATGAAAATTACGTGATTATTTCACAAACTGGTGCTCTAACTGATTACTTGTGCATTTATCAGGAACAAGTGAATTGAAGCAAATTGTGGTAATGTAAGGCTTGGCAAGGCTGCCCTACATCCCTACCAAGTCATACGTCAGTTTTGTTGGAGCTGCTTACCGGTACAAAAGTCTAAGCTTTTGTACCTCTTACAGGTAGAAAAGTAGACAGTTCTTTGTTTAACTCAGTTTGCTGTTCCTGAGCTGACACTGCACCAGGGGAACATTAGGAGATTTTGGTAATGTTTGTTTGTGACCTACTTAGAGCAGTTTTTCTTTTGTAACTTATGGTTTTTTTTTTTCCCACTCGTTCTAGTATTTTGCATAGAAAGTGAACGGCAGAAGGCAGTTTTAAGTTTTTGTAAAAGTTTGTGAATTTTATATCGTCCTTAGGACTGATGGGGCTAGTGTTAAAAGATAAAATTTAACATAAAGCTTACATTTGTGACTAAAGCCAATTTTATATTTTTTTTCTTTATTTTTGTCAGTCTGATAAAACTGCCCACTTGGTCTTTTAACATTTTGCAAATTGATTTTTTTTTTAACTTTCAGAATTTAAATAGGCATTGTATGTTTGTTTAATTATATTGTGCTTTGGCTTCCTTGGACGAAACTATTACTGACTTTACAAAGAAGAATGGATAATTGTGGAAGTAGGTAGGTCAAAAAAAAAAAGGAAAGCCTCGCCCGCCCCCCAGTAATTTGTCAAAAGCAAGTGGGAAAAATCTCTGGTAGTGCAGTACTGCCCTTCCAGTACTCCAGTACAAGCCCTGGAGTTGAATTTAGATTCAGCAACTATTATCTTACATGTAGTTGGTGATCACAATGTGGTGGCACACTAGGTTTATAATTTTATATCTCAGAAATCAGCTATTTACTTTTTTTAAAAAAGTATTCTTGGACATCCTGTCTGTCTTTAGTTGGGAAGGTCAAGTTGCAAGCCAGGTGATAGGGTTAAGAGTAGGAATAATTCACACACACGAATAGTGTCTTAATATTCTGTCTTACAAGGTGGAAAGCAATTTCAAAAAAATTGCCCTCACAGCCTGTAGCTTAGTAAATAAGGTCTTTAGGCGACTTTGTGATAGAGTCCCTCTTCTGTCAGGTGGCCAGTCTGTCATGTAATAAGTTCTTGGTATGTGTGTTGTATCTTAGGTACTTAATCAAAAGTAAAGATTAAAGATGATTGACAGAAATTTGGCTTCCTGGATGGTATACACATCTACTTAGTAGGGATGTAATCTTTGGTGGCTATTAACTTCACTGGCTATATAAAGCATCATTATGTATTTGTGTAACCTTTTGCATATTTAGAGAGTGCTTTCACACATCTTTGGTATTACCATACTTTTACTAAAAAGTGAATTGGAGCTCTGAAACCGAATTGTCAAAACTATTTTGAAAAGCATGTGGTACCTAATAGGGTACTATAGCCAGCTTATTTCCTTAATTGAAAAATCTTAGAGGGATTTTGAATCTGGAATGTATGAATGTGACACCTGCCTGCCCTTGCAGGCTTCTCCCATATGCTGTTTATGCAAAGCCATAGGCTGTGCCTTAAGTACACCCTTGTTTCTGCACTGAGGTTGCCTAGATTTCCCTGGAGTGTATCCACCTGTCTTGATCTGTTTAAGAATTTTGCGGATGAGCATTAGTATTAACTGTAACATATCTTTTCACGTGATGAGAAAGAACAAAGATTTTTTTAAATTGTGAACCTGAGTAGGTTTTAACTTTGGAGTGGGGAAGGGATACACTAAGATAAAAGATAGTTGTTAAGTATTCTGATTCCTGAAGTTTTTTTTCTTTCAGGAAAACAGTATTTTTGAGATAAAGTAAGATTTGTGGAAGAGTTGCAATAGAGAGGTCTTGAATACCCATTATCCACTGTTAACATCTTATGTAATCCAAGTACATTTAACAGAACTGAGAAATTAACATCGATAAAATACTGTTAATGAAAGACTTTATTTGGATTTCCTTAGTTTTTCTACTAATGTCCTTTTTCTGTTCTAGGATCCAGTCCAAGATGCCACATTGTATGTAGTCTCCTGATCTGTGTCAGTTTCTGTCTTTCCTTTTGTCTTTCGTGACCATGACACTTGATCTCATTTGGATTTGATGTTAAGGATTAGACTGAAGTTACAGATTTTTGGGGGAAGAATACCACAGAAATTACCCTTATCACATCAGATTGGGGGTCCATAATATATAACTGGTTGAATTTAACCTGATGATTTGGTTCAGGTGGTATCTGTCAGGTTAGTGTTTTTTTCCCCTTTAGATACTATTCCTTAGATGCTAGTCACCAAGTCCAGCTCACACTCAAGGAGAGAGGGGAATTAGGCTCTACTTTCTAGAGGGAGGAGAATGTGAATTTGTGGAAGTATATTAAAGCTACTGTTATTATTTTGGGGGAGATGCTTCGAAGCCATGGAAATAAAGTTCCCCTCCTTAATTTTAGCATTTTAATGGATCTCGTCTGCAGCTATTATTACTTCGGGGTTCTAATGGTGATTTTTTTTATTTTCCTCATTCCTTCTACAGTATAAATTTTCTGTGAGGAAGATTTGTGTATTCTTCATGTTTTTTCTTTTTTTCATTTATATCACTATAGACCACGGATATTAATTTTATTCTTTGGGTTGTAATCCACAATTATCCTTGCTGATGTTTACTTATTTTTGATTATTATTTATTTTATATTTTTATAAAATATCGTCCAGGCTGTCTCACACTCCTGGGCTCAAGCAATCCTCTTGTCTTGGCCTCTCAAAGTGCTGGGATTACAGGTGTGAGCCACTGTGCTGGCCACAGTTTATTTTGTTGTTCATGTTGTTCCAGCTTTTTTTTTTTTTTTTGGCTCCTTTGTCCTTTTGACACTTCCCTATCTTATCTGTTTTTTAAAAGCATGTTTTTTCTTTCATTAATTACCAGGTATTTCAGGCTCATCTTGCATTTTGCCTGTCTCAGGTCCAGAATCAACCATTTCTCCAAGGAGGCGTCAGGAAGAATTGTGAAGGGAGGTGACAGGTGGTAAATGCGAAGAGTTTGGAAAAATAGATTGACAGTAGGCCCAGTGATGTTGATACTTTTCTTGCTCTGAGCACAGATGTTGGCTTCTGTATTCATGTTACTCCAGTTCTGGGAAAAGATTTTGTTTCTAAATTCCCACGATTTAGAGAACCAGATATCAAATGTTTGAATACATGACATAATCCTGAAACAAAATTTACAAAAATTTAATATATTCTCAAGTTAGTACACACAAACACTTGCTGTTTTTCCTTGGTGTTTTTGACAACTTTTTTAAAGTAAAAAGACCACTTAAATACTATCGTACTCAGAATTAACATTTGACATTTTGCATTGCCCTCTAAGACTCCTTTTTTTCTATACGGGCTTCCATTCCCTTCCTTCCAGGGATCTTTTTCACATCTTTCCAGGCTGTTTTATTGATGGGGAATTTTTAAAAATAGCTTTATTGAGGTATAATTGACAATAAACTGCATGTTTTTAAAATGTACTGCCTGATAATTTCAGACACCTTTTGTAATCCCAGCTTCTCAAAAGACTGAGGCAGCAGAGAGGATTACTTGAGCCCAGATGTTTGAGGCTGCAGTGACCTATGGTCATGCTACTGCACTCCAGCCTGGGCGACACAGGAGACTCTTAAAAGAAGGTATACCCATGAAACCATCACCACAATCAAGATTGTGAACCTATCCATTACCCCCAAAAGTTTTCTCATGTCCCTTTTCCCTCTTTCTTGCTTGTTCCTTCCACCCTTCTCCCTGCAGGAAATCCTTGATCTTTTTATCACTGTAGATTACTTTGCGTTTTTTAGAATTTTTTTGTAAATACATTATGTTCTTTTTTTAATTGCTCAGTGCTAGTCTGTTGTGTAGGCATATCACAATTTTTTGGTTTACCTGTTGGTGGGCATTGAAAAACGGCAGAAGCTGTGTGTTTCCAGCTTTTTGACTGTTACAAATAAAGCTTCTGAACTTTGTGTACAAGTCTTTGTATGGGTATACGCCTTTATTTCTCTTGGGTAAATGCTTAATAGGGGAATGTTTAGATCATGTAGTAGATGTATGCCTAACTTTTAAAGAAACTCCCTGTTTTCCACAGTGGTTGTACCATTTTACATTGCCACCAGCGATGTTTGGGGGGTTCCAGTTCTGCCAGTATGTTGGCTAACAGTGTGTATGGTCAGTCTTTTTAATTTTAGTCATTGTGACAGGTGTTTAGTGGTACCTCACAGGTTTTAATTTGCATTTCTGTAATTGCTAGTGATCAGCATTTTTCATTTGGCATTCATATAATTTCTTTGGCGAAATATCTTTAAGTCTTTTGCTCATATTTTATGGGATTGGTTACTTAATTATTAATTTTTTTGTTTTGAGACAGTGTTTCGCTCTTGTTGCCCGGGCTGGAGTGCAGTGGCGCCATCTCTGCTCACTACAACCTCTGCCTCCTGGGTTTAGGTGATTCTCCTGTCTCAGCCTCCTGAGTAGCTGGGATTACAGGTATCCACCACCACACCCGGCTAATTTTTGTATTTTTAGTAGAGATGGGGTTTCACCATGTTGGCCAAGCTAGTCTCGAACTACTGACTTCGGGTGATATGCCCTCCTCGGCCTCCCAAAGTGCTGGGATTACAGGCATGAGAGTACTTTATATATTCTGGATAGAGGTATTTTAAAAATTAGAGATATGGGTCAGGCGCAGTGGCTCACACCTGTAATCCCAGCACTTTGGGAGGCCGAGGCAGGTGGATCACTTGAGGCCAGGGGTTCGAGACCAGCCTGGGCAACATGGTGAACCCTCATCTCTACTAAAAATACAAAAATTAGTCGGGCGTGGTGGTGTGTGCTTGTAATCCCAGCTGCTTGAGAAACTGAGGCATGAGAATTGCTTGAACCTGGGAGGTGGAGGTTGCGGTGAGCGCCACTGCACTCCAGCCTGGGCGACAGTGGAAGATTCCTTCTAAAAAAAAAAAAATCAGTCAGTCAATCAATCAGGTAAATGCCTTGCAAATATTTACTCCTAATCTGTGGCTTGCCTGCGTGCCTTTTCATTCTTTTGATGGTGTCTTTGCAGGGCAGATGGTTTTAATTTTGAGGCAGTCTACGTGATCAATTCGCTTTCTTCTTCATTTGCTTTTGGTGTGTCTAAAATCTTTGCTTAGTGTCATGCAAGTTTTCTTTAGAAGTTCAGTTTTGGGTTTTACACTTTGATTACACTGAATCATTTTGAGTTAAATTTTGTATGTGGTGTGAGACATGAATTGAGGTTCTGGTTTTTTTTTGTTTTTTCCATATGATATCTAATTGTTTCAGTACCAGTTGTTGAAGAGAGTATACTTTTTCCACTGAATTGTCTTTGCACTTTTCTTGGAAATATAGTTGTCCATGTGGATATGTTAGTGAACTCCATTCTGTTTCATGGATCCATTTGTCTCTTTATGTCTAGCCTGTGTATCTATGTACGGTATCTGGTATTTGTGTATACTAAAAACACTTTTAAATATATGTAACGTTATCACACAGTACATATTTGGCAACTGATTTTTCTTTTTAATAATGTTTTTGAGTTATGTGCTCGCTTTCTGGCAGGCATAAATAGGGTGACATATGTCTTGGTTTGCCAGGGACAGTCCTGATTCACTTCAGTTAACCTGACACTATTAATAGTAGTTGTTTTCAATCTTAAAAGTGCTCTCATATGGTTGTCTTAGGTATAGAAGTTTCCCTAATGTGAATAAACCACAACTTAATATCCATTCCTTATTTGATGGACATGTAGATTGTTATCAATGTTATACTTTACAGATAGGGTGGCAGTTATTTGTTTTTGTCTTGTGTGAGTTTGTTTTGTCTTGGGTGAGTTTCTTTTGTATATGTACCTAGAAGAGAACTGCTAGATTTTCATCAGAGTGTTTTTGATTTTATTAGATAGTGCAAAATTGTTCTCCACTGTGGTTGTACCAGTTGAGACTTCATCTTCAGCAGTCCTGTAGGCTCTTTTTTTTACTTGGTTGCCAATGTTTGGTGTTGACTGAGATTTTAATACTTTGGCGCATCTCTTGTAAGGTATCTCCTGTGAGAAGTGATTTTATTAATTGCATTTTCCTGGTTACTTACTCTGTTTTGTTTGCTGTCCATTTAGTACTTTCCTGAGAATTGGCTGCTCCATTTCATTTGCCTGTTTTTCTCTTGGGTTACTCTTTTAGTGATTTGTATGCAGGTTTATATACATTCTACTAATCTTTTATTATATGATATTATATTTTCTTACTATAAAACTGGCACTGAAAATGGGCTATGAAGGCATTTGGCTACTTTTTATTTTGTTGGAGTGAGCTTTGCCATTAAAAATGCAGGTGGAGTATGGGCTGCCTTTATGTTTCCCTGCCCGTCTGTTAAAAATTGGAGGATAATGCTCATAGTTATTTCCCCCTCCGCCGCTAGCTGATGGAGTCTTGCTCATTCGCCTAGGCTGGAGTGCGGTGGTGCGATCTTGGCTCATTGCAAGAGCTCCGCCTCCCGGGTTCACTCTGTTCTCCTGCCTCAGCCTCCTGAGTTGCTGGGACTACAGGCGCCCACCACCATGCCTGGCCAGTTTTTTTGTATTTTTAGTAGAGACGGGGTTTTACCGCATTAGCCAGGATGGTCTCTATCTCCTGGCCTCATGATCGCCCACCTTGGCTTCCTAAAGTGCTGGGATTACAGGTGTGAGCCACCGCGCCTGGCTGATAATGCTCATAGTTCTTTAGACCCTTAACATTTTTCTGTTAACTTCAGCACAATTATTGATGGGGAGTTTCTTTGAAGTTGCTTTGCAATCTGGAAACTTGGGATCAAGTGGAAAATTTGAAAGTTAATGTAGTACAGTTGAACCATGAACAAACGTGGGTATGAACTGCTCAGGTCCACTTGAGCAGATTTTTTTCAATGAATATATTGGAAAATTTTTTTTGGAGATTTGTAACAATTTGAAAAAGCTCACAAACTGAATAGCCTAGAAATAATAAAAAAAATTAAGAAAAAGGTATTTCATGAATGCATAAAATATATGTGGATACTGTTATTTACTACTGTAAAATATACACAAGTCTATTACAGATTTATTACAGAGTTAAAATTTATCAAAATGAACCCACACAAACACTTTGAGACCATTCAGGGCACCATTTGCAGTCAAGAGAAATGTAAACAAATGTAAAGATACAGTATTAAGTTATAACTGCATAAAATGAACTTTAGTATATACTGTACTATAATTTTTTTCCTAGCCACCTCCTGTAAATATTGCAATGTGCTTGTGTTGCAAGTATCTGCTTACAACACTGTGTGATGCTAATCATCTTTATGTGAGCAGTTCTTCTCTCCAGTAAATTTGGATGCAGTAAAAAGTGATTTCTCTTCAATGAGTAGTTTTCATCATGTTTAGTACAATACTGAAAGCCTTGAATAACACCATGGGACCCATACGAAATATCACTAATGATGCTGAAAGCACTCCCAAGAAACAGAAAAGTTATGACATTACAAGGAAATATTAAATTGCTTGATCTGTACCATAGGTTGAGGTGTGCAGCTGTGGTTACCTGTCATTTCAGAGAGACGATTTGTCTTTTAAACAGACAGCATAAACATATACAATACTGAAAATGTATTTTGCAAATGATTTTCTTATTTTCTTTAGCTTTATTGTAAGAATACAGTATATAACCTACAAATAGTTAAATGATTGGTTATATTATTGGTAAAGCTTCTGATCACCAGTGTGCTATTAGTAGTTAAAATTTTGAGGAGTCAAGTTATACACAGATTTTCAACTCTGGGCTATCCATGCCCCTAATTCTCACCTTGTTGAAGGCTCAACTGTAGTTCATCCAAAAGGTAGATACAGTTTTATGTTAAATGCTTGGGATTTTTTTTTTTAACTCCTTTAGGAAATTCTCCATTTTAATCTCTAGGAAAATAAGGAAAATATCCATCCAGGTGACACAAGAGAGTGGGATGTAGAAATGGTTTTCTTCTTTATAGTTAATAATTTTGATACTGATAGTAATAATAGCTAACATTTATTTCCTGCTTACTGTTAGGCACTTAATTGTTATAATTCTGATTTTAATTTTACAGACAGAAGAATTGAGGTGAGAGAGATTAAGTTACTAGCTCAAGGTCACAGCAAGTGAATGGTGTTGGAGAAGTTTCCCTAGTGAGAGTTGGTTAAATAAATTTTGGGGGTTTCCTTTTGTTGTCTTTGAAATGTTTATTCACTATTTAAAAATAACACTCAGTTTTAAAGTTCATTTGTCATATTTTACTCATGTTAAAGGTAGCCTTTGACAACTCTCAAACTTTGTCTTAAATTTGGATGGTTCAGTTAGAACTGGTAAACTCAAGGTCATGTTTAATAATATCTTTCTAGATCTTACTGGTATCAGTGTATATCATTCTTAAGAATATTATTTATATTTCAACATCCATTGGTGTATGCTGTTATATTAGGAACAGCCAAAGTCCATAGTTGTAGAAATTTTAAAAACATCTTTAGAAAAGGACTTAGTGTGCTGAGAGTGTTTATAAATGAGGGAGAATCTTGGAAATTTTTAGCATATATTTTCTTTTTTTTCCCCTCTGATATTAGCATGTGTTTTCATTGATAATGCATACATTTTTTAAAAAAATTATTCCCCCCCAGAGGTAATTCATAGATTTCATAAAATATCTGTCACAGTGGATTAGTAACTGGCAAAACACTGTCTTTTCTGTGACTCATCTTTTTTTTTTTTTTTTTTTTTTTTTTGAGATGGACTCTCGCTCTGTCGCCCAGGCTGGAGTGCAGTGGCGTGATCTCGGCTCACTGCAACCTCCGTCTGCTAGGTTCAAGCGATTCTCCTGCCTCAGCCTCCTGAGTAGCTGGGATTACAGGCGCACGCCACCATGCTTGGCTAATTTTTTGTATTTTTATTAGAGGCGGGGTTTCGCCATGTTGGTCAGGCTGGTGTTGAACTCCTGACCTCGTGATCCGCCTGCCTTGGTGTCCCAAAGTGCTGGGGTTACAAGCGTGAGCCACTGCACCCAGCCTTTCTGTGACTAATCTGTTTAAATTTGCTTACTTTAATTATTTTTAGATTTGATAGAATTGAGAGAGTGAGAATTCTTTCTCAAGAGGTATTATGTTCACATTTCTCATAGCTTGTGTTTTATTTTTGGTCCAGAAAAGATGAAGATTTCAGAGAGATGACAATTTTTTAGGATTTATTACACTATATAGATTCAAATTGCCAAAATTTACATTTTCTTTCTTTTTTTTTGCTGTGAATGATCAAATAAACAGATTTTTTTTTTTTTGTAAGGCAGAGTCTTGCTCTGTCACCCAAGGTGGAGTGCAGTGGTGTAATCTTGGCTCGCTGCAACCTCTGCCTCCCAGGTTCAAGTGATTCTCGTGCTTCAGCCTCCTGAGTTTGCCACCATGCCTGGCTAATTTTTTGTATTTTTAGGAGAGACAGGGTTTCACCATGTTGGCCAGGCTCATCTCAAACTCCTGGCCTCAAGTGATCTGTCCCTGTTGGCCTCCCAAAGTGCTGGGATTACAGGCGCCAGCCCCAATTTTTTTTTTTTAACTGAGAATAACAAAATTACTCGCTAAACTTTCAGTGTGTGATCTTTGATCAGTGAAGAACTTACCTAAACATTCTTTTTTTTCTGGAGATGGAGTCACGCTCTGTCGCCCAGGCTGGAGTGCAGTAGTGCGATCTCAGCTAACTGCAACCTCCGCCTCCCGGGTTCAAGCAGTTCTCCTCCCTCAGCCTCCTGAATAGCTGGGATTACAGGCGCGTGCCACCACGGCCAGCTAATTTTTGTATATTTAGTAGAAATGGGGCTTCACCATGTTGGCCAGGATGGTCTCGATCTCTTGATTCTGTGATCCGCTCGCCTCGGCCTCCGAAAGTGCTGGAATTAACAGGCGTGAGCCACCACACCTGGCCAACATTTTTTAATTTATTTATATTTATATTTATGTTTGTACTTTATTTTTTTGAGATGGGGTCTTGCTCTGGCACCCAGGCCGAAGTGCAGTGGCATGATGATAGCTCACTGCAGCCTCAAACTTCTGGGCCCTAGCATTCCTCGTGCCCCAGCCACCTGAGTAGCTGAGACTTTCAGGAATGTGCCACTACACTTAGCTAATTTTTTTTTCTTCATTTTTTCAGAGATAGGGTCTTGCTTTGTTGTTGCCCAGACTAATCTCAAACAACATTTTTTAGTAATTAAACAGTGTTATGTCTGCTATCTTAATCTAAATGCTGGAAAACCTGCTAAGTCAGTTTTGATAGTTAGATGGTCAGAAATCAACTCTGCTAGTATAAAATTCTAACCTCTTCCCTTTGTGTGAGAAGGTTGAATAAAAAAATTGTGTCTGTTATGTGTCAGACATTAAGTTTTGGGGCTAAAACGTTGGGTAAGAAATGGTCTCTGCTCTTAAAAAACTTAATATTTGGGAAAAAGTTTGTATTCTTTATTCAGTATGTTTTATCTGACCATAACTAATGTAGAATTTGTGAAGCCTTTGATTATTTTAATTTAGCACTTAGATTTTTTTTAAATAGTGAAGCAGTATACTTTCATTTTTTTTACTAAAAGGAAGTACATATTTAGTCATGTGGAATTTAAAAAAAGTACTGCTACTGTTTCCCTTGAGCTCTTTGGTGGATATTTATTATCAATAGATAATATATTTATTTACATTAAAGGAGTGACTTTAGGAGCCAGCTGCCACTTAAATGGAACTGTTTATAGTGTAAATGGGAAACTATAAGCGTATTTGAGGCAAATCTAATGTTGAAACTTAACTTCAGTACAAGAGTGTTGAAAATTTGGTTTGACTAACAGCTGTTGCATGTTTCTGAAGTTGACAGTCTCAACTCAAAGTAGAATGTTTGGAAAATTAAATGCTAATTGAGACCCTAATTTGCAAAATGATGTAAACTGTTAAAATGTTAAACTAATGACGAAATGATCCACCTGCCTCAGCCTCCCAAGGTGCTGGGATTACAGGCGTGAGCCACCGTGACCAGCCAACTTTTAAAGTACATTAGTCTAAGACTTAGGATCTAGATTGTTACTGATATGCTCAATACACATGCCTGAAGGCAAAATACTCCTAGTATGACTGGGAAGCTTCTTCATATTGATCTTAGTGGCTGTAGTTTTGGGGACAATAACAGGCATTGGTGAAATAAATACTAATTGGGGTAGATATTCAAGAATAATGCAAAGATGGAACTAGATGAGAGTAAATATATCTTCACAAATTGCTTGTTTAGAAATGGATCAACCAGAGTCAATCTATTTTGTCTACCCCTGTTTAAAAAAAAACAGCTAAAATTTTTCTTTCTTTTCTGCGGTAGTTAAATCTGTATATATTCTCTGTTTGCCTGTATGTTTAAGTTTGGGATAATTTTATCTCTTCCCCCGTGAATGAAATGCTGGGATGATCTCATTGCAGGTTTTTTATTCAGAAAGTGTTTTTTGGTAATAGCTTACAATAATTGGACTTCTTATGGGACAGGTGCCTTTCTTGGCATTCAAAGGTGTTAATTTTACATGATCACAATTTTGATACAGTAGGAATTATTTTGAGTATAAACATCTTGTTTGTTAACTTCCCCATTTTATTTTGAAATTTTTTAATTACATGATAGAATGAAGTAGTAAGCATATTTAGAATTTTTAGTCTTGTAGTTTCTTTTTAAAAGATGCTATACTAAAAGTTTATCTGATTTAGATGGGCCAGAAAATGTGATAGTTTGTCCCCGGATGTCAAAACTATGTTGTTTAAGATTATTGCCTTTGAATCTAATATTGCCTCAAATAAGAATGTGCTTGTAACTTTACAACTGGAACACTCTTAATTGGGCTTAATAACTTAAGAAAATTACCAGGTGCTGTGGCTCACGCCTGTAATCCCAGCACTTTGGGAGGCTGAGGCGGGCAGATCATGAGGTCAGGAGTTTGAGACCAGCCTGGATAACATAGTGAAATCCCGTGCTAAAAAATACAAAAATTAGCCGGGCATGATGGCGCTTGCCAGTAGTCCCAGCTACTATGGAGGCTGAGGCAGGAGAATCGCTTGAACCTGGGAGGTGGAGGTTGTGGTGAGCCGAGATCGCACCACTGCACTCCAGCCTGGGCAACAGAGAGACTCTGTCTCAAAAACAAAACAAGAAAATTATGGTGGGAAGTATGTTGGAAATATATACCTTTGAGGTTCTTACGTCTTGAATATTGGGGATAATGATGAATTCTTCATAATGATTTCCCCCTTTTGTATTCATATGATTGCAATACATTTGTATAAAATCTCAACTGGTCTGTATGGGCTCTGTTTGTTTTTATGATGTTTGTTCATGTTTTAAACGACTTGCTGAAATGATCTTGTCTCTGAGTTGGTTTCAGCTAAATGATTCGGTCTTTTCCCCTGTGTTTGATCCTTCAGGTTTGGACATATTTGACTCTTTTCCCCCCAGGTTGAATTGACCAAAGCAATGGTGATGGAGAAGCCTAGTCCCCTGCTGGTCGGGCGGGAATTTGTGAGACAGTATTACACACTGCTGAACCAGGCCCCAGACATGCTGCATAGGTAAGACATTTTTCTCCTGCATCATCTAATGCTGTCTTTTAGTATGTGGTACTTATCTTTGAGATTCTCCCACTCATCATCTTATGCTTTGTAGGGTTGTTGCATAATACTTATTTACATATAAATATCCCCCAATTTTTTATTTGAGACAGAGTCTCGCCCTGTTGTCCAGACTGGAGTGCAGTGGTGCGATCTGGACTGACTGCAACGTCCACCTCCCCAGTTTAAGTGATTCTTCTGCCCCAGCCTCCTGAGTAGCTGGGACCACAGGTGCCCACAACCATGCCCGGCTAATTTTTGTATTTTTTTTTTTTTTTTTTTTAAGTAGAGACGGGGTTTCACCATGTTGGCCAGGCTGGTCTCAAACTCCTAACCTCAGGTGATTGATCCGCCTTGGCCTCCCAAAGTCCTGGGATTACAGGCGTGAGCCACTGCGCCTAGCCCCAAAAAATAATTTTTGAAAGTTAAACTAAGTTATCTAAACTTGTACATTATTGGAAAATAACAATTGAAATGTAAAGGTATAGTCATGCATTATTTACTAAGAATGTATTAAAGATTGCTGGAGCTGAGGTGGATGTAAAAAATAAGAATGTATTGAAGACAATCCATGACTGTTCCTGTAATACCATACTTTTGTGTTGATGCGCTTTAAAAAATTAGTGTCTTTAGTAGAAATGATGCATGCTTATTGAAAATTAGAACACAGATAAATTATGAAAGTAGTAAAACCACAGAAACAATTTTTCTATATATATAGAAACATGTTTTAATATACTGTCTTAACTTTCTTACTTGATAATCTGGAGTCATCTTTCAGGGTAATACTTGTATCCCATTAATTTTAGTGGCTACACAGCTTTTTATAGAGATGTAGTGTACTTTAATCTCCTAATGATGGATCTATAGATTGCTTCTATTATTTTCTCTTACAATGTCGCTTTATACAAAACTGTCTATTTATGTGGACTTGTTAGAATAATTTCATAGAAGTTTCAAAATGTGTATTTGCTGGACCAGAACTATTTTTTCCCTTACACCTTGACCAGCTTGCATATTGGATACCACATGATTATCAGGTATAAAATAAAATTTATGAATGTATTCAATATGAATATTTTCAATTCATAAAATAAAATTTATGAATGTTTTGACATTGCTCTGACAATGGAATATATCTCGTGTGTGTGTGTGTGTGCATGTGTGTGTGTGTGTGAGAGAGAGAGAGAGAGTTAAGTCTCAGCTGTCTCCCGGGCTGGAGTGCAGTGGCAAGGTCACAGCTCACTGCAGCCTTGAACTCTTGGGCTCAGACGATCCTCCCACCTCAGCCTCCTGAGTAGCTGGGACTGAGGTGCAATCCACCACGCCCAGCTAATTTTTTGTAGAGACAGTTTTACCATGTTGCCCAGGCTGATCTCGAACTCCTGGGCTCAAGCAATTCGCCTGCTTCAGCCTTCCAAAATACTGGGATTACAGGTGTAATTGGGTTTTTTTTTAAGGCTTTAAAATTTCCAGAACATTTTTTCTCATTTCCTCCTGATCATTACAAAAATCTTTACTGAAAGGTAGGGCATTGTAAGAGAGTTAACTTCATTTTGCAGATACACTCAGAGGGGTTAAAAATTTGCAGGTACATATGCACATGACTATTAAGTGATAAAACAAGTCTCAAAGCTGTTTTTACCCTTTCTTTCTTTTTTTTTGAGACAGTCTTACTCTGTTGCCCAGGCTGGAGTGCAGTGGTGAGATCATAGCTTACTACAGCCTTGACCTCCAGGGCTCAAGTGATCCTCCTGCCTCAGCTTCCTACATAGCTAGGACTACAGGCATGCACTACCATGCCCAGCTAAGTTTATATGTGTGTGTGTGTGTGTGTGTGTGTGTGTGTGTGTGTGTGTATTATTTATTTATTTATTTTTAGTAGGTGGAGTCTCGCTCTGTCACCGAGCCTGGAATGCAGTGGTGAGAGCTCACTGCAGCCTCTGCCTCCCAGGTTCCGGTGATCCTCCTGCCTCAGCCTCCTGAGTAGCTGGGACTATGGGTGCGCACCACCACCATGCCTGGCTCTTTTTTTTTCTGGAGACAGAGTTTTGCTCTTGTTGACCAGGCTGGAGTGCAGTGGCGCTATCTCGGCTCACCACAACCTCTGTCTCCCAGGTTCAAGTGGTTCTCCTGCCTTAGTCTCCCGAGTAGCTAGGATTACAGGCATGCGCCACCATGCCTGGCTAATTTTGTGTTTTTGGTGGAGACGGTTTCCCTGTGTTGGTCAGGCTGGTCTCGAACTTCCGACTTCAGGTGATCCGCCCACCTTGGCCTCCCAAAGTGTTGGGATTACAGGCGTGAGCCACCGTGCCCAGCCTTTTTTTGTATTTTTATATTTGGTTAATTTCTTTCTACCCCATAGAATAAAACTGACATAAAACATAACAAAAAGAAAAAAGCATAGGCCAGGCATGGTGGCTTATGCCTGTAATTCTAGCACTTTGAGAGGCTGAGGTGGGCGGATCACTTGAGGTCAGGAGTTCAAGACCAGCCTGGCCAATATGGCAAAGCCTTCTCTCTATACTAAAAATACAAAAAAAGGCGGAGGTTGCAGTGAGCTAAGATTGCGCCATGGCACTCCAGCCTGAGCAACAGCACAAGACTCTGTCTTAAAAAAAAAAATGTATTTATCTGGAAGACAAATGTCAAATCTTAATAGTGGTTATCCCTGGATTAGAGCATTTTGGTGTGTTGCTTTCCTGGTAGAATATTGTTTTAATGAAAATGGATCAAAGGAGGACATAGATGGGTGAAAACCATGAGGAATTGACTTTGACATTCTTAATTGCATCAGCAGAAATAGTTAAAAAGTACTTCTAAAACCACTTGCATGAACTAGGTGTTTAAGGGGAACCGCTCACGCTTATTCTCAGATACATTAATAAAAGGACACTTGAAGTCTATGAAGAAGATAGCTGTTCCAGCCTTACCGCACATTTTCTTCCTGAGTGAAAATAGGAACTTATGTATTGGTGGCCATCTTGACATGAAACTACAAGATCCTTCCCAACAGTATCATCCTACACTGAAACCTGGAACCAAATCCATTCCCATTCAGCAAATGTTGATCAAGTGGCATGTAGGGGATACAGAGATGATTGCATACAAAGATGAAAAAGAAAACGTTTCTGCCAGGGCCAGGCGCGGTGACTCACACCTACAATTCCAGCACTTTGGGAGGCCAAGGCAGGTAGAATTGCTTGAGTTTGAGTTCGAGACCAGCCTGGGCAACATAGTTGACCTTATCTCTACTTAAATAAAAATAATCAGCCAGGCATGGTGGCATGTGACTGTAGTTCCAGCTACTTTGGGAAGCTGAGGTGCCATTGCACTCCAGCCTGGTCAGCAAGAGCAAAAAAAAAAAAAAAAAAAATGTGCACATCAAAGATCATAGCCCCGGCACATCGAAGCTGCAATGAGCTATGATTGCATCACTGCACTCCAGCCTGGGTGACAGAATGAGACCCCGTTGCAAAAAAAAAAAAAAAAGTTTGCCAGTATCAGACGTGAAAAATAAACTTAAGATACTTGAAGATGACAAGTAAATCATCTTCCCATTTTACAGATTTTATGGAAAGAACTCTTCTTATGTCCATGGGGGATTGGATTCAAATGGAAAGCCAGCAGATGCAGTCTACGGACAGAAAGTAAGCATTTCAAGCCTTATTTAGGCTGTTAAGCAGGTAGAAAATAACTCATAAAATTGAAGTGGATCATACTTAATAGATTTGCTGATAAAGATCCAGTTTCTCAACTTTTTAGTAAAAGTTGATGTGTTTTATTACTATTTGATTAATATATTTGTTGAAATACTTATGTGATGTCAGATTTGTTAATTTTGTATGATATATTCTAAAGCTTTTGTGTGTTGGAAGATAATTGGCTTTAGCATGGGGATCATCTTTTCTAAACTTTGAAAAGTGTGTTAATTCAGGACAGTTATTTAAAAAACTCAAGCGCGGTCACTGGGAATAGAGTATACAAAGAAACATCAAAATTCAGTCTGCATATCCTGTAATTTAAATATACACATTCTCTTTGTGTTGTGTTGGAAGGTTTTTTTTAGTTGGAGGTTATTTAAATTTTAAGGCATTCTCAGTTGATTATTATTATTATTATTATTTTTTTAAGGAAATCCACAGGAAAGTGATGTCACAAAACTTCACCAACTGCCACACCAAGATTCGCCATGTTGATGCTCATGCCACGCTAAATGATGGTGTGGTAGTCCAGGTGATGGGGCTTCTCTCTAACAACAACCAGGCTTTGAGGAGATTCATGCAAACGTTTGTCCTTGCTCCTGAGGTATGTGTAGGAATGATTATTTTGTAGTGATCCAATACATGAAAAAAGAAACAATGAACTGTTGTGCATATCTTTAAAAACACTTGAAATTTCAGACTTACAGAAAACTTGGAATAATAGTACACTAACTCCTATATACTCCTTACCTAGAGCAGCTGTCACCACTTGCCCACATGTGTATAATTCTTTCTCTAAAATAGTTTAGTGGGCATTTCCTAAGAATAATTCTCTTCCATTCTGTAGTACAGTTATCAAATTCAGGAAATGTTGATGCAATATAATCTATAATCCATTTTTAAAATTTGGAAATTATCTCAATAATGTCTTAACAGTAATTTTTTTTCCTTGTCCAACATGGAATCTATAATTACACATTGCATTTAGCTATCATGTCTCTAGTCTCTTCTAATCTGCACTTGTTCCTTAATCTTTTGTTTTTTTTTATTGCATTGACATTTTTGAAGAGCACACTTTTTTTGTAGGATGCTTTATGGGTGTCATTCAGTGCTTCACATTAGGCATATTATGTCATTTAGTTGTGATATGAATTTTGATTAGTTAGGTTTTGCCACTGTAAAGTTAAATATCTTTTCTCTCTCTCTCTTTTTTTTTGAGACGGAGTCTCACTGTATCGTCCAGGCTGGAGTGCAGTGGCTCCATCTCTGCCCACTGCAACCTCCGCCTCCTGGTTTCAGGCTGTCCTCCTGACTCAGCCTCCCGAGTAGCTGGGACTATAGGCGTGTGCTACCGTACTCGGCTGATTTTAGTATTTTTAGTAGTGATGGGGTTTCACCATATTCGTCAGGCTGGTCTCTAACTCCTGACCTCAAGTGATCTGCCTGCCTCAGCCTCCGAAAGTGGGATTACAGGTGTGAGCCACCATGCCCAGCCTTATTTTTTCTCTTTTTGATTTGTAAATGAAGGATGGGAGATTCTCTATCTTTTTATCTTTCTTGAACACTTATGGCAAAATATTTTCCAGGTTCATCTTGCACTGTTCCTGGCCCAGTCCCTATTCTTGAATCAGCTGTTCCTTCAAGGAGGCCTGGTTCTTTTTAGTTATACTTATGAAAGGACGACAAGTTTATGTTGAATGATTGCATTTGTGTTTTCTTCCGGATTGGTCTAGACTGAACAAGGTTAGGAATCCTGTCTGCTTAAGCATGTATATAGAAATGGCATAGTAAGAAATTGTTGATTAAATCATTGTTTTCTCTAGCATTAATCTTAAGTTTTCTTTTTAGGATAGCAAACCTGAAACGCCTAAAATCTTTTAACCTTTGAATATGAGATAACTTTTTGTCTGTGCAAAATTACATGAAGCCAATTATAGTCATAATTTTTAGAGGAAGGCTTAGATTAAAATGTAAAGATGTGGTAGACTTCTAAATATGCAAAGAATCACATGGAGTATGATTGTGAATTACAGGTTTAATTACAGTTTTTTTCTTTTAAAGGAAGTATCTAACTTCTTAGTATAATACACTATTATATAAACTGTCTCATTTAATACAGAGAGTATTGAGGTATATGTTGATATCTTTCTTTTTTGTTTTTTGAGAGAAGAGTCTCCCTGTGTTACCCAGGCTGGAGTGCAGTGGTAGGATCATGACTTACTGCAGCCTTGACTGCCTGGGCTGAAATGATAATCCCACCTGAGCCTCCTAAGTAGCTGGGACCACAAGTGCAGGCCACCATTCCTGGCTGATTTTTGTTTCTGCTTTTGTGGAGACTCACTCTACAAAAAACTCACTGTTGCCCAGGCTAGTCTCAAACTCCTGGGCTTAAGCAGTTCTCCTACCTCAGCTCTCCAAAGTGTTGGGATTTCAGGAGTGAGCCACTGTGCCTAGCTGGTACCTTTCTTTTTACAGAGGAGTAACAGCCTTAGAAACTGAATAACTCATAATATATAATTGGATCTGCACTCAGGTGTGTCTTATACCTACTGCGAGCAATCTTTTTCAGGCTGCACTACCCTTGAGTGTTTATATCAATATTTTTGGAGACAGACTTGGGGAATTTTAAATATCTGCTGAAGTTAGGAATATGATTGCCTTTTTTTTTGAGACAAGGTCTTACTCTGTCGCCCAGGCTGGAGTGCAGAGGTGCAGTCTGGGCTTACTGCACCCTCCACCTCCCGGGTTCAAGCAATCCTCCCGCCTCAGCCTCCCTAGCAGCTGGGACTACAGGTGTGGGCCATTATGCCTGTCTCATTTTTGTATTTTTAGTAGAGATGGGGTTTCACCATATTGGCCAGGCTGGTCTTGAACTCCTGACCTTAGGTGATCTGCCTGCCTCGGCCTCCCAAAGTGCTGGGATTGCAGGCATGAGCCACTGTGCCCATCCGGGATATGATTGCCTTATAATGTTTTGAGGTGTGGGCTGTGGCATTTACATGCTTAGGGCTTTGTCAGTTTTTGGATATTTATCTTGTGGTGAGGTAAAGTGTTCTGAGCAAACAAAATGTATGTGAGTGTAGTCTTTTTACCGGCTATTGTAGAGTGGGCATTTTCAGTCTTGGCACTGTTGACATTTTGGATTAACTAATTCTTTGTTGTGGGAGCCTGTCCTGTGCATTGTAGGAATTTAGCAGCATCCCTAACCTTATAAGTTGTCAGTAGCATTCCATGTAGTGAATACTGAAATGTCAGCAGGGCATGCTGGCTCATACCCATAATTCAGAACTTTGGGATGCTGAGGCGGGAGGACCACTTGAGCCCAGGAATTAAAGACCAATCCGGGCAATATAACAAGATCCCGTCTCTACTCAAAAAAAAAAAAAAAAAAAAGAAAAAAGAGAAATTAGCCTTGCATGGTGGCGCGCCCCTGTAGTTCTAGCTACTTAGGAGGCTGAGGCAGGAGGATTGCTTGAGCCTGGAATGTCAAGGCTGCAGTGAGCTGTGGTGGCTCACTGCATTCCCACCTGGCTGACAGCAAGACCCTGTCTCAGAACCCCACAACAACAAAAACTGAAATGTCTCCAGATATTGCCAGATGTCTCATGGAGGCAGACTTGTCCCAGTCACCAATGGTGTAGAGTGATTTGACTTTCTAAAAGTCTGTTGAATAAATTAAAACTTTCTGTTGGCATTGCAGGGGTCTGTTGCAAATAAATTCTATGTTCACAATGATATCTTCAGATACCAAGATGAGGTCTTTGGTGGGTTTGTCACTGAGCCTCAGGAGGGTAAGTAGTGAAATACTTTAAATTACTTGTCTAAATTTTTTTTAATGGCATCCGATTGCCCTTAAGAGACTATGGGTTTCTTTACTGTTTTCATTACACTCTGTTCTTCATTAATAACTAATTATGGTATATGAAGAGTCTGAGGTTTTACCCTACTTGAAGCTGCTAACAGGTTAGCTTATATCATGGATGTTAGTAGAAGACATAAGACTCTTAGGTCAGAAGGAGACAGGCTAACTCACAGCGACAGTAGTAGTATTTTTGCCACATTTACCAATAGGATGTCATGGAGAAGGCTAGGTGATACTTCTACTGCAGTGGGTTGTGTTAAAGGCATGGGACACTGAGTTTAGGGAACCCAGATCTATTACAACAGGCAGTAAACATGACTACTCTTTGTGCTGGAGGGAGATACTCTTTCAAAGCTGTTTGCTATATAAATGTTCTTGAAAGACAGTCTAGAAGAAAGGGTAGGCATGGAAGATGTGTAGACACAGAGACTTATGGAAAATTTTCTCCAAAATAGTAGAATTGAGTGTTGTTTATATGGCTGAGAGTATATTTATTTTGTAATACAGTTTTACAGATAAGCAATCATTTGCCTAGTAAAGTGGTAGAGCCTGCATTAGATAACTGCCTAATATAATTTGGCTAATGTCACGTAGCCAGTAAGGTGACAGAGCCTGCATTAGGCTCCATGCTCTTAAAAACCAAGACACTACAGTAGCCTTAAAGTCTATCCTTAAGGCTGGGCGCGGTGGCTCACGCCTGTAATTCCAGCACTTTGGGAGGCCCAGGCGGGCAGATCACGAGGTCAGGAGATCGAGGCCATCCTGGCTAACATGGTGAAACCCCATCTCTACTAAAAATACAAAAAATTAGCCAGGCGTGGTGGCAGGCGCCTTAGTCCTAGCTATTCGGGAGACTGAGGCAGGAGAATGGCGTGAACCCAGGAGGTGGGGCTTTCAATGAGCCGAGATCGCGCCACTGCACTCTCTAGCCTGGGCGAGAGAGCGAGACTCCGTCTCAAAAAACAAAAAACAAAAAAAAGTCTGTTCTTCAAAGCCTTAGTTCTGTCCTTAAAGTCAGTGCCATGATTTTACCAAATTGTCCTACTTTGTTTATTTATATATGTTTTTCTTCACTGTTGTTTTGTGAACATTGCGAAAGTTAATGTATATGTGAATTCAGTAAGTACAAATTACTTTAAATATCTTTTTCTCACTTAGAGTCTGAAGAAGAAGTAGAGGAACCTGAAGAAAGACAGCAAACACCTGAGGTGGTACCTGATGATTCTGGAACTTTCTATGATCAGGCAGTTGTCAGGTAAGAAGATTTTGTTCACATGTCCGGGGCTGCATAAGAACTTGCATTGTCTAGTCTTTCCCTTTGTTGGAGGGCATTTACATATTCTGAGAATTACCTCAAAATAATAATTTCTCAGAAGAATGGTTTTGTTTCTGGTAATTTTGACTAAACAAAAATATGTAACTTGTTTGTTAATAGTAAATTGTACTATGAAGGCAATCTACTATTGCTTAGTTTAAATAGTATCAGTTTCTTTTTGGTTTAGTTTTTTCTTGGTGTTAAGTGAAAACTTGCATATTGTTTATCAAGAGTTGAATGTATTGAGGTATTAAATGCTTTGAGGGAATATGAAGTGGACAGAGACCTATTTAATTAGAGATCGGGCATAAATTGATATAAATACCAATATGTGAGTTAAGTAGCAATAAAGAATTTCATTACGTTAGTAAGTGCATCATTATACCTTTGGGTTTTTTCCCCCTTGTGATTAGAACAGAAATGTGTTTGATAGCAATAGAAATCCATATTTACTTGTTACCATGTGATACTGAATGTTAATATTCAGTGCCTGAAGGGTGTTTTCAAGTGTTTCTTAAGGTGTGATGAACTAATCAGGTTACTCACTTGGGTTGCTGGTTGAAAATGAAGATTCATGGTCCCACTGCAAACCTACCGAATTAGACTTTCAGGAGGCAAAACATCTGCAGTTTTGTTTGTTTTTGTTCTATTGAGACAGAGTCTTGCTCTGTTACCCAGGCTGGAGTGCAGTGGCGCGATCTTGGCTGACTGCAACCTCCGCTTCCTGGATTCAAGCAATCCCCCTGCCTCAGCCTCCTGAGTAGCTGGGACTACAGGCGCACGCCACCATGCCCGGCTAAGTTTTGTGTTTTTGTAGAGATGGGGTTTCGCCATATTGGCCAGGCTGGTCTGGAACTCCTAATCTCAGGTGATCTGCCCACCTTGGCCTCGCAAAGTGCTGGGATTACAGGTGTGTGCCCAGCCCCCTCTGCAGTTTTAACAGCATTTCTGGTTGATTTATGTGGAATTTTAAGAATTGTATTCTGAATCATAACTATTTTCTCCCCCAAATTCCTTATGTGCTTGAAAGAGTTTTTGTGTGTTTGTGTTAAAAGCCACATATCATAAAATTTGCCATCTTAACCTTTTTTTCATCTTAACCATTTTTAAGTGTAAAGTACAGTAGTGTTAACTGTATAGATGTGGTTCTATGACAGATATCTAGGACTTTTCACCTTACAACTTTTATTGAAGATAACTTTATATACCTTATAAACAGACTATACCCATTGAATGGCAACTTTCTTTCCCGCCCCCCCCGCCCCAGCCTATTTTGAGAGTTTTTCTGATGTTGTATGCTAAATGAATTGTAATAGTTGTGGGATTCCAGCCATAAAGTGGTTTGGTTCATTTTGATGTCCTGATTCATTTGCTTATCAGAATTTGCCAAACAAATGGATTCCAGTTAAGTTATTGAGTGGCATTTTAAAAATTACTTTTTAAAAACTCAGATAGATATACAATTCTTAGATTTTTGTTTTGGATAGAAGGAGCTAACTCTGTGTTCTGGTTTCTGATTAATAAATGATGGAGGAATTTTTTGTGAAATAAATGGTGGCAGAATGATATTTCTCAAATTTTCCTGTCAAAGTAATGACATGGAAGAACATTTAGAGGAGCCTGTTGCTGAACCAGAGCCTGATCCTGAACCAGAACCAGAACAAGAACCTGTATCTGAAATCCAAGAGGAAAAGCCTGAGCCAGTATTAGAAGAAACTGCCCCTGAGGATGCTCAGAAGAGTTCTTCTCCAGCACCTGCAGACATAGCTCAGACAGTACAGGAAGACTTGAGGGTATGAAACGTGTCTTCATTTTTATTCTATTCCTAGTTATTTTTTTTAAAAAAAGTTTCTGTTCTTTTGTATTGCTGTTTGGTTGACTTGTAGATACATTTTCATATTGGTGGTTCATTTCAGGGAAATTTCTTAGATATTGAGCCATATGTTTGATAAGAGAGAGGTAAGATGTGTATTAGTTTATTTCATCAAAAGAAACCACTCCCTTCCCCGAGGTAACTTGAATGCCTGTTAGACCAGAAATTTTAGGTGCCACTGTAGCACCCTATCAGTGATTCCTTTTCTATTTAATATTTAATCTTTTACACTATAAATTATTACATACTTGTTACTACAAGTGCATAACATCTTTTCAAGAAAAATAACATGGCAGAATATACTTTTTCTATGAAATTTTATTGAAGATAACTTTATAGTGGAAGTAGAAATGAACTGCTGAAGTAAAACTTCTTTTCTAGTTGGCATACCTGATTTCAGAAGTTTTCAGTTTGTCCTTCTGAGTCTCGTCAGGGTGATTGTTAACTGAACTATCGTTGAAACCTTTGCATTTGGTGCTCTGGAAAGGAATATAATTTTTAGTGCTGTGTTTATAGGCTCAGGGTTATGTCATTTGTTTGTTCAATAATTCAAATTCCTGCTGTGTGTTAGGCATTGTTCAAAGTGTAGGTTTTATATTGGCAAAACAGATAGGGGTTCTTGTTCTCTGGCAGCTAATAGGTGAGTAGGAAAGAGCAATGTTGAAATGACTTTAGCTTGCAAGTGGAAAAAATTAGCTGGGCATGGTGGTGCCTATGTGTGGTCCCACCTGCTTGGGAGGCTGAGGTAGGAGGATGGCTTAGCCTGGGAAGTCAAGGCTGCAGTGAGCTATGATTATGCCACTGCATTCCAGCCTGGGTAATAGAGTAAGACCTTGTCACAAGAACAAAACCATAAGAAGCAAGTGGAAAAGTAGGTTGGCTGGACCAGCTGACCACTTAGTTGGTTATTATAGTAACCCTAGTGAGAGAGAATGATGGCTTGAATTAGAGTTGTGGCAGTGGAAATGGAAAAGAAATAATTAGGTAGAATAACAGGTTCTGGCGATTTTTAAATGTGCGAGAAAGGTGTTTATGATGATTCTACAATTGATGTAATTGAGTCGATGTTTGTACAATGGATTGGATGGAATCACAGTAGGAAGAGCTGAGCTGATTTTGGAGGAGAGGGAATTTTGTTTGATTCACAGATTTGAATGAAAGTAGCTTTTGTTGGGCCAGGCGTTGTGGCTTACGCATTTAATCCCAGCACTTTGGGAGGCTGAGGCCAGGAGGATTGCTTGAGTTTAGGAGTTCAAGACCAGCCTGGTCAATATAGTGAGACTTCATCTCTACTAAAAAGAAAAAATAGCTGGACATGGTGGCACATGCCTGTAGTTTCAGCTGCTTGGGAAACAGGTGGGAGGATCACTTGAGCACAGGAGATGTAGGCTGCAATGAGCTGTGTGCATGCCACTGCATTCCAGCCTGGGCAACAGAGCAAGATTCTGTCTCAAAAAAAAAAGTGAGTAGTTTCTTGAACCTAAGCCTCTCGGATTTGCTTGGTACTTGATCATCAGTCCCAAGGAATTTCAGTACTAAATTTTGAATAGCTGAAAGAGAAGAATCTTAATATATATATATAAACTCCATCCTGCCTATGAGAATGTGTTACCGTTTGTTCTGTACAGGAAATCAAGAGTTAGTAGCTTTTATATTGTTTTGATACCTGGTATAATTATGTAATGTTGGTATTGCTCCCTTAGACATTTTCTTGGGCATCTGTGACCAGTAAGAATCTTCCACCCAGTGGAGCTGTTCCAGTTACTGGGATACCACCTCATGTTGTTAAAGTACCAGCTTCACAGGTAAGGTCCTAATAAAACTTGTACATTAGGCAAATTTACTTCTATTGTGGTAATTTGATTCAACAGAGGTTTAGAGAATGTGAAAACTGGTCAGGTGCAGTGTGGCTCATGCCTGTAATCCCAGCACTTTAGGAGGCTGAAGCCAGCTGATCACTGGAGCCTAGGAGTTTGAAACCAGTCTGGGCAACATAGTGAGACCCTGTCTCTACAAAAAATAAGAAATTAGCTGGGCCTTGTGGCATGCATCTGTAGTCCTAGCTACTTAGGAAGCTGAGGTGGGAGGATTGCTTGAGTCCCGGAGGTTGAGGCTGCAGTGAGTCATGATTGTGCCACTGCACTGCATCATGGGCGACATACTGAGACTCTGGCTCAAAAAAAAAAAACCAACCCAAATCAATGTAGAAACAGAACTGACATATAGGACGGAAGAGAAGGGTATAAGATGGTTTTTAATGATTTTTCTTGTGAGGGAATTGTCCATTTTGTAGTTTAAAACTTGTTAGCTAAGAAACTTCATTAAGAAAAAGGATAAGCCTGCTTTGTTTTAACACAAAAGTTAACTTAAAATTTTTCAGCCCCGTCCAGAGTCTAAGCCTG
The DNA here is from genome assembly GCF_000001405.40 of Homo sapiens. NCBI lineage: Eukaryota > Metazoa > Chordata > Mammalia > Primates > Hominidae > Homo > Homo sapiens. The sequence goes on from NC_000005.10 coordinate 151,799,911, forward strand.
AATCTCAGATTCCACCACAAAGACCTCAGCGGGATCAAAGAGTGCGAGAACAACGAATAAATATTCCTCCCCAAAGGGGACCCAGACCAAGTAAGAGCTCAGAAGGGCGATTTCTCGTTTGGGGGATTTTGAGGTGAGAGCTTATTTTGGGAGGGCAGTTGATATTTATATACTTTAAAATAAAAATATTGTAGGGTTGATGGAATTACCTGTTTTTAGTGTAGAGGGAAAACTATTGAATGTGAGCAGTCATTGAAAGATGTCTTCTTTCTCTTGTCTTTCATTGATGTTTTTGTCTCCTTTTAAGTCCGTGAGGCTGGTGAGCAAGGTGACATTGAACCCCGAAGAATGGTGAGACACCCTGACAGTCACCAACTCTTCATTGGCAACCTGCCTCATGAAGTGGACAAATCAGAGCTTAAAGATTTCTTTCAAAGTAGGTTATTGAGTTTTGAACACTAAATTCATCTAGTGTCTCTCTAGCACTGTCCAGTAGCAATAGAAAATGAGCCACATATGTAATTATAAATTTTCTAGTAGTCATGGTTAAAAAAAAAAAGGTAAAAAGAAACTGGATAATTTTAATAACATTTAACTTAAGGCATTGTCATTTCAACATGTAAGAATATTGTGAGAGATATTTTACACTTTTTCATAATCTTTGAAATCCAAATGTGCCTCCCATAATTTTACACTTATGAGAGGCACATCTCAATTCAGACTAGCTATATTTATAATTCAAGTGCTCAGTAGTCACATGCATCTAGTGGCTACTGTATTGGACTGTGTACATGTAATGTTTAAAGATAATGGTCTAAGTAGTTATCTGAGAATGTGTTTCACTTGCAGGTTATGGAAACGTGGTGGAGTTGCGCATTAACAGTGGTGGGAAATTACCCAATTTTGGTTTTGTTGTGTTTGATGATTCTGAGCCTGTTCAGAAAGTCCTTAGCAACAGGGTAAGCAGCTTTTTGTCTTGATTTTTTTTTTTTTTTTTTAAAAAGGGTTTTGGTTCTTTAGAATATATCTTTACAGCTGGGTCTTTATGTAAAGTGCAGTTTATTCCAACATGTTCAGGTAATTTATTCATTATTTTCAACCATTATTAAAAGACTTGCCTGGGGGTTTAGGAAAACAAACCTTATGTTTAAGTAACTTAGTTTTTGAAAACATGAATTATGAGAATGAGAAAATGAATAGTTATCAGTGCACTGAGATTTACGTAACTACCTTTCCTTGGTGGTGGCTTTTGGTATACAGGAGATGAAATACAAACCTACTTCTAACTATTAACTAAGATAAGAGCCAGTTTGCCCAGGACAGTTTTGGTATACTGCTGTTTTTAGAGAATAACTATTAAGAGCTTCTTCTTTAAGTTAATAAATTGGATTTGGAAGATAAATTATATAGTCAACCTACTTGGAACCATCCTTACTAACAGTACTCTTACTCTGTACGTTCTAATAATAGAAGAATTTGTAGAATGGAAATCTTACTGTGGGATCCCCAAAGAAAGCTTCCCTTCCTCTAGCAAAAAACTACTTTTTGTAGTAGTAGAGAAGAACAAGTGTATAAATAATATTAATTTACTAAGCTATACTTTTTTATTGAGGTGAAATTTACATAACAAAATTAACCATTTAAAAATGTACAACTTAATTGCATTTAGAACACATTATTGTGCAACCATTACCTTTAATTCCAAAAGTTTTTTACTAAAAGCCATAAGCTCTTTACTCACTAAGCAGTCATTCCTTGTACCTGTCTCCCAACCCCTGGCAGCCACTAATCTGCTTTCTGTCCCTATGAATTAAAATTGTGTACTTTAAACCATATAATAAAAATACTGCAGATCAGTGATATTCTCCAGAATGTTAATGGGCATACTGCAAAGTTTTTTATTTTTTTATTTTTTTTTTTTTGAGACAGTGTCTCTCTCTGCCACCCAGGCTGGAGTGCAATGGTGTGATCTTGGCTCACTGCAACCTCCACATCCTGGGTTCAAGCAGTTCTCCTGCCTCAACTTCCTGAGTAGCTGGGATTACAGGCACCCGCCACCATGCCCAGCTGATTTTTTTGTATTTTTAGTAGACATGGGGCTTCCCCATGTTAACCAGGCTGATCTCGAACTCCTGACCTCAGGTGATCCGCTGACCTTGGCCTCCCAAAGTGCTGGGATTATAGGTGCGAGCCAATGCACCTGGCCTTACTGCATAGTTTAATGTTGTGGTTATAACATGTCAACCTGAGTATGCAAATATACATTATCTTTCAAATTATTTGACCATTTATTTTTGTGAAGCATCTCCTGCAAAATACTGTTTGAGAAATGAGAGAACAGTGGTTTATCTCACCAAAGCCACTGAAGAACCCAGAAATGTCCAGTAGGCTTTGTAGATAAATCCATCATTCAGCATGTATTAGGCCTAGTGGCCACCCTTCATTTCATGGTATTGATAGAAGTCTACTATGCTCCCTTCACTAATTTTTTGTGTGAGCAGAAATAGCTTATGTAAGACTGATTGCCGTGGTGTATGACATACTGTAGTGTAGCTTACCGTTTCAAAGCTTATTTTTCCCTGGAGGCCTTGGTTTGTATTCTCCTTTCATCACTCATTAGTGTTGTGACCCATGGGACAAGTTACTTAACCTCCCCGGCCCTTAGTTTGCTAGTCCTTAAAGTAGGTATCTACCATCAGAGGGTTGTTGTAAAGGTTAAGTGAGCTAATAAATTTGAATAGAGCTGGGCACAGTGGCTCACGCCTGTAATCCCAGCACTTTGGGAGGCCGAGGCGGGCGGATCACGAGGTCAGGAGATTGAGACCATCCTGGCTAACACGGTGAAACCCCGTCTCTACTAAAAATACAAAAAATTAGCTGGGTGTGGTGGCGGACGCCTGTAGTCCCAGCTACTCGGGAGACTGAGGCAGGAGAATGGCGTGAATCTGGGAGGCGGAGCTTGCAGTGAGCCGAGATCGCGCCACTGCACTCCAGCCTGGGCAGCAGAGCGAGACTCCATCTCAAAAAATAAATAAATAAATAAATTTGAATAGAACACTTCCGCGACACATAGTAAGTACTCTTAGATACTCATTTTAAGAAATTAGAAAATTACATTGCTGGTGAAGAGCATAAATTGAATATATTGAAATGTTTCGTAGCCCCTTAACTACTTTGGCTCTGTTAGGAGGAAACGAAGGCCAAGACTATCCAAAATTCTCAGGAGGTGTTAAAGAGCAAATTAAAGTTTATGTCAAATTAATGAAGTTTTTATTTTAAATGTATATGTACTTTGCATAAATATGTACAGTACCATCTTTTCACACTGGTGATGATGAGGTTTTATTCTAAGCCTCCAAATCTATGGAGAAGGTGGCAATTTTTTTTATTTTTTATTTTTTATTGGGACGGAGTCTCACTCTGTCGCCCATGCTGGAGTGCAGTGGCACGACCTTGGCTCACCACAACTTCCGCCACCCGGGTTCAAGTTGCACTCCAGTCTGGGTGACGAGTGAAACTCTGTCTCATTAAAAAAACAAACAAAAAACTGAACTGTGAGAACTTAGCTGATTTATAATCTGCTGGTTCTTTTTTTTTTCTGAGTCGGAGTCTCGCTCTTTTTCCCAGACTGGAGTACAATGGCGTGATCTTGGCTCACTGCAACCTCCGCCTCCTGGGTTCAAGCAATTCTCCTGCCTCAGCCTCCTTGAATAGCTGGAACTACAGGCGTGTGTCACCATGTCTGGCTAATTTTTGTGTTTTTTTAGTAGAGACGGGGTTTCACCATGTTGGTCAGGCTGGTCTTGAACTCCTGACCTCGTAATCCACCCGTCTCGGCCTCCCAAAGTGCTGGGATTACAGGCATGAGTCACCGTGCCCAGCCTCTGCTGGTTCATTATTACAGCTTTCTTTATCTTTGATAGTGATAGCCAGCTCATCAGTACTCTTAAGTCTGGTCACCTTGATTCTTACAGCCCATCATGTTCAGAGGTGAGGTCCGTCTGAATGTCGAAGAGAAGAAGACTCGAGCTGCCAGGGAAGGCGACCGACGAGATAATCGCCTTCGGGGACCTGGAGGCCCTCGAGGTGGGCTGGGTGGTGGAATGAGAGGCCCTCCCCGTGGAGGCATGGTGCAGAAACCAGGATTTGGAGTGGGAAGGGGGCTTGCGCCACGGCAGTGAATCTTCATGGATCTTCATGCAGCCATACAAACCCTGGTTCCAACAGAATGGTGAATTTTCGACAGCCTTTGGTATCTTGGAGTATGACCCCAGTCTGTTATAAACTGCTTAAGTTTGTATAATTTTACTTTTTTTGTGTGTTAATGGTGTGTGCTCCCTCTCCCTCTCTTCCCTTTCCTGACCTTTAGTCTTTCACTTCCAATTTTGTGGAATGATATTTTAGGAATAACGGACTTTTAAAGAAGCAAAAAAAAAGACTGAATTTCCTTGCTTACTTTGCATATACAGACTGGATTTTTTTTTTTTTTTTACAGCCATTTCCCCAAAGGAATGTCTTGCATATTACTGACATTTGGTATGTTTCATTCATTGGAATATTTCTTATTTTCTACGTGTTTGAAAAGCCTGTAAGAAATACAGGATTTGATAATATTTTGAAGGCAGGAAAAACCCAAATTGTTTCTTCTTTGAGAGTCATGACTACCTTCTGGTGTGGAGAAATTGCCATTGGAAAATTTGACAATTTTGATTCTCACTGGTATGTTTAAAAACTGAATAAAAGGAATAGAATTTTTTTTTGATAAAGGATCACAAAACAATTCTAAAACCTAACTGTTTTTACCATTGAAATTTAAATTGTGATAATAGGTTTTAAATGTCTAGAATGCAACTGATAGGCTTTTCTTGAACTGTTAGTTTTTTTGAAGTAGTTTTTTCATGTTTAATTTGTATTTGTAAAAAAACAAAAAGCAAAAAAATTCCCAAAACCCAGATAACAACCAGAGCAAAACTGTTGTGCCTTCTATTTATCTTTGATTTCAGTCTTGGCAATTGTTTAAAAAAAAAATCTAGATTTGTTTTATTAGGTTCAGAGTATGTGGGGAATTATAGAATCCCTCTTTCATCACTTTGTGTATGTCTTTTGTTAACATATTTGTTATGCCTTATTCTAAAATTGAGTCTCAAACTGGAATGCCTTTGAAGACAGATGCTTCTATAGAGGTTCTTTGACCTAAATAGTTCAGCATTTGTATTTTTATTCTGGTATCTAATCAGATTCCTAATCATAGCCCGTAAGAAGGAATGTTACTTTAATATTGGACTTTGCTCATGTGCTCGTGTCCGCATTTTTTTTTTTCTTAAAATCATAGCCATATGGTAAATTTTCTATTTTGTTATGGTTCTCTTTTATTGATGGGCATGCAGTGGGTGTTACTTGGAAATGGCCAATTTTTATTAAAATATTTCTGGAAGAAAATTTAATCTGGCAATATAGACTAATACTCGTTTCACATATGTGTTATTTGTTGAGTGCTGTGTGTGAGATGGGTGAAGGTTTTGTTTACACGTGTGAAACAAACTTTTGTGTGATTGTCATTACTAATTGAAGGGCAACCAGGTTGTAAAATTCAGCGTATTTATTTTCTTAACAGTATTCATCTTTAGGACTGTCGTTTGAGGATAGCATAGGAATATTTGGTTTGCATTACTGAGAAACTCTAGGTTTGCTGTGATGGTTAAGACCACAGTGAAGTTGGTATTACCAGTTTGGTTCCAGTTCCTCAAATATTTGAAAATTGGCAGCATCTCCTTTACATAAACTTAATGTAACTGAATCACATGGCTTTTTTGTAGGGTTAAAGTAACTTTGGTAACCACTTTTGGCCCAGATCACTGATAATAGGAAGAAATACAACTTATACTTTTGTAGCTTATATTAAGCATGTGGTGGGTGGAAAGAAAAGTTTAGTCTGAGTCACTTTGGAAAAAAAAATTACTTTGTGGTAACTTCAAGGTCATAAATTATGGATAGCCTAGAAATTATCCTTCATGAGTGAATACTAAATTATACATTTCAAAACAGAAGTTCTTCCTACTTGGAGACTTAAGGGCATTAACTAGATGCAGCAATCCTCAGCTTGGTGTTATCACATACTAGAGGACATTTGGAAATGTGTGAAATTTGGAAGGGTTGTTGGAGAGACATGCATCTGGCATTTATTGGGTGGGGTCTAAGGATACCAAATGTTGTGTAAAAATGAAGCAACCCCATTGAGAACACTGATAGTCCCTATTCCTGTGGGTGGGTGGAGCTGTGGGATTAGGAAAACTGGAATGAAGACTCATTCTTTTGAAACTCAGCCTCAGATAAATAACAAACTAGGAAATGGAAATCTGTTTCAAGAATTGCAGTAACATCTACTCTAAGGAATTAGTAATTTCACTTTTTATTATTTGTACCAAATGTATGTGTGTGTTGTGTATGTTGGTGTAAATGTGGAGAGGTGGTAGCAATACATACTGATGCTGCTTGTAATTTGTTGCAGGGAATTACTGCACAATCTCAGAAAATAGAAAGCTTCCCCAGTGCTTTCTGTCATCAGAGTTGGGATGATTGTGAGGTTTTGAATGATAGTATTGGACCTAAGAAATAGGATTAGCATCATGATCAGAACTGTTGAGAATCCTTGTACAATTATGTACATTATTGCATGTAGAGTAAACCTGAGAGCTTAGAGATGTATACGTTTCCACTGCTGGAAAATCATTATAAGTTAGGGCAACATTTTCTATAGGTGGCAGCAGTAGGAGCTCATCACATTGAACATTTTCAGATTTTAAAATGAAAATTTTCATCCGTAGGAATGGCCCAATGTATAGTTATTAGCTACTGAGCTTAGAACTCTTGACCCATGAGATTTTTTTTTTAAATTTTTATTTTTATAGAGGCAAGGTCTTGCTATGTTGTCAGGCTGGTCTCAAGCTCCTGGCCTCATCAGTTCTCCTGCCTTCCAAGTAGCCGGAACTACAGGTGTGCACCATTGCACCTGGCCTCATGAGTATTTTAGTTAGATAAGATTTGTTTGGTTCAGTGGGTCTTAGTTTTTTAAGACCTGTTAATTTGTAATTAGACATCTTGGGCCTTAAACTGTATTTTTGTTTTAGTGGTGAGGTTGGGTTTTACTTTGTGTATTCCAGCGTTCTCAACTTTGTCAGATATTGCTAGGGACCAGTGAGATAGATAATCCAAAAATAATAATTTGACTTTGGTTGAGTATGTCATTACCACAGTGTTAGTTGAATTGCACTTTAGGTTAGAAAAGTTAATTTTCACATCTGTGCTGCGGGTTAGGTGATATTGTCCTCAGCACAATAGATGAGGAAGAAACTGAATCAGAACAGTTAAATGACAGGCTTCCAAGTCATCCATGTAGCAAGGAGCACATTTGCCTCCCAAACTGATGCTTTTTCTCTAGAACCATAATGCCCCCCTAATTACATTTCAGTAGCATAGACCGCAATGAACTTCCTACTGTAGGGAGACTTGAGTCTGGAATACATTCAGAACAAGGTTAACATTACAGTTCTTAATTTCCTTTAGGGCAAACAAGATAATTAAACTTGGGTTTTGTGAGTCTTTTTTTGATTTGCAGATTATATATGGTAACACAATAATGGTGGTTTGTTTTTAAGTTTTTTCTCATCAGGTTTGATAATTTAATGCAAACTTCAAATCTGGATGTGAATAATAATATTTTTATTATAGTATAATCCAGGTGAGTTTATAGAATTTGTGTTTTGTGCTTATAAACTGTCACCTTCTGATACTTTTCTTCATCCCTCTATTTGAAAAACCCTTGTAGAATTTAACGATTTAATGGAAAATGTTGCACTTTATAGAAGGCCATTTTAGAACTTACAGGTAACCTTTTTGAAGAGCTTAGATTTGTAGACCACTGTTTATGCTGAGTGACATTTCTTTTAAATGGTTGCATTTGTCAAATCTATAAAGATGTTTTTTATATTGCAGTTTTCTTTTTGTGCTACTTAAAGGAATCTTTGCAATGCTGCATATAGATAATTGTTGACCTTTTTAGTTCAGCAGTTTTTAAACTTGAAGTAACATCAGCATTTATTTGAATATCAGGTTTTAGCTAACTGCCTAATGTACCAAAAAAAAATTAGCAATGTCTTATGTGGGATGAGGGGTTAAGTTAAAGTTGCTGATCAAGTAATGGCCGTGTGGCACAAGATGATAACTAAGAATTTCTGGTTCTAAGGTAGTAATGCCTTTTGGGATTTATATTTGTTTAATGTTGAGATTCTGGGGACCATAGGTGGGCCTGTCAACTCTTAACAGACTATAGTAAAGGAGAGATGGTGGCACATGTGAGATAAAACTTGTTTATATTTACATTCTTATTAGTGGATAGATATCACCTCAGTACAACACTGAAATTAAACTGCCTTGTTCATGCTTTCATGTCTCAAATCAAGGCCTAAATGAGTAAAAAGATGATTACAGATTACCTAAAACCCTTAACCAGTTTTGGTTTTTGATTATGCATATGTGTTGGCTTGCAATTAGGTTTTTAGTTTCTGTTTATGTGACTTGTTTGAAAACATTGGATTCGTCTTCTCTCCACAGTTTCTACTTGAACCTAGTAGCTTATTTTAATTCCCTGTAAGAGGAAAATAATATAGGGAATCTGTTCAACTATTCCTTTAATAAATCATGTGACTTGGCCAATTACAGAAATTCCTAAGTGTAGTATTTTGAAATGTGGCCAGTGTCCCAGATTTGTAAGGTACAGTGTGCATACAGTGTGTCTTAGGATTTTTTTAAGTAAATTAAGGATGTTTACCAGAAATTATTGATTTACTGAACCAAGTATTTATTTTCAGAAGCCCACTTTTGGGGAAGGTTGCCTATATTTTTGATAGTAATTAGATGGAAGATTAAATCCTGTTTAACCTGGATAGAAACAGTTTTAACTATTGCTGAAGTTAAAATCACTTTGGGGTGGGGTGGGGTGGCTCATGCCTGTAATCCCAGTGCTGTGGGAGGCTGAGGCCAGAGGATTGCTCGAGGCCAGGAATTTGAGACCAGCTTGGGCAACATAGCAAGACCCTGTCTCTACAGATAATTGAAAAGTGAGCCAGATGTGGTGGCGCATTCCTATAGTCTCCGTCTCTCAGGAGGCTGAGGCAGGAGATTGCTTGAGCCCAGGAGTTGGAGGCTGCAGTGAGTTATGATCATACCACTGCACTCTAACCTGGGTGACAGAGTGAGACCCTGTCTCTAAAAAACAAAAAATTAGAAAACAACAAAAACCACTTCGGTTACTCACTGTCCTCATGCTTTGATGTCAGTTGTTCTCCTAAATTTTAAAATTTTGTTATGAAGATTGGATGTACACTGATTTGGCCCTTTAAATGACATTATACCAAGAAGTTGGTATAAGGGAGTAGGAGATGAGAAAACTTTTTGAAAAATCATTTGGTGCATGCTAAGGTAGCTTGTAGGACATGTGGTTTTAAAAAATTCATGGATTTTGAAGAAGGATAGGGTGGAAGTAAAATTTAGCTGATAGCATAGGGATCATTTGTGATTTATATAGAAAATAATTATATTTTTGAGTGAGAAGCATCAGACTTAAATTTTTTTCTTCTATTTTGGTTATTACCAAAAGGAACAGAGAAACTCTCAGAATTCTTTGAATCATAGAATGTTAGTGCTGGAAAGGACTAGGAAGTGACTTGTACAACCCCTTCATTTTACAAAGGATCAGAGAGAATTGGTTAGTAGAGTCCCAAATCTGCTTTTAGAAGTAATATGGTGATCATCAGTTTAGATTCACTGTAGGAAGGGCAGCCCTGTTAAAGTTTGTCAGGAGAAAAAGGGAAGGTATCACTTTTTGTATGTTCACCCAGTTGCTTCTGTAGTTTTCATACCCCTGTTTTCTCAATTTTCTTAGAACTGTCTTTAATGGCCCAGCTCTACCAGGGCTTGTTGTCTAAGGACATTAACTTGTGCTCCCCTCAGGGATGGGTTTACTACTAGCTGTCAGAAAGCTATTGGGTATCCTAATGTGTTAATAGCTGAAACTCAGCTGTAATTTCTCCTAAATACTTCAGCATTTTGCATTCTGTACATTGTGGTGCTTTTTCCACCTTGTATTGTTGTAACTGTAAGCTCCTAGGGGGCAGCAATTTGGTCTTAGGCGTGTACCCTGTTTAGTGCCTGGCAATGCCATGTTTATATCAAGGTCTTAATATTACTTTTGAGTTATTTCTCCCACTCTTCATGGAAGTGATGCTCCAGCCTTGCTAAAACACTGAGGGTCCTCCCGATAAGCCAGGCATTGTGATTCCTTGGCTTCAAGTGCCTTCTGTCTTCCCCGAAGGTCCACTGAGATCTACAATCCCCCCTTTCCTCTGATCTCTTGCCATGTAAGTAATTTTTTAAAAGATCAGTACAAGAGCTATATTTTTTCCTAAGAAAAAATTTCAACAGGAATGGGGAGTAGCCCCGTTTTGGGGCTGATCTGTCCAGAATTTGGAGTGAGGAACAAATCCATTCTCATCTACTTTCCACATTTTCCCTCTTGTTTGAGGTCCTGTTCCAACCTTCATTTCTGAAACTGTTCTAGAGCACTTTGTCTTTCTCGTAGTTCATAACTTACCCCTTCAGTCTAGAATTAGAATTACATTATCTGTTTTACTACTTTACTAGACTGTAAGCTCCTAGAAGATAAGGACTAGGGAGTTCATCTCTGTATTCCACCAGAAGGTACAGTGACTCATAACTAGAGTCTTTAGATGAAACTTACTGAGTTGAATAACTTAATATATTTCTGTTTTCATTCCCAAGGGAGGCCATGTCTGGAGATAGACCTTGAATTTAATAAATTTTAGGCACTATACCATTTCAGTGGAGAAAATTGTTGGGAAATTTGGGGGGATGGATATATAAGGGGGAGGAAGTCACTGGCCAGTTTGAGGTGCTTCCATTGGTCTGGGTAACTAGCCATTTCTTCCTGATTGTGCCTAGTATATCCCAGACAGTTTGTTTCTATGCAGAAGAATTTTATATGAAATTTTCATTTCTTTGCAAAAACTTGTTCCTTCTTTCAGTTCATGACATCATCCATGCTAAAGTCTGAGTCATCTGCTTCCATTTTTGTTATTCCCCACATCCAGTCTTCAGCTAAGTCCTGTCAGTTCTACCTCAAGTCTTTCCCGTCTTTCTTCCTCACCTATGTAATTTCAGTAGTCTCTCAGCTTCACTTAACCTCTTACTCCAGCCTACTTTATACACAATGTTAGATTCATCTTACTGAAACATAGTTCTGACCATGTATTCCATGTATGTGTTCTCTCTCCCCTATTAGACTGTAAGCTCCTTATGGGCAGGATCTGTGTCTGAGTCATCTTTGTATCTTGCCTAGCACCTATCAATAAATACTTCTTGAATGAACAAATGAATTCTCATTTCTCGACATAAAGCCTTGTCTAAAGTGAGATGTTTTCCAGGTCATACATAGGTTTCTCCCTGGGGTAATTGGAAGTTCTTGCATATAAAGTTGGTTAAATAGTAATAATTATGAGTTAACCACAGAAAATTTCAGAAAACTTTAATTTTTTTCCATTGGAATCAGCATGGATATGTGTATATGGATGGTTCAATAAATATACTTTTATATACATGTTTCACAGAAATTTTACATTCCATCTTCAAACTGCAGAAATAGATTTTTTTTTTTTACAAGCCAAAAAATAACTGCCATAACTTTTGTGACTTCATGCAAAAAAAGGGGGGAAGAGTAAGGGGCAAAAGGGAATTAGTTGTTCAAGGTTGAGTGTCCAGTAAGAAGTAAAAATGTTACATTAAGGAAGCGATTGCTTAACACGCTGCTTAAGGTGGTAGCCAGACAAATCCTTAACTGCAGCATTAAGGCCATACCAAGTTTATACATATATACAAAGAAATTTCCATATAAAAGACATACTATCACATTTTCTTCTTCATAAGGATGAGGAACTTTGTAATTCTGACCTGATTTTCCAGGCCAATTAATTAAAATGTCCCCAGGCTGCTTTTTAGAAGTATCTTCTACTTTGGCTAGCTGTCAGAGTTGCCGCTATGTGAGCTTGTGACTTCTGGTCTGGCGTGAAAGTATGAATCATCTTGAACCTCTTCCATCATAGCACTATGTTGCTGAGCTAATTCATGCTGCCCAGCTAAGCACATTTTCTACATCCCCAAAGTATTTGGAATCACAGCATTGTAACTTGTGATTGTCTTACCTGTAACAGACTCCACAGTCATGCTGGCATTGTGACCTGAAGAATTACACAGTGCCCTTCTTAGATTCTTTGGGGTTAAGGTAACTTCTTGAATAATGTACTAATGAACGATAGTGTTTCAGGAAACATGCCCTAGCTATTGGAAGTTCGTATCTAACTTTTACCCCTTGTGTGTCATGATACATTTAAGTTGGTAGCTACATTTTTGGAATAAAGGAAATGTAAAATTATTTGCAGAATAATAACCTGGGATTTGCTCTTCTGCCTAAACATCGAACTAGGGAACTTTAAAGACAAAGGGTGCATCTTTTGTGCAAGTATCTAAGCGGGCAAAATGGGGAAAACATGAAGGGCAAGTCCTTTGGGGATGACTTCTAATTAATGCAGAAGTCATTTGCTTTGGCCAGGTTGGGTGGGACTCTGAGATTGCACACTCTTGCCCTGTTGGCAGAAACTAGCCCATCTTAAGTTAGTCAATGAATCCTGAGTCAAAATGAAAGGTTGCTAAATCTAAGATCGAGTGTATAAATAAAATAACCCCTTCCTCCAGTGACTGTGCATTTATTTTGTAATAAACTCATTTTGGAATGTTTTAGCAATGAATTGGTATCTCTCTGTTGTCCTGTTCATCGCCAGTTTTCAAGTATGGCTCCAGTGTGTTCACAGCTATGGCTGCAAGGTAATTTGGTCTCTTTCTATAGCTTCCCTAGGCCAGTCAAGTTTGAGAATAAGGTCTCCGTAAGTGGCCTGTCCTGGGAGAGAGGACCAAGTGATTTGTGATTTGGAAGCACTGTGGTATGTTTGAACACTTGCCAAGTTAACAGTCACTGAGTATTCTAATCATGCACCAGCCACTCTTCACCCTAAATGTACTACAAGTTATTCATTGCAGTAACTTGCATCAATTCTAGATAAGGTGATTTTTATTCAACAGGTCTACTGTGATGCTGATCTAGACAATGAGAGTGGAATAGCCTTTGGCAGTCTTGGAATATCAAGAGGGCTTAAAAGTATTAGGTTTTTGTTTTGGTCATTTTGTGTTTCACTTTGTCCATTTCAAGTCCAAAGCAGTTGAAGACATGTTTTATCCAGTTTGTCAGATGTACTTGGAGACCACTGAGGTCCCTGCTATGTTTGTTTTGAAAGTAGAACTCAAGCTGTTTTTTCTTTTTTTTTAAACATTGCACTAACCTTCTGTCTAATAAGCACAAAAATCACATTGAGTAGGTATTTTGTCTAGATCCATTCAGTATACTAAGCAGGTGGGACCTGTTTGGGATTTAATTTACTTATATCATTTTAACTGTTGTTAGTGCTGAAAATATAATGGCTTAAGTATTGGAAGATTGAACTACTAAAATATGAAGAAGTATGAATTTAAAATGCTCTGAAGTACCTTGTGGGAACTCAATTTTTTAGCCTTTTCTATACCATTCAGGCTAAATTGACATGTTGAGCATGGTATGCTTTTAGATGAGGTAGAAATACATCTAATGTGGAAAAAGTTGAGTTTAGCAAACTGCTTATTTGATATGTAAACACCAATTTTAAAAAAGATTTGAGGCAATCTTTACTGTGGTAGATAATACTAACTTTTCTTTTTCCCCAGTGTTCTAAAGAATTTGCTTAAGAAATGTAAACTTTTGTGAAAGAAACTATTCCTTTTCCATACTTGGACTAGCAGTGACTTAATACCAGTCAATACATGTTTGTCTTTATTTTTTTTTCTACTCATATTTGGCTTCTTTTCCCCTCAGTATACCTTTTTTCTTTATGGACCTGATTTTCATGCTTTGAATAGAGATACTCATTGGGAGAAGTAATTTCAGATGCAACTGAGGGTGTAAAAAAGGACATGCTAGACTGTTTTCCTCAGGTCTGTTTACTATTTCAGTTAGATCAATAAAACGTGATAGTTTGGATCAAAAGCTCTCCTTTAGAAATACCTTCATTGTACTAAGTATTGCCTTGGTAAACAACTCATAGACATAACTTTTTCAGAATAAATATAGAGTAGTGAGCTCATAGTAAAACCATGACTTTACCATACCTATCTATCCCCTTTCTGGTGGCTACCTAGGACAAACTAAATGCGTAGCACTTACTGGTTCAAACGGACACTCTTGAAGATGTGAATTTCTAGTGGGTACTCTTACTTCTGAGACAAAGGGAAAGTTAAGTTCTCTCAAAATAAGTACAGGGAAATCTGAGCTGGGCTGAAGGTGTCAGCTAACGGAAAGAAGATAGAAAGCCGCTCTGTTTGTGAGGGAGCACCCTATTGGTTTGTCTTTGAGAACTGCTATACTAATGAGTCCTGACCCTTTAAGCTTTCGATGTACTCTAAATCTGTCTTCCCAAACATGTCTCCCATTGATTACACTTTATCCAAATGGATAATAACCTGGAATGTGCTGTCTATTTTTTTAACATCCATATTTTCGCTCATACTGTTCCCTCTGCCTGGAATCTTGTCCTCATCTGTCGAAATCGCATCTATTCTTTAGGTTACTGCTGACATTCCATGATTTAATTTTTGCCCTTTCCATGGCACCCTCCTCATCCTGTTACATACTACATTCCACTTTAGTAATGACATTGGTGCTTTATTATCCCCTCCTATATTGTAGGAAAAGGGGCTGTGTTTTTTTTTCTGATGCCCTGCTTTCATGGTATGCTGATTTGCCATAATAGATTTAATATACAGCAGGTAGAAAGATAGGTATAGGGAAGTTAAAAATCTGAATAGAAAAACTGGAGATTATGTATGCGTGTGATGTTTTCTGTAATAAAATATATTCTAGTTCTTCCTGAGCCCATTCTAACTTACACTTTGAAAGAAGATTAACATGCTTTCTCCCGGCTAAGGAAACATTTAAAAAATCATCCAAAGACAGGTACATGGCCCTGGAGACCCACTAAACCAGACTAAATAGGGACCATTCAAAGAGTGCCACTTTTCTGAACAACATCCAGAGCTGACCAGAAGGGGTACTGTGCTGGCCCTTAGAGCAGTAGCTAAGACATTCCTGACATCACTGCTGTAGCTCATGGTCCTGTCATGCCAAAGACCAAGCTAGATGCAACTGAAGAGACAGGTGAGGCCAAGTGGATTCTATGAAACACAATCGTAGAGGCCTTGTCCAGTGAACTCATCTGGCTAGTTTGCACAGATAAAAGGACTTCAACACAAGCAGGAGCATCTACTTAACTTTTTTGGAGAGGGGCACCTCTGTTGACACACTTCCCTTGTAATTTCATTTTCCTACTTCATGTCCAGAGCTTGAGTGGGAGTAAAGAGCCATTAGAAACTCCTCAGCTGGAATGAGACCACAATTACATAAATCCAGATAGTAAACTGCTATGGAAAAGAACCTTTTGTTTAGAATCTGAGCTCAAATGTCCCATCCTCCAAGAGATTTTGGATTGATTGACTCTCGGATTCCATTGATATAAAGCATACATAATATCCCTGTTGAGAAAGAGAGTGTTTTCTGATTATAAGAAGTGTTGAAACCATAGGAGTGCAGAAGCATTTCAGAAACCTTTCCAGGGTGAGGTCTTGTTTGAGGGTGAATATGGAGAGAGCTGGCTCAACTCCAGTCACATCTGCTATAAAATTGCTTCTTTTTATTGTAGTTAGTCAATGGTATGAATTTAGACAAACCCTCCAGTGGTCTGGAATGGTTGCACGTTTTCTGCTGTAGCTGCACTTAGAGTAACAGGAACTACCAGGGAATACATTGTTAAATCTTGCTGGAAGTTTTCTCTATGATTAAATTGGGGGTGGGGGAGGGGGGAGCAGGGAGGAGTCATTAGAGTTATTTCACAAGTTCTGCTCTGATGGATTTCTGATTCTTGCAGAGGCTTTGGCAGAGAATTCAGACAATTGCCATGGGAAATGGGTTATAGCCTTCATAGGATACACATGCTAAAACACCAGAGTAGAATGTCCTGATGTGTGATGGGATTCTCAGGTGAGAAGCTAGTCTTAGAGGCAAGTCATCCAGTGCTGTGAAATACCTTGACTTTCAAGGGAAAGGATTAAGATTATAATCTCTTCAAGGGCCAAGTCTCACTCTTCTTTTTTTTAAATGTCTCCCTATGTACTCAGCAGAAGGCCTGGGATGGGGTGCCAAGCCTGATACTAAAATACAATGAAATCTTTTACAACACACCGTATAGCTCTTTTCTTCAATCCATCAAAATATTCAGTTTGGCTTTGAAGAATCTCCTGCAACTCCCTCTTTTTACAGGAGAGTAAATAGGCCAAGAAAGTGAAACAGCTTATCTATATTCCCATGATGAACCTGAGGTTATACCAGAAGAAGGACCTACCTCTCCTTGACCTGTCTACTTCAAATGGCAGGTGTGTTTAAATAAGATACTGGGTTTCTGGAGTTGCATAAGGAAGCAGTTGAGTCTGAAGAAGAGGAGGTTAAAAGACAATGCAGGGAATTGTGGAGCCAGGTGGAGGTGGGAATGGGAGACCCATTATGCTTGGAATCAGTATGCAGCCAGCAGATGGTCTTTTATCCCCAGGTTAGTTAGCTGCTACTGCTTTGTAGCTGGTTAATGGCCTTACGTAGAATATAATTTCCATCACTGGGCTCTCTGAAGAGTATATTTTTGGTTTGCTATTCTCTACATTTTGTCTTCTCGACCTGATGTTTCAGTGGAAACTTTGCAGAGCAATGAAATTTCAAAGTGCATGGGTAAGAGAATGAACAGAAATTGCAGCCTTAAAGCAAATAAGACAGGAGCTGCTATGTCCATTCTAGTCTACCCCTACTTACCTTGGAAATAAATCAGCATCTTCTCACAGTTTGGTTTCATGAAATAAGACGCACAAACTGATGAAATGAGATGCTGACAGAAGAGAGGCAGTGAGAGGAGAAGGGGGAAAGCAAAGGAGAAGTAATGGTCTGTTAGCTGAAGGAGCCTTAGTATTAAAAATTATTGGGCAGTTTCTACTTTGGAACGCATTTTGCTGTTCTCATGAATGACAAAGCACCTTAATTACTGCTTTAAATAACCACATAGCTCCATCAAAACAGCATGAAATAGCAACAACGTATGAGCAAACCTATCTACTGCCATTTCTGTCTCTACAGCTTGAGAAATCCTTAGGAAACAACAGGATGATAATTGGTAGAGGCATCATCTAGTATGGGCCCTTGTGAATCTAGGTAACTCAGGCCTGGGTGAGATGTTTGTAGGATACCTTTGTCTTTCTTTGACATTCTGGGATCCTCAGCTAAGACAATCAGCAAAAAGTTACTGGTTTCATTCTCTTAATACTGGGCTTGGTTGAGGAGGGCTTCATTTCAGGATTTTTTTTTAAAGTTATTTATTTCTACAGGGATTTCAACTTATCCAAGGATGTTCTCCCTCTGCGTTGGGATTTCAGGATATGATAAGGCCAAAGCCTTGCCAACATACATGATTTCCCTTACACTGGTACAAGTAGTTCTCAAGAGCAAGGCAGCTCAATTAAAACAAGTCATATTTCTTTTACTCCTCCCTTTGGTCAGGATTAGCACTTGTCTCTGGCTTCATAGAACTGCAGGAAAATAGGGAGGGTTTTTTTTTTTTTTTCTTGGGGAGACGGAGTCTCACTCTTGTCACCCAGCCTGGAGTGCAATGGTGTGATCTCGGCTCACTGCAACCTCTGCCTCCTGGGTTCAAGCGATTCTCCTGCCTCAGCCTCCCAAATAGCTGGGATTACAGGCACCCGCCACCACACCTGGCTAATTTTTGTATTTTTAGTAGAGACAGGGTTTTACCATGTTGGCCAGGCTGGTCGCGAACTCCTGACCTCTGGTAATCTGCCCACCTTGGCCTCCCAAAATGCTGGGATTACAGGCATGAGCCACCTCACCCAGCCAGGGAAGGTTCTTAATTCAAATTTCTGGAGTTGATTTCTGACAGAAGGAGCTCAGTGGTAGAAAAGAAGCTAAATTATATTTTAAAAACATGCTATCTGATTGCCTGTTTAGAGAATTTTTTGGTTGGTTGGTTCAAGAAGGAATGATGCCATATATCAAGGGTAGAGGTCGATTCACTCTTTCTCAACGTACCTTACCAGCCCCTCAGAGTGCAAGCCACCTAGCCAACCCAGGAAACATAGCCCACAAAGAAAATCTTGCCTGCCTTTACAGAGTAGGCGTGAAGGGTGGGTAGAATGTGCAAAAGGTGCTCATCGAATAAATAAGATGCTTTCTAGAGTGGTATTCATGGCTCCTTAACTGGGCTTCCAGACAGACTAGGAAACAGCTACAAATCTTAGACCTTGACTTCTGTCCTAAAGCTGATATAGATTGTACTACCACCAAGCCCTGTGCTTGCCAGATTCTTTTAGTAAGGAGGCAGTTACTACAGACATAATAATAACCCCTTCCATTTCAGTATGTTGCAATTAACTAAGGAAGCTAATTTTCACACAAGACTATTATCAGTGATGGTATCAGTTTAGCTGGGGCATCAGCCCACTCTGTAATCTAATCTAATGCAGCCTCACAAAATACCATCTCTATTTTTTATGATGCTGATAAAGATGTGTACTTTGAAGGAAAGGAACCATCTCTCATATTTATTTTTCTCCCCAGAATGAACAAAATAGCCTATGAAAAATATTGGTGAGCTTTTGAGAGCGATTCATTTCTTATTTATTGACAGTTTAGAAGGAATAATTTGGGTCAAATAACCAACCCTCTTGTTTTTTAAACTCAAACTAAAAATAGAGTTAAAATCAAGATACTACATACCCACATACACGGACATAGATTTTTTTTTCCTTTCTATTCATGCCTGGTCTTGTTCATTCCCTAGAGTCTTAGCCAAGAATGTTTGAAAGGACTAGAGGGTGTCAAAGCTTAGCCATTTATTTTGACTGTTCTTGAATGAGATACATTATACACTAATAAGTGAGAATCAATTAAGCAGAAATTCGGTCTGCTTAATTGGTACCTCCTAGATTTGGCTCCTAGGATTAGCTGTAGTTTTGGAGGGTGAAATCACCAATCCTCTATGCCAGTGTCCAGTTCTCACACCATGTATAAATACTGGTGTGGTCTAGATAAGCAAAGGGTTTGAAAACTGGTAAACCATTCATTGTACCTAAATCAGTTTTTTGGCTACCATACTACTTGGCATCTGTAATCTCAAAGCATAGTATCCCCTGTGCTCAAACTGAAGAGGAAATTAAGAAAGTATTGCGCTGTTCATTGGAGCCACTTAAAGTAATTGGCTTAGCTTATCTGGTTTGACTTTTCCATAAAGATGAAATTCATGTAATTTGTTAAATCCTTACTACATTATACGTTGATGATAATGTCTTTTCCTTGAATATGCTTCCATTCTTAATTCATGATGATATTTTTGACTTTGTAATGATTGATGTCCTTTCCTCACCACCATTCACCAAGTGGGGCAAATAAAAAGGAAATCTGCAAATTTTCCGAAGAAAGGCAACAATGTGTGGGTCCGTATGTTTGTGCATATGTATCCACACATCCATCTTGGAGGATTTAGAAATCAAAGTGACATTATATTTTTGGTTGTGTGAATTTCCTGTAGACTAGCTTAAACACAGAGTCATAGAGCACTTAGAGCTAAGAGGGAGTTTAGATACTATACTACTCTTCACATTGTGTATTTAGAGAAACTAAAGCCTAGTCATTTCCCCAAGGTCACTCAGCCTATTATAGTGGCAGGACTAAAATCCAGGTTCTTTTCATTGCTATAGTCACTCCACTCATGTTGATTTTCCATAAGGGACACTAGTTGAAATAGTCTGAGAGAAGATTTCAGTGACATTCCCTCCTCTGTGTCTCAAAGAGATGATTCAATTATTTGTTGGCTACTGTCAACCTGGCAGCTCCTAGTGGGCCCACAAGGTAAATATGGTGGCAGAAGTTCAAGGACCCAGCAGAGGTTGGGCAAATGGCCCAGTGATTTCTCTCAGATGGATTCCAGACACTACTTAAAAGGAGGCTGGTTTGGAACCTGCAGATTTATGTTTTGAGTGGAGGCAGAATGTCTTAGAACAATGGCATTGTCTTTAGTTTCTGCTGGAGGTCTAGCACGATTGTTGCCTGATTCACTAAGACTTCAGACATTCTGAATTTAGTCCAGTAATGAGTAAAGTAGGAAGAAGGGCTTCTTTAATTTTTTTTAGATTAAAAAATGATTTTCCGTAAATAAAGTGAATAAAGTGCTAGTGAGAGGGCCTCTCCAGAGACTCATGCACCACTTGAGAATGTAGTGCTAATGAAAGGCGCTGACAGCAGCTCGAAGACTGATGTTCTCATCTTGAAGTATAGTAGTTCAAGTCCCTCTTTTAAACTTTTCCTCCTTTGGACACATGTTTGTGATGGGGGAAAGGATGGTTTTAGATGAGAGACTCTCTACCCACTTGGCTCCCATCTCCCAAGATTTCTTAATAAAATAGATTCCAGGTTCTATCTCATATCATCCAAAGCTGTAATACAGTTTAGCTTTTTGGTCTACACAGGCCAAGAGAAGGGAAGGCAATAATTTATTTTCCCCGGACCTGGATGTAAACACCTTTACCATTCAAGCCTCAAAGCCAAACCCTTTTTTGGCTGCATAGTGCATTTTCCTTATGTAAATCTCTTTAGATCTTTGCCATGACCTGCTACTTTAGGCCTGTATTAGTTATTGTGCTGTGGGAATGGGAGAAAATCCTCTATGGGAAGGTGCTTTAGGGAAAAGTTAGGCTTCCAGTGTCTCTTCTCTGCTTACCACTCCTCCTCCATCCTGCCTTAAGTTGGAGATTTTTAAAAGACACATGTGAAACCCCAGGCCTCAGTACAAACTGATTGTCAGCTATCTCAACATTCTACATACACCTTTGATCCAAAGCTCAGACACTAAAGTGCAAAGAAAGAAATGGAACCCCAGTACTCTGGCCATGGGCCAAAGCAGGGAAAATGCTTCAGACAATGGTGCCATTATTTCAGGCATAGTGCTGTTGACATTGGACAGAGAGGCCTGCTGTCTCCACCTTGCAGACCTCCCATCTGTGATATCCATTTCTGTCAGTAGGACCATGCCCACCCACCCCACCCCCAAACTAAATTCGTCTGCTGGTCCTTCTTTTTTTCTGGAGTGCCCTACCTGTCCCAGGACAATTCTGGCACTTCAGAATTAAAAGGAAAGAGAAATACTTGTCTAACTTTCCTAAATGTTAAAGCACCTAAAAGGAAAAAAAACAGACTTACAAAAATATAACGGGGTCAGCCCCCCAAACTTTGCACATTATGATATATGATATGTCAAAATATAACAAACATTTTCTAAACATTACCACATTACCATCTCTCTCCACCCATTTATACCTAATCGGCAGTAGACTCAACACTGCCCTTTCACCTCTTAAAACTTTACTCTGTAGAACCACTAGATAATAAATATATTTCACACCACTGACCCCACCTTCCCAAACATGCACTCAGTTGCAGTTCCAAAGAGACTCTCCAAAAAAATAGTCATTTGAAAAAAGTACCTGTTTACACTCAGTCTATCTGCATATTATCTTTCAAGATTATTACTTTTTTTAACCATAAAAAAGATTGCATATTGGCAATATAATGAGAAAACCACATTGGCCATTTCTGGGTGCTGGTGAAGGGTGAGTGGGGCGTTGTTGAAGCACAGAAGCAAGAGGGCTCAGAGAGGGGCAATTGTGGTCCTCAGCCTTGAGATGTGAGGGTTGAGCTGGGGTTACCTACATTCTCAATCCTTGGCCTCTGAAATGTCCGTCTCTTTAGTCACTCCCTTCTCGTCTCTCTACCTGTCCCCATTTCCACTACCCATTCCCATACCACACAGCCCTCTTGAAGCAGAGGCAAAATGGCTTTTTGGCATGTGTCCGCCTGGGTCAGTTTGAAGACAGGTATGGCGTTTGGAGGGGTATGATATGGGACATACACCAGAGCAAGCTTATTTGTGACTGTTTCCACTCTGGGAAAAATTGTCCGTTACTTCCGTGACTTTAAAAATTTAAGCAGTTACTAGGCTGATAGGTTAAGAAACAAATCTTTTGTTTTTGGGGTTTTGCATTAATATTAAGCATGAATATATATCATATATTACATTACTTTCTTTCTGCTCTGGGGCAGACTGCGCTCTCCTTCCAAACAGGAAAACTGCACAGCCCATGGACAGATTTTTGAAAGCTATTATTTCCCCAATCCCCCACCCCCTGCCCTTACCCCCTCCTTTCCTCCCAGCCCTCAGTTGCTGTATTAGAAAAGTCCCTCCTGACCCCCCGCCCACAGCCCATCTGAGGTTAAATAGTGCCACATTGTAAAATTCATGCATCACTGCATTTTGCTATTGCACATATTGCAGAGAGAGTTGTGTAAGTGTGCCCCCTCCCTCCGTTCCCCTTCTCTTCCTTAGTCTCTCAGATTCCTGTGCTATTCCCACGTTCCCCTCTCCCAGCCTCCCCCAACCTTTCAGACCCTTCACTGGTTGTGGACGTCCTCTCTACGGACAATCTTGTAGATGATCCAGTAGAACATGTTGAAAATGAGGAAGGCCATGGGGAAGCCAATGCGGGATATTTTGTCGATCTTCTTGGCCCTCTGGATGAAGAGTTTTCGCATCTCCTCTGGGGACTTAGATGGTGCAGGAGGGGGGTTGGTGGTGTTACTGTTGTTGGCGCCCTTGACTGAGATGCCATCCTTGGCCTGTAGACAGGCTGGGCCCATCCCATAGGCAGAGAAGTTAAAGCGGCCTTCTCCAGCTTCATCCTCCTGGAATAGATTCAACATGGGGCTCTACTTAAAATAAGACAGGGGCTAGGCACCCTCCCTGCAAGGCACTCCCTTGGGGGCCAGGCCATGCCTATCTGGTTCTCCCTGCTTTCCAGACTGCATCACTCTAGGTTTCTGGAGGCTTTTTGGCTGGCTGGGGAGTTCTGCCTTATAGAGGGGCGCCACTTGCCTGCTGAAACAGATGCAAAACAGGGGATAGGAATGTGGTTTAGAGTCTGGAGACCTGTGTTCAAGTCCCAGCTCTATCAATTGCTGGTTGTATGACCATAGGCAAGTAATTTCCTTCTGTGAGTCTCGGGGATTTTTATTTCATTTTTTCTTCTACCTGGGGGATAAGATTCTCCCCACTACTCCACAAGTTTCTTTTGACCATCAGAGGTTATAATTGAGAACATATTCAAGGTTGTACTGGGTTTTAGTTAGAAATTCAGAGGACAATTTGGACAGATCCCCTGCTTTGCCTCTGTTGCTTCCTTGCCCTCTTCCCCATCCCATTCCCCAGTTAATAACTCCCAGGAGTGGGTGGTAAGGGGGATGGCTATGGGCCAGGATGGAGCAGGAGCTCTGGGCCTCACTTCCGTTCTACAAGCCAGGGAAGCCACAGCTTCTTCCTGCCTCTACGTTCCCACATCCCTGGCAGTTGTAACTTCAGACAGACCTCTGGATTTTTACTAAGTTTTCATTCAAGACCCTTCATCATTTGGCTCCAACTTACCTTTCCAGGCTTTCCTTCTCCCCCACCAGATACTTTGCAGCCCTCCAGGTTTGTACATTTTCTCTTGTGCCTTCTCACGTCCCTTCCTTATGCTCACTACCAAAATGCCTGCTGCCCTGATCCTTCTAGTTCATCTCTTTCCCAGGTCATGGTGGTCTTGCCCTGGTCTGAATCATGGAGGCACTATTGTCTGCTCTCCTCATGTCCAGCTTTGTTATCGTTGCATGTGAGCTCTGAGGAGGAATTGAGAGTCTAATGTTTTGGTCTCAGCTGTTGATTCAATGTTGGCATTGGGAAGTTTTATCAGCTCACATTGCCCAACTAGATAATGCTTTCAGGAAAAGAACACCGTCTTCTGCTTGTTCCTGTGCAGGACCGGGCCAACAGAGAAAAACTCAGTATAGGATTCACTGGTGCCTCTCCATCTCTCCTGTAGGGTAGGCCACCTTCTGATTTGTTTGTTTTGTTTTATCTTGTTTGTAGAGATGGGGGTCTCGCTATGTTGCCCAGTCTGGTCTTGAACTCCTGGCCTCGAGATCCTCCTGCCTCGGCTTCACAAAGTTCTGGGATTACAGGTGTGAGCCACTGTGTCCAGCCCACCATTGCAACAGCCTCCAATCTGCCCCCACCACCCAACCCATCTGAGTCGTTATAACACAGATCTTGGTCATCTTTTGCTTAGAACCTTTTAATAGGCTGCCACTGACTTCAGGTTAATTAAAATCCTGAACATGATAAACAAGGCCTTAGAACCTGGACCCTGCCTGCTTTTGCAGTCTCATCTTGTGCCATTTCTATCTGGTGTTCTATGCTTTAGTCACTGAAATATTTCCTTATATTTGAAAATGTCATGGTTCTTTTCTTGAACTCTGGGCCTTTGTGCAAGTTGTTCTCCCTGCCTAGAACACACTCTGAACCCCATCTCTTGTCTCCAACTCCTCTTTCACCTAATTCTTCCTTAGAAGCCTTCTCTGAGCTCCCAAGTATAGGCTAGCCGCTCCTGCTGTGTGCTCCATAAGCTCTCTGTATATATCTCCGTCTTTTTTTAAAGCTCTTATCACATTGTATGGTAATTTCTTGATTAGCGTCTGTCTCTTACTAGATTATAAGCTCCGTGCAAAGTCTGTCATGTTCACTGCACTCTCAACACTGAACATATGAACATAGTCCCTGGTTCATAAGCTCAAAACTTGGTATATGTTTGTTGAACAAATGTTTACTTGTATATCTTCACCAGCTTTAGTGTCCTTTTTTGTTGTTGTTGTTTGTTTAAATGGAGTTGTATTTTTAGCACCAGAAGGGTTTGAGACATATGGTAAATGCTGAAGAAATCCTTGGAAAATGAATGAATCTTGTCCAACATCTTCATTGCAAAAGTGAGGAGGAAGAGGATGTGCCACCTACAGTGCCTGGCAAACAGGTGCTCAGTAAGTACTTGTCTATGAATAGGGCAACAGTAGAAGATTCAATGCCAGGGCCAAGGAGAGGAGTTGGGGAGAGCCAGCCAAATTGCTGGACCTAGTACTTAGAAGGGGGTCTAAGTCTGACTCTATTGCATTTCAATGAAAATCTCCCCTTGCTGGAGCTGGGGTGTTGTTCTATTTTTATTTTTATTTTTTATTTTAAACTGGGACCTAGTTACGTAGGGGGAAGCACCAAATTAACTTTTTATGCTGCTTTGGGTGAATTATTCTTTGCCTTTCTCATCTGTTAAACATGGGAGTAGGAGGAGTAGAGGTTTGGATTGAAGGCCCCATCTAGCTAGAGGATTATCAATTTCATATTGTGTCTGGGAGAAAAATTCCCTAGGAATGACTGGTAAAAGGCTTGCTATTCTTATTGGAACCAGCAGGTGGCAGGAAATGCATGCCCAACTGCATCTGGAGCTGCTTAGAGCTGGAGCAGGGGAAATCTGGTAGTGTACTCTGGAGCTCAGGGAAGTTGCTAGTAGTATGCCTGCTGAGTCTGGTGCTCACAGATATGGTTTCCTGATAATTTGCCTAAGGAGGCTGGCCAGAGAATTCGAGAACCAGATGCTTTGTGCACAACAAATGAGGCAACATGGGAAGATGGTGGGAGTTGGGAAAGCTGTCCAAGATCACAGGCTCTGAGAAATTCAGGCATGTAGCTAGTTCCTCTCCACTCACCATCTGGGACTTAAAATCCCTTCTGCAAACTTCCTGTTAAAGAGAGTTTCTGCAGAAGAAGCTTGTACACCTCTAGGGTACAAATCACTTCCAGAGCGGCTTACTCTAAGGAAACTATTCTTTATGGTGAGCTCACTTCTGCATCATTGTAATTTCTGACATTTGGGCCAACTTAAGAGCCCTTATGAATGAGATTACGTTAATTCAAATGCATAGAAGGAGGCAGGCAGGAGAAATGTGAGTGGTAAAGTGAGTTGGGGCTGAAAAATATCCCTGGTTAGAAGGGATGGTATTAACTGGAAAATGCATTCCCTACCTAAAGGCAGTTCCAGTGCACCAATACCTTATGGGAAGCACATTCAGTGTGGCTGGATGCTGTGATTTTTTTTCTAGTGAAGCCAGAAGTGTGGTTTTTAAATGCTGACCCCTTAAGTCCAGATTTTAAAAACACTCCAGGCCAAAGTACAGATATTTGCACACCAAATCTGGCCTTCCGGCTACTAGTTTTTGACCTTCGCCATGGGATGAGGCTTAGTTTTTATTTAAGATCTAATAAATGCAGGACAATTTTTATCTGCTTCAGGATGGACACACTGATGAACAGATAAGAACTCATGGTGGTATGGTTAATGTTTGGAGAAGAACCTCGGGTTTTTTAGCACCTCTCCTGCCTTTGCCATCAGTGCCTCATGATACCGGTGACTTGGCCTTGCTATTGTGGGTCTCTCTCATCAGTTGCATGGAAGGAGTGGATAGGGTGATTGCTGAGGTATCTTCAAAGGAGGGAACAGAGCAGGAGAATCTGATCAAATCTAGCTAGTGGCCTTATTCACACTTTATCTGGCCAGAGATAGTGTTTGTTTTCTTTTAGTGTGTCAAACTGGTAGATACTTAGGGAGCGTAGAAGCAGCCTTTGAAAGTACCATAGGCCCACCATACTACATATCTTCAGGAGGCTCCATTCCCATTTTAGTCCATACAAACAGCATCTACTGGAGCTGTGCAGTGCTCAATCAAAGGGGCTGGTGCTAGTAAAATATCTTGGACATGATCTTTTCAAATCAGTGTTTTTAACAAATGTCTCTAGCAGATGAAATTACAAAAAGCAGCTAGTGTATAGGGAAAATGGAAAAATAAAATCTTAGAGATACTTACGTTTGGTCAGTTTCTTTCTTTCTTTCTGTTTTTTTTTTTTTTTTTGAGACAAAGTCACTATGTTGCCCACATTGGTCTGGAACTCCTGGGCTAAAGCAATCCTCTCACCTCAGTCTTCCTAGTAGTTGGGATTATAGGCACAAGCCATCATGCCAGTTGCTTAAATAGACTTTTTTTTTTTTTTTTAAAGCATCAGAGGCTAGGTATTAAATGGACAATATAGAGTAACTAAAACTAGGGGTCATTTAAGAAGTTCTATCTGGCTTGCTGAACCCAAGACAATTTCCTCCTTCAATGTAGTTTAGAAGGATGGTGATATCTTAATTCCCATGGACATCTTCTGTATTGGAACGTCGGCCTCCTCCCTGTGGTAAACTGCCAGAAGTTAATTGAATCAGATTGCTGATGTTTAAGAAACATACTGATGGAAATGTGTGTATATGTAATCATTTTAATCCTTGGCACTTGTGCGGCAGGAACAAAACTTAAAGCTACTTTGGCATCCTCTGATTTAATTCTCACCAGAATTTCCCTTTATACGCATTTTGCACATGAAGAACCTGGGCCCAAGTAGGCTAGCTCAAAGTCTCATACTAAAGAAAACTAAAGAGGCAGGGTCCTTTGTCACAGCACATTGCGCCTGGGCAGACAACTATTTTGTTTTGTTTTATTTTATTTTTGAGCTTTACTGATTAATAGACAACGATTTTAAATAGGTCAGTCTAAAGCTTGTAGGACCTGGCATATTGCAGGTATGTACTGTGACCTGCAACACTATGACAGGTCATAATGTGTGGGTCCCTGGTTGCCCTAATCTGTCAGTGGAAAAACTTCAGACTCTCTGTCTGAAGGCTTCTTCTTTATTGCTTTTAATGGCAAAAACTGCAATTATTTTTGCACCAACCTAATCTTTTGTTTATCCCTTTGTTCATTTGTTTAACAAATACTTATTGCATGCTCACTATATGTTAGGCATTGTGTTAGGCACCAGGGATATAGCACAGAGCAAAACCAAACACGGTCTCTGCCTTTATGGAGCTTGCGATTTGGTGGAAGAGATCGGCTTTAAAAAAATCACATCATTGAATTTATGCTTTTAAATCAGGATACATTTTTAGAAGTTTAGAAATTAAGTTCAAGTAGAACGTGGCATTTGCTAGGACACACAGTGCACTGGAAGAGCAGTACAGGGAAAGAGAACAAGATATTTAAAATCCTGTGTGTATGTTTGAAGAACTAAGAAAAAAGCTAGGGTGGTTGGATCTTCTGGGGAACTAGTTATGGACCCACGGTATGGAGCAGTTTGCTCCAGCAGGCTGCATGCTCCCCATTGGCATTCTTTGGTCAGTGCACAACCTCGTGAACAGAGGTTGGTAACTTCTCAGAGGTGCCCTGTCAAATATTCCTTTATTCAATCCCTCATATGGAGAGAGAACCCACTCTGGCAGAGATCTTGCTTGTTGCCTCTTTCCTAGAGGCAGGAAGCAAAGGCCTGAACCTGGGCATTCTACGTTAAGATCTCACCTTTTGTGGTGCAATTGTCTTCTGGAATCAAGCCTATTAAAACAATGCAGTCTTGCAGAAAAAAGCCAGTGGACACCTCCCAATCTTTTAGGTTTATAGTTAGTTATTTTCTTGACCCCATCAGCTTTTAGTTAATCAGTTGCGCCTTTAGGTATAACTTGATAATTTCTGTAGTGTTACTGTTAGGATTCGAAGAGTGACTGCCTATAGACCCACCTAGGGCATTATTTATGGGAGGGAAAGCTGAGACCTCTAGGTCTTTAATTCCTATTTCTAACCTGCCTTGCACATTGAGAAGGATGGACCATTGAAACAAATAACACAAGACAATACTGCTTAGAACTCTTTTGTTTACTAACAGCTGTCCCTCCTTAGGCAGTGACCCAAAGGCCTACCTTGTGATGTCTCCGCTTCCTCCTGAATCGGAGCAGCTCCTTATGTTGCCGAGACACAAAGTTAACGGCAGCATATTCTAATAGGGCTGAGAACACAAAGAGCAGGCAAACTGCCATCCAAATGTCAATGGCTTTCACATAGGACACCTAGAGTGGGGGTGGAGGAGAAACAGGGAGGTGAAAGCAGGGGAATGTAAAACATTAAGCATGGCGGAATATTTTCTGCTCTTCGGTAATTCCCCACATCACCCACTGCTGTCTGCTTCTCAGCTGGGATATTAGGGTGGAGGTATAGAGGAAAACAGAAAAGAAATGCATCAGACAGACTGGAAAGAATATTGGGGGTAAATAGATTATGGTACCTATGACAGTACTGAAGAGAAGACAATGGTATATTTAGCATTATCATTTAGAACAGAATGCTGTCTTTCATTTAAGGGTGATTGGAACAAACTGTTGTAGTGAGCATTAAAAGTGAATGGAGGATGTCAGCAAAAATGGCATCGTAAGGACCTGAAAATTCCTCCAAAAAATTAATGAGAACACTGGAAAAAATTGTCAGTGCCAACTTTTCAGAACTCCACTAATTACCAAAGGCTTATATCAGTCCTGTGAACATTTATTCAAGAAAATCAGCTGAATCTTAATAAGAACAGCAAGCTTTGTGGCAGTGTTTAAAAGTGTTATTGAGATATAATTCACATACCATACAATTCACACATTTAAAGTGTATAGTTTAATGATTTTTAGAATATTCACACATATGTGCAATCATCATCATCAGTCAATTTTAGAACATTTTCATTACCTCAAAAAGAAATGTTACCTTTTAGCTGTCACCTCTCTATTCCCCCAGCCATAAACAACCACTAATCCATATTTTATATGAATGAAATAATGCAATATGTGGCTTTTTATGATTGGCCTCTTTCACTTAGCATATTTTCAAGGTTCATTCACATCGTAACATGTATCAGTATTTCATTCCTTTTTATGGCTGAATAATACCCTGTTTTATGGATATACAACATTCTGTTTATCCATTAATCAGGTAATGGATATTTAAATTTTCTACCTTTTAGCTACTGTGAGTAATGCTGCTATAAACAACCATGTACAAGTTTCTGCACAGACATGTATTTTCATTTCCCTTGGAGCTTTGTGGTGTTTTGCCCTATTCCTGTCATAATCTATCCAGCTCCATAGTAGCATTGAAAACCAACAGCTGTCTGGAAGCCATTGGATGGAGCAGAACACAGTTGGAGCTTCTTCAATGCCTCATTCCCAGAGAGTTATCATCATTTGATATATCTCATGGTTCCCTCAAAGATGCCACTCACAAGGCTGTCTTTGACCTGATTTGAAGTTTGCCCCGTGTGAACAACCTTTTCTTTGAGGACATTTTTCAAAAGCAATCAATAGTAATTGCCACCTGAGGCAGTTGGGGCAAAATAATAGGTTAATCAAAAAGCTGAAAAAGAAAAGCTGGGTAATGAGTTGTTTATAGGGGGCTTTGGAAAGCTGTGACATATTCTTGGGAAACTGTGTGCAAGCTTAGAGCTGTGTGAATTCCCGGGAAGACTTGAGATGGCTCTAGGCTCTCACCTTTGGCTAACCTTGATAGTCTGAGCAAGCAGGAAGTGGAGCCTGAGTCAAAGTTGTAAACTGCCTCACAGAATGTTTAAGGTAGAGAGCCCCTTGGCAAAGGCTAGGAGACTTATAGTTTCCAGGCATTTAGGAAACCTTTGTCTGATTTTTAGCTGACTACCAACCTGAGCAGAGACTTCAGTAGTCCCACAAAACAAATAATACGAACTTTACGGAATTAATTCAGAAAAGTTACTGAATAGCAACAGCAACAAATCCTGAAGAGAGGGTAGAATTTGATTTTCAAAGTTGCCACATTATATTATTAAAATGTCCAAACTTGGCTGGCAAGATGGCCAAATAGGAACAGCTCCGGTCTGCAGCTCCCAGCAAGATCAATGCAGAAGGCGAGTGATTTCTGCATTTCTAACTGAGGTACCCAGCTCATCTCACTGGGACTGGTTAGACAGTGGGTGCAGCCCACAGAAGGTGAGCTGAAGCAGAGTGGGGTGTCACCTCACCCAGAAAGCACAAGGGGTTGGGGATCTCCCTCCCCTGGCCAAGGGAAGCCCTGAGGGGCTGTGTCATGAGGGATGGTGCACTCCGGCCCCAGATACTACTCTTTTCCCAGTGTCTTTGCAACCCGCAGAAAAGGAGATTCCCTCGGGTGCCTGTGCCACCAGGGCCCTGGTTTTCAAGCACAAAACTGGGCAGCTGTTTGGACAGACACCGAGCTAGCTGCAGTTTTGTTTTTTCATACCCCAGTGGCACCTGGAACCCCAGCAAGACAGAACCATTCACTCCCCTGGAAAGGGGGCTGAAGCCAGGGAGCCAAGTGATTTAGCTCAGCAGATCCCATCCCCACGGAGCCCAGCAAGCTAAGATCCACTGGCTTGAAATTCTCGCTGCCAGCACAGCAGTCTGAAGTTGACCTGGAACACTTGAGCTTGGTGGGGGGAGGAGTGTCCACCATTACTGAGGCTTGAGTAGGCGGTTTCCCCCTCACAGTGTAAACAAAGCTGCCAGGAAGTTCGAACTGGGTGGAGCACACCACAGCTCAGCAAAGCCTCTGTAGCCAGGCTGTGTCTCTAGATTCCTCCTCTCTGGGCAGAGCATCTCTGAAAGAAAAGGAGCAGCTCCAGTCAGGGGCTTATAGATAAAACTACCAACTCTCTGGGACAAAGCACCTGGGGGAAGGGACAGCTGTGGGAGCAGCTTCAGCAGACTTAAACGTTCCTGCCTGCCAGCTCTGAAGAGAGCAGTGGATCTCCCAGCACAGCACTCGAGCTCTGCTAAGGGACAGACTGCCTCAAGTGGGTCCCTGACCCCTGTGCCTCCTGATGGAGAGACACCTCCCTGCAGGAGTGGAAAGACAACTCATACAGGAGAGCTCTGGCTGGCACCTGGCAGGTGCCCCTCTGGGATGAAGCTTCCAGAGGAAGGAACAGGTAGCAATCTTTGCTGTTCTGCAGTCTCCACTGGTGATAACTAGGCACACAGGGTCTGGAGTGGACCTCCAGCAAACTCCAGCAGACCTGCAGCTCAGAGGCCTGACTGTTAGAAGGAAAACTAACAAACAGAAAGGAATAGCGTCAAAATCAACAAAAAGGACATCCACACAGAAATCCCATTTGAAGGTCACAAGCGTCAAAGGCCAAAGGTAGATAAATCCATGAAGAAGAGGAAAAGCCAGCACAAAAAGGCTGAAAATTCCAAAAACCAGAATGCCTTTTCTCTTCCAAAGGATCACAACTCCTTGCCAGCAAGGGAACAAAACTGGACAGAGAATGAGTTCGACAAATTGACAGAAGTAGGCTTCAGAAGGTGGGGAATAGCAAACTCCTCCAAGCTAAAGGAGCATTCTAATCCAAGGCAAGGAAGCTAAGAACCTTGAAAAGAGTTTAGAGGAATTGCTAACTAGAATAACAAGCTTAGAGAAGAATATAAATGACCTGATGGAGCTGAAAAACACAGCGCAAGAACTTCGTGAAGCATACACAAGTATCGATAGCTGAATCGATCAAGCGGAATAAAGGATATCAGAGATTGAAGATCAATTTAGTGAAATAAAGCATGAAGACAAGATTAGAGAAAAAAGAATGAAAAGGAACAAACAAAGCCTCCAAGAAATACAGGACTCTGTGAAAAGACCAAACCTACGTTCAGTTGGTGTACCTGAAAGTGACGGGGAGAATGGAACCAAGTTGAAAACACTCTTCGGGGTATTATCCAGGAGAACTTCCCCAACCTAGCAAGACAGGCCAATATTCAAATTCGGGAAATACAGAGAACACCACAAAGATACTCCTCGAGAAGACCAACCGCAAGACACATAATTGTCAGATTCACAAAGGTTGAAATGAAGGAAAAAATGTTAGGGGCAGCCAGAGGGAAAGGTCAGGTTACCCAGAAAGGGAAGCCCATCAGACTAATAGCGGATCTCTCGGCAGAAACCCTACAAGCCAGAAGAGACTGGGGGCCAATATTCAACAATCTTAAAGAAAAGAATTTTCAACCCAGAATTTCATACCCAGCCAAACTAAGCTTCATAAGCAAAGGAGAAACAGAATCCTTTACAGACAAGCAAATGCTGAGAGATTTAGTCTCCACCAGGCCTGTCTCACAAGAACTCCTGAAGGAAGCACTAAACATGGAAAGGAACAACCGGTACCAGCCACTGCAAAAACATGCCAAATTGTGAAGACCGTTGACACTATGAAGAAACCACATCAACTAATGGGCAAAATAACCAGCTAGCATCATAATGATAGGATCAAATTCACACATAACAATATTAATCTTAAATGTAAACAGGCAAAATGCCCCAGTTAAAAGACACAGACTGGCAAATTGGATAAAGAATCAAGACTCATCAGTGTGCTGTATTCAGAAGACCAATCTCACGTGCAAAGACACATATAGGCTCAAAATAAAGGGATGGAGGGATATATATATATATATTTTTCTTTTGAGACAGAGTTTTGCTCTTGTTGCCCCCCAGGGTGGAGTGCAATGGCACGATCTCAGCTCGCCAAATCCTCCGCCTCCTGGGTTCAAGCGATTCTCCTGCCTCAGCCTCCCGAGTAGCTGGGATTACAGGCATGCGCCACCATGCTTGGCTAATTTTGTATTTTTAGTAGAGATGGGGTTTCTTCATGTTGGTCAGGCTAGTCTCGAACTCCTGACCTCAGGCTATCCACCTGCCTCGGCCTCCCAGCGTGCTGGGATTATAGGCATGAGCAATCGTGTCTGGCAGGATGGAGGGATATTTACCAAGGAAGTGGAAAGCAAAAAAAAAAAAAAAAAAAGCAGGGGTTGCAATCCTAGTTTCTGATAAAACAGACTTTAAACCAATAAAGATCAAAAAAGACAAAGAAGGGCATTACATAATGGTAAAGGGATCAATGCAACAAGAAGAGCTAACTGTCCTAAATACATATGCACCCCATATACACCCAGATTCGTAAGGCAAGTTCTTAGAGACCTACAAAGAGACTTAGACTCTCACACAATAATAGTGGGAGACTTTAACACCCCACTGAAAATAATATTAGATCAACGAGACAAAAAATTAACGAGGATATTCAGGATGTGAACTCAGCTCTGGACCAAGCGGACCTAATAGAAATTACAGAACTCTCCACCCAAAATCAACAAAATATACCTTCTTCTCAGCAACACATCACACTTATTCTAAAATTGACCACATAATTGGAAGTAAAACATTCCTCAGCAAATGCAAAAGAATGGAAATCATAACAAACAGTCTCTCAGACCACAGCACAATCAAATTGAAACTCAGGATTAAGAAACTCACTCAAAACCACAAAACTCCACGGAAACTAAACAACCTGCTCCTGAATAACTACTGGGTAAATAACGAAATTAAGGCAGAAATGAATAATTTCTTTGAAACCAATGATAACAAAGACACAACATACCAGAATCTCTGGGACACATCTAAAGCAGTGTTTAGAGGAAAATTTATAGCACTAAATGCCCACAGGAGAAAGCAGGAAAGATCTAAAATTGACACCCTAACATCAGAATTAAAAGAACTAGAAAAGCAAGAGCAAACAAATTCAAAAGCTAGCAGAAGACAAGAAATAACTAAAATCAGAGCAGAACTGAAGGAGATAGAAACATGAAAAACCCTTCAAAAAATCAGTGAATCCAGGGCTGGTTTGTTGAAGATTAATAAAATATATAGACTGCTAGCCAGCCTAATAAAGAAAAGAGGCTGGGCGTGGTGGCTCATGCCTGTAATCCCAGCACTTTGGGAGGCCAAGGTGGGTGGATCATGAGGTCAAGAGATCAAGACCATCCTGGCTAACACGATGAAACCCCGTCTCTACTAAAAAATACAAAAAATTAGCCGGGCGTGGTGGCAGGCGCCTGTAGTCCCAGCTACTTGGGAGGCTGAGGCAGGAGAATAGCGTGAACCCGAGAAGTGGAGCTTGCAGTGAGCCAAGATTGCGCCACTGCACTCCAGCCTGGGCGACAGAGCGAGACAACATCTCAAAAAAAAAAAAAAAAAAAAAAAGAGAAGAATGAAATAGACACGATAAAAATGATAAAGGGGATATCACCACTGATCCCACAGAAATACAAACTACCATCAGAGAATATTGTAAACACCTCTATGCAAATAAACTAGAAAATCTAGGAGAAATGGATAAATTCCTGGACACATACACCCTCCCAAGACTAACCCAGGAAGAAGTTGAATCCCGGAAAAGGTCAATAACAAGTCTGAAATTGACACAGTAATTAATAACCTACCAACCAAAAAAAGCCCAGGACCAGAAGGATTCACAGCCAAATTCTACAAGAGGTACAAAGAGGAGCTGGTACCATTCATTCTGAAACTATTCCAAACAATAGAAAAAGAGGGACTCCTCCCTAACTCATTTTATGAGGCCAGCATCATCCTGATACCAAAACTCATTTTATGAGGCCAACATCATCCTGATACCAAAACCTGGCAGAGACACAACAAAAAAAGAGAATTTCAGACCAATATCCTTGATGAACATCGATTAGAAAATCCTCAATAAATTACTGGCAAACTGAATCCAGCAGCACATCAAAAAGCTTATCCATGACCATCAATTCAGCTTCATCCCTGGGATGCAAGGCTGGTTCAATATATGCAAATCAATAGACATAATCCATCATAAAGACAGAACCAATGCCAAAAACCCATGATTATCTCAATAGATGCAGAAAAGGCCTTTGATAAAATTCCACACCCCTTCATGCTAAAAACTCTCAATAAACTGGGTATTGATGGAATGTATCTCAAAATAATAAGAGCTATTTATGACAAACCTGCAGCCAGTATCATATAGAATGAGCAAAAGCTGGAAGCATTCCCTTTGAAAGCCAGCACAAGACAAGGATTCCCTCTCTCACCACTCCTATTCAACATAGTATTGGAAGTGCTGGCCAGGGCAGTCAGGCAAGAGAAAGAAATAAAAGGTATTTAAATAGGAAGAGAGGAAGTCAAATTATATCTGTTTGCAGATGACATGATTGTATATTTAGAAAACCCCATTGTCTCAGCCCAAAATCTCTTTAAGTTGATAAGCAACTTTAGCAAAGTCTCAGGATACAAAATCAATGTGCAAAAATCACAAGTATTCCTATACACCAATAATAGACAGAGACCCAAATAATGAGTGAACTCCCATTCACAACTGCTGCAAAGAGAATAGAATACCTAGGAATACAGCTTACAAGGGATGTGAAGGACCTCTTCAAGGAGAACTACAAACCACTGCTCAAGGAAATAAGAGAGGACACAAACAAATGGAAGAACATTCCATGCTCATGGATAGGAAGAATTAATATTGTGAAAATGGCCATACTTCCCAAAGTAATTTATAGATTCATTGCTATCACCATCAAGCTACCATTGACTTTCTTCACAGAATTAGAAAAAACTACTTCAAATTTCATATGTAACCAAAAAAGAGCCCACATAACCAAGACAATCCTAAGCCAAGAGAACAAAGCTGGAGGCATCACACTACCCAACTTCAAGCTATACTACAAGGCTGCAGTAACCAAAACAGCATGATGCTGGTACCAAAACTGATATATAGACCAACGGAACAGAACAGAGGCCTCAGAAATAACGCCACATAACTATAACCATCTGATCTTGACAAAAACAAGCAATGGGGAAAGGATTCCCTATTCAATAAATGGTGTTGGGAAAACTGTCTAGCCTTAAGCAGAAAACTGAAACTGCACCCCTTCCTTACACCTTATACAAAAATTAAGATGGATTGAGGACTTAAATGTAAGACCTAAAACCATAAAATCCCTAGAAGAAAACCTAGGCAATACCATTCAGGACATAGGCCCAAACAAAGCCTTCATGACTAAAACACCAAAAGCAATGGCAACAAAAGCCAAAATTGACAAATGGGATCTAATTAAACTAAAGAGCTTCTGCACAGCAAACAACAACAACAACAACAAAAAACCAAAAAACTATCATCAGAGTGAACAGGCAACCTACGGAATGGGAGAAAATTTTTGCAATCTATCCATCTGACAAAGGGCTAATATTCAGAATCTATAAAGAACTTAAACAAATTTATAAGAAAAACAACCCCATCAAAAAGTGGGCAAAGGATATGAACAGACACTTCTCAAAAGAAGACATTTATGCAGTCAACAAACATATGAAAACAAGCTCATCACCACTGGTCATTAGAGCAATGCAAATAAAAACCACAATGAGATACCATGTCATGCCAGTTAGAATGGCCATCATTAAAAAGTTAGGAAATAACAGATGCTGGAGAGGATGTGGAGAAATAGGAATGCTTTTACACTGTTGGTGAGAATGTAAATTAGTTCAACCATTGTGGAAGACAGTGTGGCAATTCCTGAAGGATCTAGAACTAGAAATATAATTTGACCCAGCAATCCCAATACTGGGTATATACCCAAAGGATTATAAATCATTCTACTATAAAGACACATGCACACGTATGTTTATTGCAGCACTGTTCACAATAGCAAAGCCTTGGAACCAACCCAAATGGCCACCAATGATAGACTGATAAAGAAAATGTGTCACATATACACTATGGAATACTATGCAGCCATAAAAAGGATGAGTTCATGTCCTTTGTGGGGACATGGATGAAGCTGGAAACCATTATTCTCGGCAAACTAACACAAGAACAGAAAACCAAATACTGCATGTTCTCACTCATAAATGGGAGTTCAACAATGAGAATACATGGACACAGGGCAGGGAACATCACACACCAGGGCCTATTGGGTGGTAGGGGGCTAGGGGAGGGATAGCATTAGGAGAAATACCTAACGTAGATGATGGGTTGATGGGTGCAGCAAACCACCATGACGTGTGTATACCTATGTAACAAACCTGCATGTTCTGCACATGTATCCCAGAACTTAAATAAAATGTCCATTTTTAACAAAAATTCTAAGACATGCAAAGAAAGAGGAAAGTATGGCTCATACATAGGGAGAAAAGTAGTCAAAAGAAGCTGTCCCTGAGGAAGCCCAGATGCTGGACTTAATAGACAAAGACTTTAAATCAGTTATTTTAAGTATGTTCAACAAACTAGAGGAAACTATGTCTAAACAACTAAAGGAAAATATGAGAGCAGTGTCTCACCAAATATAGCATATTAATAAAGAGAAATGATAGCCTGTAATCCCAGCACTTTGGGAGGCTGAGGCAGGTAGATCACCTCAGGTCAGGAGTTTGAGACCAGCCTGGCCAACATGGTGAAACCTCGTCTCTACTAAAAATAGAAAAAATTAGCCAGGTGTGGTGGTGCATGCCTGTAATCCCAGCTACTCGGGAGGCTAAGATTGGAGAATTGCTTGAACACAGGAGGCAGAGATTGTAGTGAGCCGAGATCGTATCACCGCACTCTAGCCTGGGCAACAGAGTGAGAGTCCTTCTCAAAAAAAGAAATGATAAAGAAGAACCAAATAGAAATTCTGGAGTTGAAAAGTAAAATAACTGAAATGAAAACTTCACTAGATGGAATCAACAGTAGATTTAAGAAGACAGAAGAATCAGGAAACTTAAAGAAGAATCAGTGAATTTTAGATTATATGGTCTGAGGAACAGAATGAAGAAAAATAAACAGCCCCAGAAACCTGTGGGAAACCATGTAATGCACCAACATAATGTTTAATAGGAATTTGCAGTGGAGACAGAAAGAATATTTAAAAAAATAGTGCCTGAAAACTTATCAAATTTGATTAAAAATAGTAATCTATACATCTAAGAAGCACAGGGAAATCCAAGTAAGATAAAGAGATCCACACCTAGACACATCCTAATCAAAATGTCAGAAGACAAAGTCAGAATCTTTTTTTTTCAGATGGAGTCTCGCTCTGTTGCCCAGGCTAGAGTGCAGTGGCTAGATCTCTGCTACTGCAACCTCCACCTCCCAGGTTCAAGAAATTCTCCTGCAAAGGCAGAATCTTAAAACAGCAAAAGAGAAGCAACTCCTTTTGTACAAGGGATTCTTGATAAGATTAACAGTTGTATTCTCATTAACACCATCGGGTACAGAAGATAGTGGGATAACATTTTCAAAGTGCTGAAAGGAAAAGACTGCCAATTTTTCTCAAGAATTCTGTATCCCTTAAAAATGAAAAATACATTTTTAGGTAAACAAAAGCTGAGAGACTTCCGCTAGCAGATCTGTCCTACAAGAAATACTAAAGGACGCCCTTTAGGCTGAAATAAAAGGATGCTAGACAGTAACTCAAATTCATACGAAGAAATAAGGAGTATTAGTAAAGGTAACTGCATAGGTAAATATTCAAGACAATATAAAAAATGCAGTTTTTGTTTATAACTTTTTTCTCCTATCTGATTTAAAGGACAGTTGAGTAAATCAATGATTGTAAACCTGTGTTAATCAACATATAATGAAGATGTAATTTGTATGATAATAGTGCAAAGGAAGGGGGAGGTAATTGAGATATATATAGGAGCAAAGTTTTTTGCGTACTGTTTGTTATGAACTGAATATTTGTGTGCCCCTAGCATTTGTATGTTGAAGTCCTTACCCCCATTATGACTGTATTTGGAGACAGGGCCTATGAGGAAGTGATTAGGTTAGACTTAGGGTTAGGGTTAGGGTTAGATCTTAGAGGTGAGATCTTTAGGGTGAGATCTTACAGGTGGGGCCTTAATTCAATAGGATTTAGGGAAGAAGAGATACCAGAACTCTTTCTCTACCATGTTAGGACAAAGCAAGAAAGTGGTCATCTGCAAACCTGAAAAAGAACCTTCACCAGCAACTGAATTAGCTGCCACCTTGATTTTGGACTTCCCAGGTTTCAGAACTATGAAAAATAAATTTTTATTGTTTAAACCACCAAATCTGTGGCATTTCTTTTAGCAGTCCAAGTAAACTAAGACACTGTTGTAATTAAGTTAGTATTAATAATCTGAATTAGATGTTTCTAAAATAAGATGAAATTGTAATCCTCAGGGCAATCATGAAAAAAATAACTGGAAAAAAATAGTAAAAGAAATGACCAGGGAATTAAGATGACACGCTAGAAAATACTGTTTTTTTTTTTTTTGATAGTGTCTTGCTTTGTCACCCAGGCTGGAGTGCAGTGTTGCCAGCATGGCTCACTGCAGCCTCAATCTCCAAGGTTCAAGCAGTCCTCCCACCTCAGCCTCCCAAGTAGCTAGGACTACAGCTGTATGCCATTCCATCCAGCTAATTTTTTAAA
The DNA here is from genome assembly GCF_000001405.40 of Homo sapiens. Taxonomy (NCBI): domain Eukaryota; kingdom Metazoa; phylum Chordata; class Mammalia; order Primates; family Hominidae; genus Homo; species Homo sapiens. Next base: position 151,840,270 of record NC_000005.10, read on the forward strand.
AGTATTTTTTGTAAAGATGGGATTTCACCATGTTGCTCAGGCTGGTCTTGGACTACTGAGCTCAAGCAACCTACCTGCCTCAGCCTCCCAAAGTGCTGGAATTACAGGCATGAGCAACTGCACTCACAAAAATACATATTTAATGCAAAAAGGCAGTAACGGAGGAACAAAGACACAAAAAAGATAAGATATATATAGAAAACAACACAATGGCAGATGTAAATTATACGAAATCGCATTTTTTATTACATTAATTAAATTAAGTGGAAATAGACTAAACAAACTAATTGAAAGTTAGAGATTGTCAGACTGGATTAAAAAATAAAATGCAACTACATACTGTCTATAAAAGATACACTTTAGATTCAAAGACACAACTAGGATAAAAGTAGAAGAATGGAAAAAACATACCATGTAAACAGTAACCAAAAGAGGCCTTTAGGTGATTATACCAACATCAGAAAAAAAAAAAACCCACAAACAAACCAGTCTTTAAGAAAAAAAAATTGTTAATAAGAGATGAAGAGCATTTGATAATAAATGAGTCAATCCATCAAGAAATATAACAATTATAAACATCTATGCATCTAACAACAGAGCCCCAAAATATATGAAGCAAAACTGCCTGAATTGAAGCAATAAATAGATAATTCAACAATAATACTTGGTGTCTTCAAAACCCTGCTTTTTATAATGAATAGAATAATTAGAAGATTGCCAAGGAAATGAAAAACTTAATTGACACTGTAAACCAACTAGACCTAAAGAACACCTATAGAACACTCCACACAGTAACAGAAGAATGTACATTCTTCTGAAGTGCACCATGGAGTATTTTCAGAATAAACCATACTATTATGCATAAAACAAGTCTCAAACTTAAAATAGTTGAAATCATACAAAATATGTTTTCTGATTTCAATGGAATATTAAAAATCAATAACCAAAAGAAAGTTGGAAAACTCACAACAATAAATTAAACAATGCATCAAAGAATAAATAAAAGATATATTAAGGAATACTCTGAGGAGAATTGAAAACACAACATACTACAACTAATGAGATGCAGCTAAAATCATTTTTAGAGGGAAGTGTATAACTGTAAACACCTATTTTAAAAAGAAGAAAGGTCCTAAATCAATAACTTTGCACTTTAAGAAACTAGGAGGGCAAACTAAAGTCAAAGCAAGCAGAAGGAAGAAAATAATAAAGATTGGAATGGTAATAAGTAGAACAGTAGAAAAATAATAGAGAAAATCAATGAAACCAAATGTTGATTCTTTGAAAAAATTAGCAAAATTGAATAACTTCTAACTATACTGTTCAAGAAAAAATGAGGGAAGAATCAGATTACTAAAAGAGTGAAAGAGGAGGCATTATCATTGACTTTACAGAAATAAAAAGGATTATAAGGGAATACTTTGAACAACTGTATGCCAATAAATTTGATAACCTAAATGAGGTGGACAAATTCCTAAAAAGACACTGACCCAGAAAGAAATAGAGGCCATTCATGGTGGCTCATGCCTGTAATCCCAGCACTTTGGGAGGCCAAGACGGGTGGATCATCTGAGGTCAGGAGTTTGAGACCAGTCTGGCCAACATGGAGAAACCCCATCTCTACTAAAAATACAAAAATTAGCTGAGCGTGGTGGCGTGTGCCTGTAATCCCAGCTACTTGGGAGGCTGAGGCAGGAGAATTGCTTGAACCCAGGAGTTGGAGGTTGCCGTGAGCCGAGATCGTGCCACTGCACTCCAGCCTGGATGACAAGAGCAAAACTCCATCTAAAAAAAAAAAAAAAAAAAATAGAAACTTTGAATACACACATAACATGTAAGGAGATTGAATTAGTAATAAAAATTCGACAAAGAATTGTCCAGGACCAGATGGCTTCTTTCATTAATTCTACCAAACATTTAAAGAATTCACACAAATCCTTCTTATACTCTCAGAGAAGTGGAAGTGGATAGAACATTTCCCAACTCTTTCTAAGAAGCAAGTATTACCCTGATAACAACACCAAAGACATCACAATAAAGAAAACTACGTATCAACATCTCTTATGAATACAGACAAAAAAAAAAAACTCTCAGGAAAACACTAGCAAACCAAATCCAGTGACATGTGAAAAAGAATTATACGTTATGAGTAAGTGGGATGTATCCCAGGAATGCAATGTTAGTTGAACATACAAAAATCAGTCACCATATGAATAAAATAAAGGAAAAATATCACATGATCCTCTAAATAGATGCAGAAACAGGATTTGACAAAATTCAACAGCTTTCATGGTAAAAATACTCCACACATTAAGAATAGAAAACTTCCTCAAACTGTAAAGGGCATCTATGTAAAACCCACAGCTAACCTCAGTTTTCAGTGAAAAACTGAAAGCTTTCTCTGTAAGACCAGGAATGAGACAGGAATATCTGTTCTTACTACTTCTATTCTTCATTGTACTGGGAGATCTAGCCAGGGAAATTAGTTGAGAAAAAGAAATAAATGACATCTAGGTGAGAAAGAAAAAAATAAAGCCATCTCTATTTGTACATCACATGGTCTTGTATAAAGAAAATCCTAAGGATGTATAAAAGACCTAGAGTTAATAAATGAGTTCAGGAAAGTTATTGGATACAAGATGAACATACAAAAATCAATTGTATTTCTATAGACTAGAATGAATAATTTAAAAATTAAACTTAAAAACAATTCAATTTATATAGCATAAAAGAATATATCTGTACAACACCTGTTATATAATTTAACAAAATAAGTGCAAGACTTGTACACTGAAAACTAGAAATCTTTTTTGAAAGAAATTAAAGATGACCTAAATAAATGAGAAGAAATCCCATGTTGATGGAATTGGAAGACATAATATTGTTAAGATGGCAATACTCCCCTGATTGGTCCATGGAGTCAATGCATTCTTTATTAAAACTCCAGCTATTTTTTTCATTTCAAAAATTGACAAGCTGCTTCTAAATTTTTTTTTTTTTTTTTTTTTTGAGATGGAGTCTCACTCTCTCTCCCAGGCTGGAGTGCAATGGTGCGATCTCAGCTCACTGCAAGCTCTGCCTCCCGGGTTCACGCCATTCTCCTGCCTCAGCCTCCTGAGTAGCTGGGACTACAGGCACCTGCCACCATGCCTGGCTAATATTTTTGTATTTTTAGTAGAGACGAGGTTTCACCATGTTAGTCAGGATGGTCTAGATCTCCTGACCTTGTGATCTGCCCACCTCAGCCTCCCAAAGTGCTGGGATTACAGGTGTGAGCCACCATGCCTGGCCGCTGCTTCTAAAATTTATATTTGTGTTCAAATGAAAAAGACAGAGAGTAGCCAAAACAATCTTGAAAAAGTAGAACAAAATTGGAGGACTCACACTTCCAAATTTTAAAAATTACTCCAAAGCTACAGTAATCAAAACGGTGTGGTACTGACAAAAGGATCAACACATAGATCAATGCAATAGAATTGAGAGTCCAGAAGTAAGCCAGTCCATTTATAGGTCAGTTGATTTTTTTGACGAGGGTATCAATTCAACAGGGAAAAGAATACTCTTCTCAACAAATGGTGCTGGGACAACTGGATATTCACACGTGAAAGAATGAAGTTGGGCTGGGCACGGTGGCTCACACCTGTAATCCTAGCACTTTGGGAGGCCAAGGCAGGCAGATCACCTGGGGTCAGGAGTTTGAGACCAGCCTGGACAACATGGTGAAACCCCTTCTCTAGTAAAAATACAAAAATTAGCCAGGTGTGGTGGTGCATGCCTGTAATCCCAGCTACTGGGGAGGCTGAGGCAGAAGAATCGCTTGAACTCAGGAGGCGGAGGTTGCAGTGAGTCAAGATCATGCCACTGCACTCTAGCCTGGGTGACAGAGTGAGACTATGTCTTAAAAAAAAAAAATGAAGTTGGACCTCTTCCCTCACATCACATATATAAATAAATCTAAATGTGCCAAAGACCTAAACATAAGAGATAAACTATGAAACTCTTAGAAGAAAATACAGGTATTAATCTTCATGACCTTGGATTAGGCAATAGTTTCTAAAAAATGACACCAAGGCCAGGAGCAGTGGCTCACGCCTGTAATCCCAGCACTTTGGGAGGCTGAGGCAGGCAGATTGCTTGAGGTCAGAAGTTCGAGGCCAGGCTGGCCAACATGACAAAACCCCATCTCTACTAAAAATATAAAAATTAGCCAGGCATGGTGGTGCATGCCTGTAATTTCAGCTACTCGGGAGGCTGAGGCTGGAGAATCTCTTGCACCTGGGAGGGAGAGGTTACGGTGAGCTGAGATTGTGCCACTGCACTCCAGCCTGGGTGACAGAGTAGTACTCTATCTCAAAAAAAAAAAAAAAAAAAAGAAAAAGAAAAAAAAAGACACCAAAAGCGTAAGCAACAAAAGAAAAAACAGATAAATTAGACTTTATCAAAATTAAAAACTTTTGAGCATAAATGATACTATCAACCAAGTGAAAAGAAAACCCATAGAGTCTTAGTCCATTTTGTGTTACTTCAAAAGAATATCTAAGATGGGATAATTTATAAAGAAAAAATGGTTTATTTGGCTCACAATTCTGATGTCTGGAAAAGTTCAAGATTGGGCATCTGGTGAGGGCCTCAGGCTGCTTCCACTCATGGTAGAAAGTGAAGGGAAGCCATCATGTGCAGAGATCACATGGTGAGAGAGGAAGCAAGAAGTGGGTGGGAGACGCCAGGTTCTTTTTAAAAATCATTTTTTAAAATTTTATTTATTTTTAAATTTTATTTTAAGTCTTGGGATACATATGCAGAACATGCAGGTTTGTTACATAGGTGTATTACCTGTGGCCAGGCTCTTTTTAAACAATGAATATAGTGAGAAGTCACCCCTAAGAGAAGGCATTAATCTATTCATGAGGAATCCACTCCTATGATCCAAACACTTCCATTAGGACCCTTCTCCAATGTTGGGGATTAAATTTTAATACAAGGTTTGGAAGGGAAAAGAATCTAAACCACGGCACATAGAACAAGAGAAAATATGTGCAAATCCTATATCTAATAAAGGTCTAAAATCCAGAATACATAAAGAACTATTACAACTCAATAAGACAAATAACAAAAGTGAGCAAAAGATTTTAATAGTGAGTGGAGCAGAAATGCAGACATTTCACCAAAGAAGATACAGAAGGGATCAATAAGCACATGAAACAATGCTCAGCATTATTATTCGTTAGCAAAATGCAAATCAAAACCACAATGCAATACCATTTCACACCCACTAAATGGCTATAGTTAAAAAAAACAGATAATAATATATGTTTGTGAAGATGTGCAGACGTTGGAACCCTGGTGGGATCATAAAATGGTATAGCTGCTTTGGAAAACAGTTTGGCAGTTCCTCAAAAAGTTAAGCATGTAGTTAACATGTGACACAACAGTTTCACTTCTAGATATATACCTTTGAGAATTAAAAACATGTCCACACAAAAACTTGTACACAGATGTTCACAGCAGCATTATTTATAATAGCCAAAGTGAAAATAAACCAAATGCCTAACTGCTGAATGGATAACAAAATGTGATATATCTATACCATGGAATATTATTCAGCCATAAAAAGGAATGAAGTACTGATGCATTCTACAGCATGGATGAACCTTGAAAACATTACACTAAATGAAAGAAGCCAATCGTAAAAGGCCACATATTGTATGATTCCATTTATACGAGATGTCCAGAAAAGGCAAATTTATACAGGTAGTTAAGTATCCATTTATTGTTACCAGAGGCTCTTGGGAGTGGGGAATGAGGAGTGACTGTTGGAGGGTATGGATTTTCTTTCTGGGTGATGAAAATGTTCTGGAATTAGATACTATCTATAGGCAGTTGTATAGATAGGGTTGTACAACTTTGTGAATATACTAAAAGGAACTAAATCTAATGCTTAAAAAGGCAAATAAATAAAAAGTATGAATGAAGGGGAAGGTGGAGTTGAGTGTTAATAACATATGGAGCCAAATATTTTTAACCACAAATGCAGCAGAATGTTGAGTCTAGTGTAAACCATAGGTAGAGAAGAATGTGGCATCAACTATTAATAGTGAGTGGAGCAGAATGTTGAATCTAACATAAGGAAAAGAAAGCAGAACATTATGTCTGCTGCTACAATTGCACACAGCAGAATGTGTTGTCAGGTGTTAATAGTGATCAGAGAATGTGGATTCAAGCATTTGTAGTGAATGTAGCAGAATTTGAGGTCTAGTGTGAATGCTGCAGAGAGCATATTGTCGAGTTTTGTTCTAAGGGTGAATAGAGGAGAGTGTGGTGTCTACTGCTGATGGCAAATGAAACAGAATGTTGTGTCTCACGTTAAAAGTTAATGGAATAGTCAGTGTCATGAAAAACAAAAAACAGCTGGGAGACTGTTCTAGGTTAAAAGAGACAAAATAGAGCAACTGTGTGCAATATGAATTGGATCCTTGATTGGATCCCTCATCATATTTTCTGATGACTTTTTTGACAACTGGGAGAATTTAAATAAAGTTTCTGTATTAGATGATATTATTGAATTATTTCAAATTGAATTATTTCTAACTCAATAATAACCATTGAGTTAATGTTAATTTTTAAAGATGTGATAATGTCATTGTGATTCTCCTTCCTTATTTTGAGGTGAATTGCCATGTCTTTGTTGATTCAGCAAAAATTGCATCTACCTACCTACCTGCCCATCTATCTATCTATTTATCCATCTGTCTACCTAAACTAAGACAGTATATGTGGGAAAATGATGACTGGTGAATCTGGGTAAAGGGTGTGAGGGTGTTTATTGTATGTTCTTTCAACTTTTCTATATCAAAACAGAATGTTAAGCAGCATTAATTGGAAATGGTGCAAAACATTGTTTTTAGCAGAAGGCTAAAGGAAGCACAATGTGGTGTCTGGCATTAATAATAGAGCAGAATATTGTGTCTATTGTTGAGTGAATAGAGCAGAATGTGACTCAAACAATAATAGTGAATGTGGTAGAATGCAGCATGTAGCATTAAAAGAGAGTGAAGTAGAATGAAGTATCAAGTATTAATAGTGAAGGGAACAGAATGTTGTACCTCAACTAGGGGTGAATGGAGGAGTATATGGTGTCTAGCATTAACCGTAAGTGAAACGGAACATTATGTTTAGCGTTAAAACTGAATTAAGTAATCCCAGCACTTTGGGAGGCCAAGGTGGGTGGATCACGAGGTCAGGAGTTCAAGACCAGCCTGGCCAACATAGTGAAATCCCATCTCTACTAAAAATACAAACATTAGCCAGGCATGACGGCGCGTGCCTGTAGTCCCAGCTACCCGGGAGGCTGAGGCAGGAGAATCGCTTGAACCCGGGAGGTGGAGGGTGGAGGTTGCAGTGAGCCGAGATAGTGCCACTGCACTCCAGCTTGGGCAACGGAGTGAGACTTCGTCTCAAAAAAAAAAAAAAAGTGAATTAAGCAGAATGCAAGATCTAGTGTTGACAGTGAAGGGAACAGAAGGTTGTATTGATCGTAAGGGTGACTGAAAGAAAAATAGTGCCTGGTGTTAGTAATGAATGAAGTGAGATGCTCTGTCTGGTGTTAGAGGTGAATGGAACAGAATGTTGTGTCTAGCATAAGGGTGAATGGAGCAGAATGTGTATCTGACATTAATAGTGAATGGAGCAGAATGCTGTGTCTAGTGCTGATAGTGAATGAAGCAGAATATGGTTTAGGAGTTAACAGCAAATGTGGTGTTTAACACTAGAAATGTAAGTATCAAATTGAAGTGTGTCCAGAAAAGGGTTAACAAAACAGGCCTGAGGCTGCTATCTTAGAAAGGGCCTGCTTGCAAGGTTGCCTCTTGGATGGCATCTGGGAACTTGGATTTTGGGAGTATTCCTACTTTCCCTAACTGATAAGGCTGGCTCGCTGTGCCTAGATTGTACAAACAATCTGGTTCATGCTGAACAATCTGCTTTCCTTTTGGGAGTCTGGAATTTTGGCACATGCTAGGCAGAGGGTGCTGATGTGACCAGCCCCCAGTTAAAACATGGCACGCTGAGCCTCTAATGAATCTTAGAGCAGACTCTGTTTTTCTTTTTCTTTTTTTTTAGATGGAGTCTCACTCTGTTGCCCAGGCTGGAGTGCAGTGGCACCATCTTGGCTCACTGCAATCTCCGCCTCTCGGGTTCAGGTGATTCTCCTACCTCAGCCTCCTGAGTAGCTGGGATTACAAGCGCGGGCCACCATGCCTGACTAAGAGTTTCTGTGTTTCTGTCTTTTGGGGCAGAAACACAGCACACACGTGTCTGCATTGTTGTTGCTGGAGTAAGAGTGCATTCTGTGTGACCCCTCATGGGAGCGGGAGAGTAAGGAAGCCTGCACATGGATTCCTCTAGTCTCTGCCTATGTTCTTTCCCCCTGATGAGCTAGCTGTATCTTCTGAATATGTTGCTGTAATAAATCTTAGCTGTGGAGAGCTGAGAATGGGAGAAGAGCGGAGTGTGTGAGCAGCACGGCGGTCTCCTCTCCTCTCCTCTCCTCTCCTCACCTCACTCTCATGGCCTACCTTTACCCGCCCGCCTGCTCAGCGCCCAGAACACCTTCCACCATGACCGCCTCAGCACATTCCCACTTAAACAAAGGTATTAAGCAGGTGTACATGTCCCTGTCTCAGGGTGAGAAAGTCCAGGCCATGTATGTCTGGATCGATGGTACTGGAGAAGGATGGCGCTGCAAGACCCAGACTCTGGACAGTGAGCCCAACTGTGTGGAAGAGTTGCCTGAGTGGGATTTCTTTCTTTCTTTTCTTTCCTTTTTATTTCTTTTCTTTTCTTTCTTTCTTTCTTTCTTTCTTTCTTTCTTTCTTTCTTTCTTTCTTTTCTTTTCTTTTCTTTCTTTCTTTCTTTCTTTCTTTTCTTTCTTTTCTTTCTTTCCTTCCTTTCTTCCTTCCTTCCTTCCTTCCTTCCTTCCTTCCCTTCTTTCTTTCTCTCTCTCTCTCTTCCTTTCTTTCTCTCTCTTCTTTCTTTCTTTCCCTCCCTCCCTCCCTTTCTCTCTCTCTCCCCCTTCCTTCCATCCTTCCTTCCTTCCTTTCTTCCTTTCGTTTCCTTTCCTTTCCTTTCCTTTCCTTTCCTTTCCTTTCCTTTCCTTTCCTTTCCTTTCCTTTCCTTTCCTTTCCTTTCCTTCCTTCCTTCCTTCCTTCCTTCCTTCCTTCCTTCCTTTCTTTTCTTTCTTTCTTTCTTTCTTTTTTTCTTTCTTTCTTTCTGTCCTCTCTCTCTCTTTCTTTCTTTTCTTTCTGATGGAGTTTTCACTCTTGTTGCCCAGGCTGGAGTGCAATGGCATGATTTCAGCTCATTGCAACCTCGGCCTGCCAGGTTCAAGCGATTCTCCTGCCTCAGCCTCACGAGTAGCTAGGATTACAGGTGTGTGTGACTACGCCCAGCTAATTTTTTGTATTTTTAGTAGAGACGTGGTTTCACTATGTTGGCCAGGCTGGTCTCCAACTCCTGACCTCAGGTGATCCAACTGCCTTGGCCTCCCAGAGTCCTGGGATTACAGGCATGAGCCACCATGCCTAGCCTAGAATTTTGATGGCTCTAGTATTTTACAGTCTGAAGGCTCCAACAGTGACATGCATTTCATGCCTCCTGCCATGTTTTGGGATACCTTCAGTAAGGACCCTACAAGCTGGTGTTCTGTGAAGTTTTCGAGTACAACCGAAAGCCTGCAGTGACCAATTTGAGGCACACTTGTAAGTGGATAATGGACATGGTGAGCAACCAGCACCCTGGTTTGGCATGGAGCAGGAATATACCCTCATGGGGACAGATGGGTACCACTTTGGTTGGCCTTCCAATGGCTTCCCAGGACCCCAGGGTCCATATTACTGCAGTGTGGGAGCAGGCAAAGCCCATGGCAGGGACATCGTGGAGGCCCATTACCAGGCCTGCTTGTATGCTGGAGCCAAGATGGTGGGTACTAATGCTGAGGTCATGCCTGCCCAGTGGGAATTTCAAACCGGACCCTGTGAAAGAATCAGCATGGGAGATCATTTCTGGGTGGGCTGTTTCATTTTGCATCATGTATGTGAAGACTTTGGAGTGATAGCAACCTTTGATCCCAAGCCCATTCCTGGGAACAGGAAGTGTTCAGGCTGCCATACCAACTTCAGCACCAAGGCCATGTGGGAGGAGAATGGTCTGAAGTACACTGAGGAGGCCATCGAGAAACTAAGCAGTGGCACCAGTACCACATCCACGCTTATGATCCCAAGGGAGGCCTGGACAAAGCCCAACACCTAGCTGGATTCCATGAAACCTCCAACATCAACGACTTTTCTGCTGGTGTAGCCAATCGTAGTGCCAACATACACATTCCCTGGACTGTTGGCCAGGAGAAGAAGGGTTACTTTGAAGACTGTTGCCCCTCTGCCACTGCGAACCCTTTTCGGTGACAGAAGCCCTCATCAACACGTGTCTTCTCAATGAAACCGGCAATGAGCCCTTCCAGTACAAAAACTAAGTGGACAAGACCTCCAGCCGTCGAGCCCCTCCTAGTTCTTCATCCCACTCCAACTCTTCCCCCTCTCCCAATTGTCCCAATTGCAACTCAAAGGGTGGAATATAAAGGTCTTTTTTTAATTCAAAAAATTAAAAAATAAATAAATCTTAGCTGCAAATACAACTTTATGCTGAGTCCTATGAATCTTTCTATCAAATCTCTAGATATGAGATTAGTGTTGGAGATCCCTGACACACAGTATTTACTATTAATGGTGAAAAGAGCAGAATATTGTACTTAGCCCTAAAAGTGAATGGAGGAGAATGTGAAGTTGAGTGTTAATAGTAAATGAAGCAGAATGTGTGTCTGGTGTTGGTAGACAGTGGAGCAGAATGTGGTGTCTGGCAACTCGTATTGAACATAATGTTGAGTCTGGTGGAAGGTTTGATGGATCAGAAAAGTGTAGAACCTGCAAAGATCTGCAGGATCCTGCAAAGTATAGTAGATAAATAAGTAGTGAATAATTCCTTTGCTCCCCATGTTTTAGGCAGAGCAAGGAAGTAGGTGCTGTCCTTATTTGTCCAGGTGTTCTGTGCTCTTGGGCAATGGGACTTACCTTGGGCAGAGATGCTCGAGAGCCGGAGCTCTGGGTGGTCATGGTGAGCACAGTGGTGATGCCTAGGCCCACACGAGCAGGTGCAGCATCCATGTTGATCCAGAAGGAGATCCATGAGAGGATGACAATGAGCAGGCTGGGAATATACATCTGAATCAGGTAGTAACCCATCTGCCGCTCCAGGTGGAACCGGGCCTCAATGCAGGTGAATTTACCTGCAAGAAATTGCAGTGAGAAGGCAGTGTAGCCTGGTGAATAGGACAAAAGGCTTTAGGATTAGAACAACCTCGGCTAGAGTCCTGGTTCAGTCTCACACTACCTGTGTCCTTAGACAAGTATTTGAATTGTTCTGTATCTGTTTCCTTATGTATAGTAAACTGGGGATAATAACAATAATACCTCCATCATATAGTTACTTATATGATTAATGTGAGGATAAAATGAGATGATGCTTATGAAAAACTTAGCAGTCCTCATACATTGTAAATGTTCAGAATTGTCAATTGCCAACATCACTGTTACCATCATCATCATCATCATCATCATCAATATTTTCTTGCTAAGAATGGGCCTGACTAAGTAGAACTTTCTCTACCTTTCTGCCAGTTATCTTCCCAAAACATGACTTGTTCCTGTTATTTCCTCTTGTAAAACCTTTGGTCTCATCCTTCTTTCCTCATACAAGGCAGTTCCCATTACCTACAGGAAAAAGTTTAAACTCTTTAGCCTGCCCTTTATAATCAAGCTCTAACCAGTCTTTCTATCCCCTTCCCCATCTTTCTTCACCCTAATCATGACTCCCTATATGCCATCCCTTGCCTTGAGCATGCCCTGAACTTTCATGTTTCTGAGCTTTTGATCTTGCTCATCCCTTTGCCCAGAATGCCCTTGTTCCTTCCCACAACCAGCCAAATAAATCTTCCTTCTCCTCCATGGCAGTGTAAATGTGAAGATTCTCCCAGACAGAATGCTGCTCTTTTTCTGTGTTCCCTGAGCCCTGTTCACATGATCATGAGAGCCTTCAAGATATAATACAGTGAGTGAATGGGCAAGTCAGTCTCTCTTTCTATCTGTCTTCTGCACTAGACTAGGCAGCTTGTCTGCTCCCTGTCTGTGTATCCCTGGAACTGGGATGGGGCCAGTCTTATGGTGGGATCTTAGTTCCTGTCTACTGAAGCACAATAGCGAATTTCCTGGAGTTCCCTGGACTGTAAGCTGTAGGCAGGGACTTGTCAGTCTTTTCTTCTTGCATCCATAGGGTCTAGCACAGAGTTCAGCTCTAACTTAAATGAAAATGGTGAAGAGCAAGTGAAATGAATCAGAATATGCTGTGTACATTTAGGTTGTTTCCATATCTTGGCTATTGTGAATATTACTGCAGTGAACATGGGAGTGCAGATATGTCTTTGAGGTACTGATTTCATTTCCTTTGGATATGTATCTAGAAGTGGGATTGCTGGACCATGATATATTTCTCAATGGATGAATAGATAAAGAAAATGAAACATTATTCAGCCTTAAAAAAGAAGGAAATTCTGCCATTTATGACAATGTGAATGAAGATGGAGGACATTTTTATATTAAGTGAAATAAGCCAGACACAGAAAGACATATATTGTATGATCTCACTTATATGTGGAATCTAAAATAGTCATACTTACAGAAGCCAAAAGTAGCATGGTGGTTGCTAGAGGCTGAGGGATGGGGGAAATTGGGAGATGTTGGTCAAAGGGTACAGAATTTCAGTTGTGCAAGATGAATAAGTTCTGGAGATCTAATGTACAGCAATGTGACTAGAATTAACAGTGCTGTCCTGTGTGCTTGAAATTTGCTAAGAGGATAGATCTCCTTTTTACTTATTTTTTTTTCTTTTTTGAGATAGAGTCTTGCTCTGTCATCCAGGCTGGAGTGCAGTGGCGTGATCTCAGCTCACTGCAGCCTCTGTCTCCTGGGTTCAAGGGATCTCCTGTCTCAGTCTCCAAAGTAGCTGGGATTACAGGTATGTGCCACCATGCCCAACTAATTTTTTTTTTTTTTTGTATTTTCAGTAGAGACAGGGTTTCACCATGTTGGTTAGGCTGGTCTAAAACTCCTGGCCTCAAGTCATCCACCCGCCTTGACCTCCCAAAGTGCTGGGATTACAGGCATGAGCCACCATGCCTGGCCTTTTTTTTCTTTTTCTTACATTTTAAGAGTTTTTAAATATATTTTGAATATTTGACCCCATCAGATTTATGATTTGCAAGTATTTTCTCCCATTCTGTGGGTTCTTTATCTTCACTATCTTGATAGTGTCTTTTGATGCACTTTTAATATTTATGAAGTCAAATCTATCTATTGTTTTTTCATTATTGCTTGTGTTTTTGGTGTTATATCTAGGAATCTATTGCCAAATCTAAGATTAGGAAGATTTGTCCTCATGTCTTCTAGAAGTTTTATCATTTTAGCTTAATCTTAAATTTAGGTCTTTAAGAGGGTAGATCTTAAAGTGTTCTTACTAGACACACACACATACACACACACACAATGAGAAGTATGTGAGTTGATGGATATGTTACTTAGCTTGAGTGTGGTAATTATTTCACAATGCATATGTATATCAGAACATCACGTTGCATACCTTCGATATATGCAATTGTTATTGGTCAGTTATACCTTAAGAAAGCTAAAAAGAAAAGAAAATGCTGTATAAAGAGTAAAAGACTTGGTATGTGAGGGTCAGTTGTGGTGATTTGACTTGGGAGTCATTGCTTTCATGGCTGCTATGGGAATACCATTATGGCTCAAGGAACAAAGAGAGTATCTTTGGAGGTTCTGAAACATCTCTGAGGTGACTCAGAAAGAGGCAGCTACCCAAGACAGACTGCAGCCCAGGCTGCCTGTACCTTCACTGGGCTTTCTACTTACACCAGAGCCTACGATGGTTTCTCTCAATCTCTCTCTTTCACCTCCTCCTCTTGCTGGCTTGCCATGCCTCTCTACTCTGTGCATCTGGGTTCAGACCCCAGCTTCCTACCCATCCTTCCAGCTGTTATACCAATTGACTGACTTTCTTCTTCCATGCTTTTATGAGCTTGTTCTCAGCCTGAGACAGGATACGCAAAGCCAGTCTTGATCTGGCCCCAGTCATCCAGATATTCAATCTTCCAACAAAAGCATGGGAAATAGAGAGCTAAGCTACACCATCGTGGCTTCTCTGACCTCTCATAGCTCACAGGCAAGTGAACCCTTTCTAGCTATTTACTAACCTTCAGTGACACCTCTCAGCTCCCTCTTGCTGAGGTCTATTGTGAGCATTCTCTCTACTTTTGCTCTATTGGAAATGCCAGTTCATCTGTGACAGAGACTACTAGGTGTCTTCCCAATATCAGTTCTTTACTTCTGCCTTAGAAATAGGATCCATTCTGCTACCTGGAATAATGACTGTATTTACCAGCTTCCCTCGTAATTAGGTATGGCCCAAGCTTAAGTTACTCACTCCAGGACTCACAGGAAGAAAATGTCAGAGCCACATTTTTGTTTCAAAACCTATTCTCTTAACCACTAGGTAATCTTCATAAGATCTGTTGGATCAATGATTGAATGTGTCTGAAATGACCTCTGGTCCTGGTTGGGGGGTGGGATCTGAGGAGGGTGGCCCTTGTACCTACCTGTGTTGTAGTGCTTGGTGCAGTATCTCAAGTCCTTCTCTTCCTTCAAGATAAACTGGGGCAGAGTTAGTCCATCTGCTACCTGCACGGCTCCCTGTTCCTGCCACTCAAAGATGAGGTCATTCATCGTATATCCAACTGGGATGGGATCAGAAGAAGGAGCAGTCACCACTCAGAAGCACTTGTTTGAAGCATGTCAGGATTGGTTAGGGTTAGAGACTGAGAGAGACATCAGACACTTGATGGAACTTGTGAGACCAGGTTCCTTTTTTTTCCTCTCAAAAGAGGTAAAAAACTGGTTAATTATTTATATCTACATCAGAGCCCTTCCACCTCTCTTCCCAACCTTCTGCATTAGTTTGTCCTATTGTTCCCCCTCTCACTCCCATGGTGAAATGCAGTGGACATCTGCTATTTTCACCTGCACACCATCCTTGCCAGCCTCCTCTTTTGCTCACAGCAGATACTCCTCTGTGGAACAACTCTATTGCACGCTCTCTTGGTGGGACTAACCACTGGCTGGGGTAGACGGGGGAAAGTGTGAAAAGGTGACTCAAGCTAGGCCAGACTGTGCCCCAGCACTTCAGCAACTATTGAGTGAAGTAACAAGAGGTTCAGAATTGGTTTGTGCTGATTCCCCTCACGGGTAGTGCTCCAAGGAAATGGTCCATTAGTTCCTGTTGCCTAAGTGCTCTGCCTTGGTTTCTGTATTTTTAAGTTAGTCAGATTGGTTTCTCTGTTTGCAATCAAAGGAGTCTGCTATCCAATCTGTTAAAATCCCAGTCCTCCATAAAGTCTACTCCAATAACCTCTTTCCTTCTCCATTAGAAGGAAGCACGCTTTCTGCCACGAGGCCACAGTGCTTTGTACTTCTAACAACACACCAATCACTTGCCGCCCTTTAGTAGAGTTATTTGTGCAGTCAGTTGTTTACCTCCCCTGCTGGAGTGAACATCTTGTGGGTTCAAGGACCATGACTTATTCAAGCCATTTCTCCTCCGTTCACATTTACCATAGACATGGAACAATGACCCTTTGGAGAATGCTGCTGGCTCCAAAACATGGGCCTCAGTTAGGCAATGTAAGGGAAGTTATATTTCTAATGCATTTTCTAAAAGCAAAGTCCTTCATTGAATATTTTGGGTTATTACAGTAATCT